>NC_000011.10:74389029-74692059 GCF_000001405.40 Homo sapiens | reverse complement strand
CCTCCTCCTCTGGCAGCTGTCACGTCACTCCCTTTGTCCCCCCACGAACACTGGGCTCTGGGAAATGGCAGTATTTCTGAGAAACAGGACGTGGCCTGTGGTTTAGGGCTAGCCTGGGGGTGAGGGATGGCCTGGGGCCCCACTGGACACAATGGCATCTCTCTCTAGGGCTGGCTCAGCCACCCTGCTTCCCCTCACCCTGGTCCCTGGAAGACACCCCCTGCCTGCCACCTCCTCCATCAGAGTCAGTTCATGGAAATGAGCAGGAACCGCTGTAGGAAGGTGGCTGAGGTTGGAAAGGGGGTGGGTTGGCATGGGTTTCTGTGTATAGGGCGTTTTCTCAGACTTTCTAGAATTAGAACCTGCATCTCTGGTACCCAGCTCAAGACTGATTTAATGACCACATGAAATTTGATTTCTCTCACCAATCCCACATTTATCTTCCTCCAGCACAGATCAGAGCTCACATACTTGCCCAAAGTCAAACAGCAACTGGGAGGTGGGGCTGTGATTGGTACTCATAGGGTCTCACTCCAAAGTTCGGGCCTCTCCTGCCCTGTGACAACTGGGCCAAGGGTGAGATCAGCCTTCTCACCAGCTCCCCTGCCATCAGCCTCTCCTCTCCCACCCCTCCCCATTCCCAGTAAGTCTTGCCTATCAGAATGATCTTTCAAAAACATAAATCTGACCATGCCTCTCCCTTATTAAGCCCCTCCCTAAATGACTTTCCTTTGTCCTCAAGATGACACCAAATCTCCCCCCGCTCACCCCTTCATGATCTGACTCCTGCTGCCTTTTCAGTCCAACCCTTGGGTTTATCTCCCAGCAATACCCAAGGGTCCTGCTGCACCATCTGACCAAGTTGGGATGGATCTGGGCTCCAGAAAGACCTGAATCATGGACTCTGACACCATCAGAACATTCCCTCTCCATTCTGAACTCTGTTGACCCTGAATAGTCACACCTTCTTTCCAACCAACTCTTTCAAGAAGAAGACAACACACTACACACTGTTGAACACTGTAAGAGCTCCCAACCAGATCAGGTACAAAGGACCTTCCCTTCCCATTCCAATAGAAATACTTTGGGGAGGAATTCTGACTGGTCCATATTGGGTGACATACAGCCAGTCTTGGGTGGTCAGGGATGAGGTACTAGCATCACATGATTGGAGTAGGGGAAGAGCAGCACCCCAAAATAAAGGAGTGGGTGGCAAACACAGGGAGTGGTCACCAAAGGGATCCCCGTTCCCAGGCCGCCACTGCTACAACTTTCTTGAAACTGTGTCCTCTCTTCCATGCCTTTTACAAGTTGTTTCCTCTTTCTGGAATGCCTTTCCCCGTTTTATGCCTGTACTACTCCATTTTATCTTTCAAGATCTCCTAGAAAAGCCCTCCCTAGTCCTTGGCTGCCCCAGCATTGTCTGCTCCTCAGTAGTGGAACTCATACGTTTGTACTGCAGTGGTCCGTTTCTCCCACGGGACAGTTAGTGTCTGGAACCAGAGACCACATGTTATCATCTCTGCACTTCCAGCCCCTAGCGTGGTTCCTAGCCCACAAGAGGCATTCGATATATGCTAATTGAAGGAAGGAAGAATGACAATGATGGTAAAGGCGACAGTGGTAAGATGTGGTTGACTGCTGACATATAGTAGGTACTCAATAAATGGTTGTTCAACCCTTGAATGATCACCACTACCACTGTCACTGCCATTACCACCACCACCACCACCGTTACTGCCACCTCTACCACCAGGACCACCCCTCACACTTGCAGGGCCCAGGCAAGAATGCACGTGAAGAATACCTATCACATGCTAAATATTTAAAAGTTATAAATCCAACTAACTAAACTGTTACATGAATATGTTTTGTGTTCCTGCCTTGACAAATGTAACTTCTTAATGGCCTGGAAGGCCAAATTCAAATTTAAAATGTTCTGACTTCTCTGAATTCTTGACCAGAATATGTAAACCCAGGGAAAGCCAACCCTTGACCCCTGGCTTCCAGCTGTTGGCCCACCTCTCTCCTCATTTCACCTCCGTCCTCTACTGTGAGGGGTCCCGTACACACACGTATGGACACCCCAATCTGCATGTCTATGGTGGTTTTAAAACATGTCCACAAATGCTTTTATACTCCTCCCATTGAGAGGTAGCCCATGTGTGGCCCATGTCCCCACCCCTTAAATCTGAGTAGGCTGTGACTCATTTGTACCAACAGAATGAAACAGAAATTATAAGGGCTGATTTCCAAGGCTAGGTCAGAAATGGCAATGCAGCTACTGCTTTGCTTACAGAGATAATTGCTTTTGGACCCCTGAGCCACTTGTACAAAGTCCAACCACTATGAGGCCACCATGCTGTGAGGAAGCCAAGACGACATAGGTGACACACGTATATGCTCCACTCAACAGCCCCAGCTGAGCTCTGGGCCAACTATCAGAAACAATAAGCAGATATGAACATAAAGACCCCTCCAGAGGAATCCAGCACCCAGCTTGGAGTCTCCCCAGCTGAGACCCCAGACATTGTGGAACAGAGACAAACCATTCCCACCATGCCATCCCCAAGTTGCTGACCCACAGAATTCATGAGGATTAGAAAACAGTTGTTGCTGGGCGTGGTGGCTCACACCTGTAAACCCAGCACTTTGGGAAGCTGAGGCGGGAGGATCATTTGAGTCCAGGAGTTTAAGACTAGCCTGGGCAACATAGCGAGACCCTGTCTCTACAAAAAATAACAAGTTACCTGGTCATGGTGGCACACGTCTGTAGTCCCAGCTATTCAGGAAGCTGAGGTAGGAGGATTGCTTGAACCTGGGAGGTCAAGGCTGCAGTGAGCTATGATCATGCCAGTGCACCCTAGCCTGGACAACAGAACAAGATCCTGTCTCAAAAAAGAAAAGGAAAGAAAAAAAAAAAGTTGTTTAAGTTGCCAAATTCTGGGGTAATTCATTATGCAGCAAAAGCAAATGGAACTTTTCCAAATTTCTTCCAGAGCCCCAGCAAACTATCCCTCAGGTGTAGAGAACAGACCTAGGGAAGAGGACTGTGCAGTCCAAGAAGCAGACTCAGGGCTGCTTGGGCAGAGAATTCCAGGATCCTAGGTCCCCACTGTGGTCTAGAGAGGAGGTGGGGTGCACATACCCTCAATCCCATGGACCCCTTGGGCTGTGGGTAGGAGTGCAGCTGAAAGTGGGTCAGACTGGGGCCCTCCAGAGGGCATGGCCCAGGGTGGGGGTCCCTCTTTCCTGGGCTTAAAGGTGGTCCTGCCCTCCTTTACCACCATGGCTCCCTGCTACTACCAGCACAGGGGATGTAATTGTCCTCTGTGTCCAACTGCATCCTCAAAAGTCTCCAGTCTAGAGAGGGAGAGACATAAACAATGACAACAGAGTGACAAACACAGAAGAAGGCACAGGGGTGGCTGTGAGAACCCATGGCCAGGGAGCGGGGAGAGGGGTGTCAGAGGAAGCTTCCTGGATGAGGAGACATCCAAATAGAGACGTTAAGCAATTATTCAGGGAAAGTGGAGAAATCGTGTTTCAGTCCTAGGAAACAGGGAGGTCAGAGGCCTCACAACAGGCAAAAGTGGTGACAGGCAAGGATACAAATGGAGACTCCATGTCATATCACATATGATCTATTACATATTATGATATGTAGTCTCCATTTGCACTCTTGCCTGGGTCCTGCAAATCGGAGGGGTGGTACTGGTGGTGGTGGAGGCAGTAATGGTGGTGGTGGCAGTGGTAATGGGAGTAACAATGGTAGCAGTGATCATTCCAGAGCTCAACAACCATTGATTGAGCACCTACTGTATGTTAAACATCTGGGAAGCAGCAAAAAGTTCAGCCTGGCAAGAGAGTAGTATCGGGCAGTGGATGTAGGTGGTGCAGGAAGTGGGGGTGAGGGGCACGGGCTTTAGAGAGAAGCCTGGAGAGGCAGCAGAGGTCAATTTCCCCAGGGCCACCAGAACAGGGCTGATATTCAGGAAGGATGGGCTGGCAGGGCTGTCAACACTGGGGCCTATCCTGATTGCCCAGGGCCTATTCCAAATCAGTAGTTATTCTGAATATCTCCCCTATTTTTGAGCCTGGAACGATTTCCAGCAGGGGAGTGACTCAGACAGATTTGTGTTTTACAAAGATCCCTGAGGCTTCTGTGGGAGAAAGACTTGGAAGGAGTCAAGAATGGAAGCAGGGCAATCAGTTAGTATTAATAAGTTATTGCAGCTACCAGTGACAGAGATGGTGGCAGTCTGGATGAGGGTGTGGCAACAGAGAGGGAGAGAAGTGGGTGGGATTGCCAGCTATTTAGAGGGCAGAATCAACAGAAGCCACGGTGAGTCACACACAGCCCCTCACAGTGCAAAGGGGAAGAAAAAGCATGGATTTCAATAGCAATTAAAATTAGCATTGTTGTGTTTCGCAGGATATAAAGCCCTTTCACACGCACTGATGACATGAACCAGGGCTGGTGGAGTGAGCAGGGAAGATTTTCCTTCTGTAGGGGAGGGTCATGTGAGGCGAAAGGTTTTTTTGCTGCAGCCCTCCCTTTTCTTCCAGACTCAAATGCTATCAGTTAAGGACATGAGCCCTGGTGCTGCAGCAGCCATCTTGTGGCCATGAGGCTGAGAATGATAAAAGCCAGGATGCTGAGGAAGGCTGTCCTGAGCTGAGTCCTCAATGACCTTGATGACCTACACTGAAGCAGTCTGGAGACCACATACCTCCACATTTCTTGTTAAGAAAATAACAGATGTCCTTGCAGTTTATGCCACTGTAGCGGCACTGCCATTGACCCAATCACAATGCCTGTTATCCCTTTACCATTGTCATACATACCAGCTCCAGTGAGCTTTCATTCCCAACAGCCAGCACCTGCTTCTCTTTGTCAGAACACTGACCTTAGGCTGCCTGAGCCCACTTTGCCAGTGAGCATGGAAAACCAGAAGAGCCTGACAATGTCCACCTCCGCTCCACCCCAGGTGGCCCTTAGCTCAGACAGATGAGTATGGAGGTGCCAATCCTCCAGCTCCCTTGTGCTGATGTGGATGACTCTGAGGAGTGATTGCACGATCTCCGGAGCTCCTCTGCAAGTCTGAGTCAAGCTCCCCTCTGCGGGACTTGGCCTGAATCACACCCTTGCCTTGCCTTCTTCCCTTCCCACTTCTCCACACCCCTACTACTGGTTTGTCTTGGAAACACTTCCTAAGACATCACTTTCAACTCATCTTCTCATCTCAACTTCTGTTTCTAAGAATCCCAACCTAAGACAGCCACTGTTAGTCAGGTGTTCTGTACTTGCAGCCTAATGCATTCTAACAGACACAGGCCCAGCAAGGTAAAGGTCTAATAGCAATTTTGCTATGTTTCAGATGTAGGTTTCCTGCCTGCAAAACCTATCATTTGTTCAAACGTGCTAATAAGCTGATGATTAAAAACATAACTTTGTAAAGTGCTACATCCTAAACATAATAGCATTGGCAGCTAATTACTACCAATTACTGAGCATCTCCCATGAGCCAGGCACTAGGCCAAGGCTTTGATTACCTCCGTGACCCCATTTAATCTTCATTAGAACCCTATAAGGTGGACACTGTATTAATTTTGTATGCTGAGTAACAAATTACCACAAATTTAGCATATTTATTGTCTCACAGCTTCTGTAGGTCAGAAGCCTGGGAACAGACAGTTCTCTGCTTCAGGGTCTCACCAGCCTACAATCCAGGCATCAGTTAGAGCTGCAGTCTCATCAGAAGCTTGACTGGGGAAAGATCCACTCCCAAGTTCCCTTAAGCTGGAAAAATTCACCTCCTTGCAGTTGCAGGATTGAAGCCCTGGTATTCTTGCTGGCTGTCAGCCAGGGTCCACTTTCAGTTCCTAGAGGTGACCCACAGTCTTGCCACGTGGCCTTCTCCTAGGCCTTCTTGTAGCACAACAGCTTACTTCTTCAAAATCAGAACTCAGAGTCTCTGACTCCAGGGAGGGTACAGTTCCTCTTTTAAGGAATTTTCCCTGACTAAATCAGGCCCACTCAGCATAATCTCCCTTTTGAGTAACTCAGAATGTAATAATTTGGAACCCTAATTACATCTGCAAAATCTCTTCACCTTTGCCGTGTTCCAGCGGTCAGAAGCAAATCACAGGTCTTGTTCACACTCAAAAACTGGGGATAATACAGGGTGTGAACATTATGGGTGCCATACTAGGGTCTGTCTGCCACACTATTATTATCCAAATTGTACAGTTGAGGAAACTGAGGCAAAGAAGAGTTTAGTAATGCTACCCAAGATCATACTGCCAGTGAGTGAACGCGGAGTGTGGTTTCAAACCCATGCACTGTAGTTCAGAGCCTGCACTCCTTTTTTTTTTTTTCACCCATTTCCCCTTTCAAGAAGGAGCCTGCACTCTTATCTGTTACTCTGCACTGCCCAGACACTGCTCCAAATACTTTCCCTTCCTTATGTCCCCAAATTTCCTTGAAAATACAAGGAGGAAATGGAAGCTCAGAGAGGTTAAGGAACTTTTTCAAGGTCACACAGTACTGGAGTCAGGGCCACAAACTAGATTTATAAATCTCCAAGACCCAAGATCTTTAGAGCTTGTTTGGAGGTTCTAGTAGGGGAGCATAGCTCCTCATATACCCTTGACAGAGGGATGGTCCTCCTGTATCAGGAAGGTCATCCTCTTTGACCAAGCATGCAGCTTCAGGAGGGATGCACTGGAGTGGTGAGGGAGGAAGGGGACACCCGCCTAGCCAGCCAGACCGGCCAAATCAACCCTGTGATCATTGAGGTGACAGATGTCACAGCCAGATTGTCTTCACATCAAAAACCCAAGATCTTAACCAGTGTAGAAGGCAGTCAGTGCTTTAGCAGAGGACTAGAGAGTACGGAAGGAGTTCACAGGAGACAAAGAGCACCCCTACTGGGGCAGGGTGGGGCACAGTCATAGAGAAATAACAACATATAGCTATTTGAAAATGGGGGAGAGGGAGGGGAGAAAGTATATTTCCAAGGAGGGGACAGGTTAAGCAAAGTCAAAGCTGCAGGAAAGCACAGGTGTTTGGGATTGAACAGGGGTGGAGGGTAGTTTTGGGGGCACTGAGAAAGGAGACTGGAGATGTAGCCAGGTCCCAATTTGGAACACGAGGCTGAGGGGTCAGAGCTTTATTCTGAAGACAGTGGGGAGCCACACTCCAGTGACCCCACTCCTCTGCCCACAGGGAGCTCTCAAAGGGTGCTGAGCAGCAGCAGTCATGCACAAAAATGCCTTTAAGAGGGTGAATGCAGTGTGTGGAAGACAGGACTGTTTAGGGGTCTTCCTGCCTCTGATGGCATTTCCCACTCAAGGGCACCTGTGATTTTCCCATATCCCTAGGAGGAAGGGTTGATGTGAGGTCATGACCATTTTATGAGTGAGGAAACTGAGGCCCATTGGGAGACATGCGGGCCTGTGAGGGTAACAAGGCCCAGTGATGGGAACAAATGTCTCACTTCAGTCCTGGTGCTGGGAGTATGGGGACCAGCGATTATACTTTTCCTAGTTTATGGCTCATTCATCCTCATTCATGTAACAGAATCAGCATGAGGCTGTGGATTCCAAGGCCCCAAGCCCAAGGGTTCCGATTCAGCAGATGTGAGGTGGGGCCATCAACTGGCCTTTTTAAACAAGCACCCTGGTGACTCAGGGCCAGAGTATCCTTCAAGAAACCCTCAAGGGTGTAAGGATCCCAACCTCAGTGGGAGAACGCTGCCCATGATGCAGCCTTACCTGTGAGGGCCTCCTCCTGCCCCTTCCTCTGGGGGTGCCTCAGCCCAACTCAGGCCTCATCAAGTCACTGCCTCCAGCCTCAGCCCTTCAACCCCTCCTTTACACAGCAGCCCAAGTGAACTTTCCAAAAAGCAAAGCTGGCTTTCTCACGGCCCAGCTCAAACCCCTCCCGTGGCTCCCCGTCACACAGGTGGAAGTCGGCCTCCCCTGCCCGGGTTCCCGGGTCCAGCTCCAGAGAAGGCAACGCACCTGAGTTTTACTCCCCCGTTGCCTCTGCCTGGGCTGCCTTTTCCTGTGTACCGGGGGACCCCTCCTCAACCTCACCTAAGACGCAGCCCCCTGCCCCCAGAAAGGCTTTCTGTCCCTTGCCCCAGGACTAGAATACCTGCTGACCTTTTGTTTCTTATGTAAACCTCCCAGCAATACTCTAAGGGCTGGCTCCGGCTAGCGCTATTAATAATGGGGAAACGGAGGCTCAGAGCGTCAGTAACTTGCCCCAGGTTCCTCTGCTGTAAAAGGCGAGATTCGAACTCCAAACAGCTGCCCCTGGAGGGCTCCACTTCCCGCGGTTGCCAGCAGGGGTGCGCGGAGCCGCGGGGATCCGAGAGGCGGGGGCCGCGGTGGGGGCCGCGGTGGGGGCGCTGGAAGAACGGGGGCTTTGATTCCCATCTCCCGGCGCAGACCCAGACGCTAATTAAAATCGCCTGGGCCGCGGGGGCGGCGGGACGGGCACAAAGCCGGCTTTGACCGGGCGGCGGCGGCGCTGGCGGGCGCGGGGCCGCGTCGCACAGGGGCTGCTTGTGGCCGTGTTTGTTTTCGCTTGTAAAGCGCGGCCGCGAGCAGTGCCCGGGCGGCGTGGGGGTGCCCAGCCCGGGGAGGGCCCCTGAGGCCACGGCGCCCGCCCGGCCGCGCTCGCTACCCAGGGCCACCCTGGGCAAAGCCCTGCCCACTAGGGCCTCAGCTTCCCTTTCTCTCACAGGATGATAGCGGTGTCACTAGGAATGAACGCTTATTGGGCGCTTACTGTATTCCAGGGCCTGGACCGAGGCTTCTCCCACTTGGTTTTATGTCATCCTCCCGGCTCTATTAATATCCCCATTTTACAGATGAGGCCCAGGGAGGTTGAACACCTTGCCCAAGGTCTCACGGGTTTAAAGGAAAGAGCAAGGCCTAAAGTCCAGCAGAGGGAGAGCAGGGTTCGGGGCAGCTGGGTCACAGGAGGTGGGTGTATCGGGGAGAATGTTCCTGCTCAGAGCCCGCTCACTGCCTATCAAGCTGCGCTTTGAGAGTGAACTCCCATCGCCGGGGTACTGAAGCGGAGCCTTAGACTGAACCAGTGGGGGCCCTCTGAGCTTCCTTCCAGCTTGGGCCATTAGGGTCCCTCAGTGTGCGGGAGTGGCACTGCCCTGAAAGGAAAGCCTTTTCTGGGCTGCACTGGGCATTGGGGGTGGGGTCCGAGTATTGCCAGTGCTGGCAGAGGAGTAGGTCTCTGTGGATGGGTGGGAACCAAGAAAAGATAGGAGCTTCTTCCTTGGGAGCCCCCATGTTTGGAAGAATCTCCTGGCTTCTATAGTCATTGAATCACCAAATCTTAGTGGCCTTTGCACTTGCACCCACCCTGTGGTTCTGTCTTTCACTCACTTTTCACTGAGATTCCCACTCATCCTTCAGTTCTCAGCTCAGAGCAAGTTATACCCTCCCAGCACCCATCACTTCTTCATACCCATCACAGTGGTAATGGTGCACTCAAGGCATTGGCCCTTTCTGTCTGACTCAGAGCCCTGAGGACGAGACTGTATCAGCTTGCCCCCCTCTCAGCTACCAGGTCCCTCCCTTCATAAACAGGCCCAGGAAGGTGCACTGGGGAGTATTTCCTCTGGTGCCTCCAGATCAGAGCTCAGTCAAGGCCTGGCTGGAGGTCTTGGGATGAGAGTGGGCATGGTCAGAGAAATACAGAAGCCCGATGGGGGCCCAGGCTCACTGCCTAAGGAGGTGACTGATAAGGCGGCTGACAGTGTCCATCCAGTGACATGGCACCGATGGAGTGTCCTGTGGCTGGGGGTCCTGCCTCCCTTCTGAGACTGGTTCTCTGGTAGCCTCAGCTCTGTGCCTCTCTTCCTCCCTCGAGCTAGCCCCCCAGCCCCTATTTGCCCTGTGTCTGCAGATGGCTGGCTGGGAGGGCTTCGACCTGGATAGGAGTCCCCCACTGATCCCAGCCACCTGTGAGGAGGAGAACAAGGCGGGAGGGAGGATTTCTCTAAGGCTCTCCCCCTCCCTAAGACCTGGGAGCCAGAGCTTGGACAGAGACACTATTAACACAAACTCTGCAAACATGGCTTCTAAAAATAGCTCTGGCTGGCAAGGCCCACCTGGCACAGACTGCACCTTTGCGGCTGCTGGCCTGCTCCCCTTGGAGCATGGGCCATCAGTCTGTCAGCAGACATGTCACTCTGCCCTCTTCCCCCAGGGGACGGGGCAGCCACAGCCTTAGGTGGGATCCAGGGGAGAGACCCTCGTGAAGATGGGGCTTGTCCCAAACTGATGAGGGGGAGAGGGAGGATGTGCGATGTCAGGAGGAAGACAGTCTTGGCGATAAGGTGGATTGAGGAGACAGCACTGCCCACAGGGAACTCTCAAAATGGGTTGGGGGAAGGACACAAATGTATGAAAGAAGACCAAAGCAGCATTTAAACTCCTGCAAATGAAAGTGCCAAGACGAAGAAGGAAAGCCTGCGGGGAGGAGGGCAGGGCCAGGAGCGTGGTTCCATGATCATTATAGACCCAGATGGGGGTGGGCATATGGTCACCCCCACAGCAAATCCTCAGGACCTCAGAGCCAGGAAGGAACCCAAAAGCTCACCTTGTCCAACCCTTTTATTGGACACATGAGAAAACTAAGGCCCAAGTTGTTGAGCCTTGCCCCAGGTCCCTCCACACGGGTCTGCTGGCCTCATGCCATTTCCACCAGGCCTCTGGGCCTCCCTGTCTGCGGGCTGATGGAATGACCATAATTAATGTTTCTCAGAATGCTCCTTTTTCATTGTCAGTTTATTGAGAAAAGCTTTACTGAGCACCTACTGTGTGCCACACACTGGGTTCACAAAGCTGAACTGGACAGGCAGGCCCCTGCTTTCCAGGCTAATGGCAACACCCACTTGTGTGCACAGAGCTCTCCTGTGCATTCACATAAATTCACAGAATGGAACACAGTTTCCCAGCTTACAGCTGAGGAACCCGAGGCTCACGGAACTTTGTCATCAGCAAAGTTGGGGCCGGAGCCTCCCCATGTTGCCTCAGGAGGCCCCGGGTTGCCTCCGAGTCAGTGGGGACAGGCCTGTAGGAGGCTAGTCATGTGCTCCTGGAATGTCTCCTGTCCCGGATGCCACCATGGAGGAGAGCTGAGAGGGCGCTGGAGGCCCTGGGACCGGAAACGCGCAATTCCGCTGCAGTGCCTTGCTTTTGGTTGGGTTCGGTGGCGTACCCGGACACATTACATAGGTAGACCCTGCCCTCGCAGAGCTCATGGGGAAGCCCTGCTGCTCCCTATTGGGTAGCTTCTAGTAGTCCTCCCTAGCCCTCCTCATGAATTCATCAGACCACACACAAATGCCCACTCCTGGAGTGGGAAAATAAAGCAAGAGCGGTCGTCTTCCTCCCCGCCCTCACACAGGCTCCATCAGGGTCTCTGGAGGGGAGGGGCATAGTGGTCAGTAGATGTGAAGCCACCTGACCTCCCTCAAGGGCACCTGTCCGTGCTGGTCCCTCACAACAACCCCTGGGAAGTGCCCATCTGAGTTCTTTCTGTAGACACCCCAGGCTCACCCTCGGTGAGGACCTGTGTTCCTTTCTCCTCTTTTTCTGGCATCACGGTGAATTCTTCTCTGCAGTGGGTTCATTCAAGGTGGAGCCTGCACATCCACTCCAACTATTCCCCCATGCCCCCAGGGGCACATCCCCGCATCTACACCTCCCTGCTTGCTGCCCAGAACTTTCCAGAACACCATGATGCAATGCTTGCCTAAGTCTCCACATCCATCACACACCTTGTGGGCTGACAGGGCCCTGACCCTGGGCCCAGGGAGTAGCCAGCTGTTCCACTCTGCTCACAGACTCTGGAGATCCATCTGCCACAGAGAGCTCTCCATGCCTTAGAAGGCCCCCTCCGTGCACAGCCCCATCGGATGAAAATGGCCACTCTGAACATATGATTGTCATTTTGAGATGACCCTTCCACCCTAGCCACACCTGAGCAAAGGCCACATCTCTGGGCTGGACCTAAGAGAGGCGTGTGCTCTGTGAGGCAGCCCGGCTCTGGAACACTGAGGGTAAGTAGAGTCAAAACCTAACCTGAGGGCACAAACCATGTTGGCAGTCATGCCTTCCCTAATATTTTGTTCTCATGAAACGGCTCCCCATTCCCTTTCACGGAAGCAGTGTGGGCAGGTCTTTGCCCAGCGCAGGCCACTGACCAGCCAGAGGTGGGGAGAGTCCCAGCTCACAGGCCCCCAGAGCCTGAGGAGGCCCCTGGGAAGAGTCTGCCAGTGAGGTGATGAACTCACTGTGCTCCCTCCAGGGATCTGGCCTGGGGCCGGCTCAGAGCACTGGGCCAATGGGAGTGGAGGGGACAAAGCACACAGAGGGCTGCCTTGGTGTCTGAGCCTTCCCCAGTTCCAGGCCACACAGGTCCCCCAGAACTACTCCCAAGGTGCCCTGAGAGAGTCTGTGCCCCTTGCATCCAAAATACTGGTCTAGCAAACAGATCCTTTCTCTTTGGGGTTTAAGTGGGAGACCCAACAAGTGTGAAGGAAAGAGCAGCAGACCTGGCGTGAGGCTGGGGAAGGAGCTAGGGCTGCTGCTACTTTGGAGGGCACTGAGGAGCCACCAGGCCAGCAGGGCTGCAGTGTAGACACTGCCATCAAAAGGCCATGCCACCGGAGAAGTCCTTCTGTGCTCCCTCACTGTCCCCACAGTACCTCAGGGGCTCTCTTTTCCTTGTAGCAGGAACAACCTAAACATGCCACTGGACTCCTGCAAAAACCCTTGGGCTGGAAGGGAGAAGCCCCAGCCATGGCATTAACTGCAGGGTGACCTAAATAAGTCACTCAGTCTCTCCCAAGCTCAATTTTCCCATCTGGAAATTGGGGAGACCAATCCCAGTTTCTCCGTATCCTCCCACAAGACATGGTGTTGGCAGGAGGCGGGGGCTGTGAGAATACAATGAGATCACAAATTGGAAAACACACGGAGACTCGGCCTCCAGTTACAAGTGATTCGTCATTTATGACCTTATCTGCACGAAAACACCAAATGGCAAATCCTTGCCTCTGTCCTCCCTCAGGTTAAAAAGATTCTTCTGTCATGCGGTCAATGGATACAGGAGAGTCTCCCTTGGGTGCTTGACTCCATTTGGGGGTGGAGAGGGGGTTCAAGAGAACAAGGCCCCGGCACAACCCTCCCAGGGCTCACAGTCTGTCTGAGATGATGAGATTCACACACACATAATCACTGCCATATTTTGGTGCACTGACTCGATGGCAGCCCTGAGCAATGTGTTTTATACATAATGCCAGCATCAGTAGATCAACCCCATTGCTCGGTGTTGCTGTCCTCTGCCCTCACTTTATCATGAGGAAACAGAGCTCAGGGAGGTGGCTGAGAGGCTTGTCCAACGTCACAGTTGGGGAAGGTGGGCTAGAACCCAGGACAAGCTGAGTCTGAGGCCTTTGGTCTTCCCAGCACCCCTGGCTGCCTGTGAGGCTGTTGAAAGAGGGTTGTTGGTGGGTGCTGCCTCATAGTCAGTCCCTGACTGGCCCTGTGCTGGGCATGGGCATCCAGAACAGAATCTTGAGCTTTAACCCCTGAGGATCCTGTGGTGTGACCAGAGCTGACTCACTTGCACATCTCAGAGCTCCCAGTGCCCCAAGCCCCATCCTGGCACAGCCGACCCCTCACCATCAAGAACTGTATCTCCAATATGTATGCAGCTATCTCTTCAAAAAGACTATGAGCTTGGCCAGGTGCAGTGGCTCATGCCTGTAATACCAACATTTTGGGAGGCCGAGGCAGGAGGATGGCTTGAGGACAAAAGTTCAAGACCGGTCTGGGCAACATAGTGAGACCCTGTCTCTACAAACATTTTTAAAAAAATTGCCAGGCATGGTGGCACGTTCCTGTAGTCCCAGCTGCTTGGGAGGCCAAGGTGGGAGGATCAATTGAGCCCCGGAGATAAAGGCTGCAGTGAGCCATGATCATGCCACAGCACTCAAGCCTGGGTGACAGAGTGAGACCCTGTCTCAAAAAAATAAATACATAAATAATAAAAAATAAGAAAAGACTATGTGTTCCATATTTGACAGGTTAGAGAGAATAAATCCCCTCACCTTTGACCCTTCATGAAGTCGAGATGGGAGGCTTAGCAAGGTCTAAGGAACTAGGTGCAGCTCAAGGTGTTGGCAACAGAGCCCAGCGTGAGCCCAGGGCATCTATGGGAGTCACACAGCTGCCATCTACCATGGGTAAATGTGTGCGTCAGCCTCTGGGCTGGGTACTCTCCCTGCACTGTCCCATTTCATCTGCACATGGAATGCTATTGTTATCCAGTGTTACAGATGAAGCTATGGTGGCTCAGGGAGGTTTAGTGACTTGCCTAGGGTTGCACGACTAGTTCTTGATGGAGCTGGGCGTCAATCTGCAGCCCTTTGAGTGAAGATCAAATTCTTCATCTGGCATTCAAGAACCTTTTGCAGGATGACCTCAAAAGCATCAACCAGACTGGTCTCCCTCCTCACCATACAAGCAGCTGTTTCCTCCTGTCTGGAAGGAGTGGGCTTCGGATGATCTCTAGGACCTCGCCAGCCCTAACACTCTTCCCCTGAATGAAGCAGCTGCAAGGCTTTCTCCCACCCACCATGCCCCGGAGATCCCATATGCTCCAGATGAAACAGCAGCAGTGACCAACACCACACGCTCTTACACAACACCCCAGTCTTCTCAAAGCAGGCTTCCAGGGGCGGGGGTGGGGGCATCCAGCCCTGGTGGGTGCTCACCCGTGGGAGGGGTCTCAGGAGCACTGGAATAAGAGGCAAGAACCTTGGCTTCTGGTTTTGCTCTGTTGTCCCCTCTGGATGACAGATGACATGGGGCAGATGGGTTGTCCTCTCCCAGCCGATTTCTTCAGCTGGAAAATGGGGGTGGGGAAGGGCTGCATAGGCTCTAAGTGTGATTCCAGTCCCATAATCCATGACTTTATGAATAAAATGGAAATGAAGGAATTCTTGGCATTGGTGGGAAAGATAGGGGAGCTTTAGAACCCTCGGGAAGTAGGGCCTGTGGCAGAAAGTAGAGTTGCTCTCTCCACCTGGGCCGCTGCTTGCCCATAGAAGAGGAGCTGGAGCAGAGAGGAGACGGGGATTGATGCGACAAGGCAGAGAAGCTGAGCTACAAGGAAGGGAGAGGCTGAGAAAGAGGGGGAGCACAGGCAGCACAGAGGTCAGACAGGTGGGAAGAGGGAGGGCAAGGGGACCCGCCAAACCAGGCCCACAGCTACACAGCTGGGGCAGGAACTCCCAAGGGTAGAGTGACATCACTGGGCCACCCAGCACCAAATGTGGGAAGGTGGAGCCAGTCCAAAGCTGCCTTTTTATAAGGTAATATTTTGGAACTACTAGACTGTGCCAGGGTTGGGGACCTGCTGATGTCTCTCCTGAGCTCTTCTGGTATCAAACTGTAAAATCACAGCAACATCAAGTAAGCAAAAGCAACATGCATAGAGAAAAGCCTAGAAAGACCTCCTGGCAGGGAGGAAGGAAATATACTGGGTAACAGGTATGCCAGACTTCAATAATATATAGAATATCTTATTTCTTAAGCTGGAGGGTGGGTACATGTGTGTTGATCATATTATTCTTATACTTTTTCATAAGTCAAAATACTTTATTTAAAAAAAAATCCCTGTAATATTGGGTGAATGGGAAGTTAAAAAAAAAAAAAGAAAGAGAGGATAAAAAGAAAAAAAGAAAAAAAATCCCTGAAAGGAAATTTGCTAAAATGTTATCAGTGGTTCTTTGGGAGTATGGAATTATCATGATTGTTATTATTTTCTCTTTCCTTCTGTTATTTTCCAAATGTTCTACATTCAGCAGATGTGGAAAACAATAAACCTTTAAAAATAAATAGATAATCTACGCCTGCTGTGACCATAATTTCAGTCTTCAGTGGAAATTAAACACAAGTCGTTGAGCCACTGCATCCTCATATCCATTCTCTCATAGACTCAGAGGCTCAATAAATCCCCAACCCCGCCATCATTCTCCATCTCTACCCTAAAGCTGGGCTTCTCCAAAGTAAAGCTTCTAATCCTCTTAGGCCCCTAAGCCCAACAACCCTCTAAGTACAGAGGAAATAATTCACTTTATAATAAGAAAGATTTGAGTTTGAAACTTAGATTCAATGCCTACTGGTTGGTCACTTAACCACTATAAATTGGTTTCCCTATGTGAAGACCAAATGAAATAATACATCTAAAGCATTTGGCATTAATTTACAATGCCTGGCCCACAGTAAGTGTGCAATAAATTCATCATTATCATCTTCACTATTATCATCACTGATGACTATGCCTACCACTTCCTCTAGGAAGTGTTCTTGATGCAAGAAATATTTCAGTCTGAATTGGGCACCAACCTGTCCTCCTCCTGGCAAAAGATCTAGGTTCTAGTCTCAACTCTGCTACTAGCTGTGTGACACTGGGCACATTCTTGCCCCTTTCTGCCTCAGTTTCCTCATCTGCAAAATGGAAGGCTTGAGCTTCCTGCCCTAATAGTCTGTGACTAGGGTAATCATATAATTTATTCTTCAAGCCAGAATGTTTTTGAGAGCAAAAGGGCGTACGATCACCCTCAGGATGACAGCTTGAAGCCAAGATAGTTCTAAGCACACTAGAAGTCTGGTCACCCCACCCTCAACAGATCCATTCCATTACCTGCTTGCCCACAGTGTGGTAGACAGAATAAGGACCCTCAAATGGCTGGGTGCCGTGGCTCACACCTGTAATCCCAGCAGTTTGGGAGACCGAGGCAGGCGGATCACCTGAGGTCAGGAGTTGGAAACTAGCCTGGCCAACATGGCGAAACCCCGTCTCTACTAAAAATATAAAAATTAGCTGGGCGTGGTGGTGGGCACCTGTAGTCTCAGCTACTCAGGAGACTGAGGCAGGAGAATCACTTGATCCTGGGAGGCAGAGGTTGCAGTGAGCCGAGATCACACCACTGCACTCCAGCCTGGGTGACAGAGGGAGACTCCGTCTCAAAAAAAAAAAAAAAAAGAAGATGGCAACTTCCTAGTCCCTGGAACCTGAGGATGTTAGGTCACATGGTAAAGGGAATTACAGTTGCAGATCAGCTGAACCTTGAGATGAGATTATCCCAAATTATCTAGATGAGCCCAATATAATCACAAAGATCCTTATGAACTGAGGAGGGAGACAGAAGAGGAAGTGTCAGAGGGATGCTTGTGAGAACTACCCAACCGGCCACTGGCTTTGAGAAGGGAAGGGGGCCATGAGCCAAGGAATGCGGGCAGCCTCTAGAAGCTAGAAAAGGCAAGGATATGGAGTCTCCCCTCCAGTCTCCAGAAAGGAAGGTAGACCCACTGATGCCTTGATTTTAGCCCAGTTAGGCCCACTCTGAACTTCTGACCTCAGGGCTGTAAGATAATAGATACGTGTTGTTTTAAGCCGGTAAGTGTGGTGCTTTTTTTTTTTTTTTTTTTTTTTTTTTTTTTTTTTTTTTTTTTTAGATGGAGTTTTGGTCTTGTTGCCCAGGCTGGAGTGCAGTGGCGTGATCTCAGCTCACTGCAACCTCTGCCTCCTGGGTTCAAGTGATTCTCCTGCCTCAGCCTCCCAAGTAGCTGGGGTTACAGGTGTGCACCACCACGCCCAGCTAATTTTTGTATTTTTAGTAGAGATGGAGTTTCATCACGTTGGCCAGGCTGGTCTCGAACTCCTTGACCTCAGGTGATATGCCTGCCTTGGCCTCTTAAAGTGCTGGGATTACAGGCATGAGCACCGCGCCCATGTGGTGATTTGTTACAACAGCATTTGACAATGAATATGCCCAGTTTGGCTCAGGCTAAGTGATCCCTTTGTTTCTTTTCTTCCCTGCCCCCCTCTTCTTTTCACAGGTGTTGAGTGGGTCCCTTTGGCTGGCTGCTCTATGAATGCTGTCCTTCGTGCATAAGAACTAGTCTAAGCTCCCAAAGAGCTGGATGCTAATCCCTGTCCTGATACTAACTCACCCTGGGACATTAAACAGGTCAAAAAACTCCTCTTGGGCTTTTCTCTCTGTAAATGGAGGCCTTATCTATCTTTGTGTGTGTTGGGTAGGGGGTGGGCTGACATTCAATCAACACTTACCGACTCATTCTATGTTCAGTTCTGAACTGGGGGCTGGGACACCAAGATGAACCAGATCTAGTCCCAACCCCATCCCAAGCAAGAAGTTTAAGAAGCTCCCATTCTGGATGGGGAAATGGTTATGTGAGCAGATAATTCACATGCAATGCAAGGACATAAAGATAGATGATTATGCAAGTACAGAGAGAAATATACAGGCCTACCTGCTGAGGGCATGGTCAGAGAAGGTTTCCTGGGAAAGGTGACAGCACAGCTAGGCCCTAAAGGAAGAGCAGGAGTTAGCAAAGTAGATAAGGAGGGTGGAGGAAGAGGAGGGAAGAGTAGTCCACACAGAGGTAACAGCAACAGCAGGAGCAAAACCCCAGAGATGTGAATCAGCACAGCGTGGGGACGGACGTGCAGGCAGTTTGGTGGTGTTGGCTTGGAAACTGTGTGTATAAAGGGGATTAAGTGGGATGATGGCCAAAGGTATGACGTGAGCATAATAAGGCTGCATTATCAGTCTGTGTCTCCCAGACCAGGGCTGGGACAAGAGATGGTATGTAACCAAAAATTCCTCTTGACCTGGCTTGAAGTGATCTCTTCTAACTGTCTCATCCTCACATTGCCCCCCAGACATGTGCCAAAGGCCTGGCAGCTTCCCCAGCTTACTGCGGGGGATGAGGCCGTGCAAAATTACAGCCACTACGATGAGGCCGGCGTGACCTCAGGAGCTGGGTTTCATCATTCTGAAATCATGCTCCTGGCCTTAGTCAGAGCCAGAGAGGTGGAGGGGAGAGGGTGGGAAAGTGAAGCGGGTGGCAGCAGATTTGGGCGAGGTGCCAGGGCTGCAAAAGGAAGCAGCTGGGACAAGAGCAGGGGGTGAGAGTCCAGCTCAGATGCTGTCCTTCAGGCTGTGTGACCTCAGGCCGGCTCCTCGCCCATCCTGGGTTTCTCTGGGCAGCACAGGTCCTTGGTTCCCAAGGCCTGTTCCCACTGGAGCCTCCTTGTGGAACGCAAGAACCTAAGGGCCCTTTGTCATCATTTCTGTGGATGTGGCCCTCTGTGGGTGAGGAGGAGCTCCTGGCAGGCCTGCCAGGGTTTAAGGCAGGGCCCCACCAGGAGGCTGCTCTGAAACACCCACACTTCCAGGATAGTGGTGCCTTTGTGAATGGAACTGGCTTCTGTCAGGGACAAACCTATAGAGAGATCTCTAAGCTCTGGGTTATGCAGCCCACACTGCCCAGAGGTGCTTCAGAGGTGCTTCCTATTTGTGTTCTGTATCCTCTTGTGTTTTTTAAGCAGTAGTTCCTGGGTGAGGCTGGGTGTATTCATTTGCTAAGGCTGCCATAATAAAGACTGGTGACTTAAACAAGAGGCATGTGTCTCCTCACAGTTCCGGAGGCTGGAAGTCTGAGATCAAGGTGTTGGTAGTGCTGGTTTCTTCTGAGGCCTCCCTCCTTGGCTTGTAGTTGGCCATCTTCTCCCTGTGTCCTCACATGGTCTTCACTCTGTGCCTGTCCGTGTCCTAATCTCTTCTTATAAGGACACAAGTCATAGTGGATTAGGGCCCACCCCAATACCTCATTTTACTTTAATTACCTCTTTAAAGACCCCATCTCCAAATACAGTCATACCCTCAGGTACTGGGGGTTAGGAATGAAATGTGTGAATTTGGGGGAACACAATTCAGTCCATAATCCTGGGCTTTGGGGTCACCACTGGAGCTTTTCTAAACACAGATGTCAGGGCCTGCCCCAGAGATTCTGACTGTAAGCTCCATGAAGGCAGGGGCTTTGCCCATTGCTGTGTCCCTACTACCTGGAACAGTGTCCACATGTGCTATGTGCTCGAGAAACATTTCTGAAATGAATGCATGATTTAGTAAATGGGATGCAGCCCAAGTGTTTGTCATTTAGAAAATTCCATGGTGGATTCTGATTCATCCTTGGGTGAAAAACCCTGAGATAGGATTGAGTTTCATCCTTCCTGTTGCTGGATGGGAAGCCTCACCCCCCAGGAAGGAAAAGAAATACCAGGCCTGGCACTCCACAAAGAACATGCGCTCGTAGGACCTGCCCTGGCACCTCTCCAGGAGGCCCAGGACACGAGAGAAAAGGGAGGGTCCTCTGTCCCCTGGCGTTTATAAGCTAGGAGGGTGTTTCTAAAAGGCACATGGGATCCTATCTCCCCTGCTTAAAACACTTCAATGGCTTCCCCATCATGAACGGGATCAAGTCCAAACATTCACCTGCCTGCAGCACCCTTCGTGTGTGGCCTCTGCCGACTCCACTCCCTCGCCTTTGCCACTCCCACACAGGCTGTGGTTTAAGTCACCAAATTCAGCACTGTTCCCTGAGCCCGTCATCCCTGTTACCGCTCATCTTAGCACGAGCTTCCTGGGATGCCTTTCACCTTGTCTGTCTAGGAAATGTCTTCTCATCTTTTTTTTTTTTTTTTTTTTTTGAGACGGAGTCTCACTCTGTCGCCCAGGCCGGACTGCGGACTGCAGTGGCACAATCTTGGCTCACTGCAAGCTCCGCTTCCCGGGTTCACGCCATTCTCCTGCCTCAGCCTCCCGAGTAGCTGGGACTATAGGCGCCCGCCACCGCGCCCGGCTAATTTTTTGTATTTTTTTAGTAGAGACGGGGTTTCACCTTGTTAGCCAGGATGGTCTCGATCTCCTGCTCATCTTTTAAAAAGCCATTTGATGCCCAGGCATGGTGGCTCATGCTCGTAATCCCAGCACTTTGGGAGGCCGAGGTAGGCAGATCACCTGAGGTCAGGAATTTGAGACCAGCCTGGCCAACATGGTGAAACTGTCTCTCTACTAAAAATACCAAATTAGCCGGGCGTGGTGGCGGGCACCTGTAATCCCAGCTACTCAGGAGGCTGAGGCAGGAGAATTGCTTGAGCCTGGAAGGCAGAGGTTGCAGTGAGCCGAGATCGCGCCATTGCACTCCAGCCTGGGCGTTAGGAGTGAAACTCCATCTCCAACAAAAAAAAAAAAAAAAAAAAAAAAAGCCATTTGAGCTTGCTGAGGCCTTCCCTTAACCCGCCCCAGCTGCAGGGAGAGGGTGCATCCTCTGGGCCCCTGGAGTCCCCTTGTTTTTCCCTCTGTCATGTGCCCATTACGCTGGTGGCAGATGCCCATTCTGACATCTCCTCCACCAGCCTGGGAGCTCCTGAGGGCAAGGCTGTGTTGGTAAGGGGTGTCTGTACCTCGGCACCCTGACAGGGCATGGCTCGGAGTCTAAATCCTCAGCAAGGTTGTGCTGACTGAAGGATGAGCACTGAAGGGACAAATAAATGCTCCGGGAGGAAGTGTCAGGAGGGACGGGAGAAGCTCCAATACAGGGCCTGGGTATAAGAGTCGTTTTTCAAAAAGTAGCGTTCTCTCTGTCCCTCTCAGACCCACAGTGGCAGAGCTGGGCCTGGAGTTGTGGCTCCCAGCCGAGCCTCAGCTCTCGGCCTCTGTTCTCTGCTTGCTCCCTGGGAGCTTCTCTGTGGCAGCTTAGGGCAGGGGATGCTCTTGGAGCTGGCCAGTGGGCACTCAGCAGAGTCAGGGAGCAGAATCGTAGCCTCAGGTGGGGACCTCAGAGCAGTAGGGCCGGCCAGGAAGCTCTGAGGGAGGGGAGAGGGCAGCAGCCCCAAGGGGAAGAGACTGGAAAATAACAGGCAGGAGGAAAGAGAGTGGGGAGCAGAGGGTTGGACAGCTGGGAGGCCAGAGACCTGATTTCTGCTCCCAGCTCCATTGTGCTGCCTCAGAGAAGCTCCCCGACTCTAACCTTTAGCAAGTTCCTGCCCGCTCTGGGCCTCAGGTTCCTTAACCGAAAATGGAGGAGCTGGACTAGAAGGTCTCTAAGATCCTCTCTAGCCTTGGCCAGGAAGATTTGGGGAAAGTGTGGCCACCTTAAAGGTGCAATTGAGGGGACTGCCCCCGGGCTGGCACACAGATTGCAGGGGCTTATATCCAGCCAGGCATTTGGGGGACGTGTCTCTGGGCCTGGAAAGAACTGGAAGCAGTTTCCCCAAGCCTTCTGCACTGGACTTTGTCCTGCGGTTCTGGCAGGCCCAATGTGGTCCTCAACACTAATGAGGCCGGCCACCTGGGGAGCCGTAGAAACTTGGCCTGGCCAATTTTGCCATAAAGCCATGGTCTCTTCCCTGCCTAACCCTGAGGTGATGCTCCTGAACGTGGCTTGGGGGCCGGGTAGCACCATTCATGGGCCACCTGGGGCTCTAAGGAGAACATCTGGTTGGGCAGGGCCTGATGGAAGTTCCAAGCCGCAGGGGCGAAGGGCCCAGGTCTCTGGCCATGTGGACGGCCTCAGTTGGCCCTGTACTCCCTGGGTCCCATCCCGCCAGGACAGGGCCTGCTGGTGGTGATTTCAGATTCAATTGGTGAAGACAGGCCTCCTGGGATGAGCCAGTTGGCCCCTCTCTGTTATTTGCTTCTCAGAGTTGGAAAAACTACGCCGTGCACCTGGCAGTACTTGCGGCTGCTGGTTTTTCTTTTTTTTAAAGAAACAGAAAGTAACCCCTGTGCTTACTGCAACCAAATCCATTTTATTGGCCTCCTGCATCTCCCACTGCAATTATAATAATCCCTTACATTTGATGAGTCTTTTGAGTGGTTTACAAAGCACTTTCTTGTGCATTCTCCCTTTTGATCCATGCAATAATTTTGGGAGGGAGAGAGGGCTGGCATTATTGTCCCTGGTTACAGGGGAGGAAACTGAGGCACTGATAGTAAGGTCAGCTGCCCAACGTCACACAGCAAGATGGTGCTAAAGCAGAGACCCTGGGTCCTCTGACTGAAGTCTTGTCCCTGCACCACACACCCATCTTATCATTTGAATACCCAGGCTCTCAGAAACCCTCTTCTAAAAAATAGGGCAGAAGGCTCAGCTCTTTTTCTTTCTAAACTTTTTCTCTTGGTGAACTTAACCATCACGTCACTTGAAACTACCACCTCTAAGTCAGTGACTCCTAAATCTGTGCTTCCGAGGCTTGAGATCTTCAGATCCTACCCTACCTCTCCAACCGCTGGATGGGCATTTCCACGTAATGCTCCAAAATGTCTAGTGAGTGGGACTGCATGTCCAGCACCACTGTAAAAAAAACACAACAGAAAGGAAAACTCTATATATCTTCCCTTTTCTCCCATTATACCCCCTAACCCCATTCTCCCTCCTAGCTACTCCGGGCCTCTTTAATGTTCCCACCCACCCCTTACTCACCCAGCTTAAGAAAGCTCAGTAGTACCTTAGCCTTATTTTTCCTTCACCTTCTAAATCCAGTTGGCCCTGTACTGGGTATTTTACTTAATACATTTATTCATCCAGCAAATACTGATTGTATGCTATACCTTTCCAGTCTATTCTGGGTCCCCTTGCTACGTGATATGTAGGCTTTTGTGTCTGGCTTCTTTCAGTTAGCATAATGTTTCAAGGTTCATCCATGTAATGGTATATATCAATATTTCATTCCTTTTAGGGCTGGACAGTATTCCACTCTAATGATATATCATATTGCATTTATCCATTCATCACCTTATAGACATATGGCTTGTTTCCATTTTTTTGGCTATCAGAACGATGCTGCTATGAACATTTATGTACAAGATTTTGTATGAATGTATGTTTTACTGCTTTTGGGTACATATATAGCAATGAAATTTCTGGGTCATAGGGTAACTCTATTTAACATTTTGAGGAACTGCCAAAGTGTCCCAAAGTGCCTGCACCATTTTATATTCCCACCAGCTGTGGATGAAGGTTCCAAATTTATCCACATCCACATTAACACTTGCTATTGTCTCTTTTTGTTTACAGCAATTCTAGTGGGTGTAAAGTTATTTCTCATTGAGATTTTGATTTACATTTCCCTAATGACTAATGTTTTCCCTAATGACTAACGACGTTGATGTTTTGATGTTTGTTGGTCATTTGTATATATTCTTTGAAGAAATGTCTTTTCAGACCCTTTGCCAATTTTTCAGTTGGGTTGTCCTTTCGCTATTGAGTTTTAAATGTTCTTTATAGATTCTGGATATAATTCTCTTGTCAGAAAAATGATTTGCAAATATTTTCGCCCTTTCTGTGGGTTGTCTTTTCGTTTTTTGAGAGTGTCCTTTGAAGTCCAATTTATCTTTTGTTGCTTATGCTTTGGTGTTGTGTCTAAGAAAGGTTTTCCAAACCCAAGGTCACAAAGATTTACCCCTGCTTTCTTCTAAGAGTTTTATAGTCTTAGCTTTTACATTCAGGACTATGGTCCATTTTTAGCTAAATTTTTAAATTTTATTTAAAATTTTTAAATTGCAGTAAAATATTCATGACATAAAATTTACCTTTTTTTTGAGACGGAGTCTCACTCTGTCGCCCAGGTTGGAGTGCAGTGGCGCGATCTCGGCTCACTGCAAGCTCCGCCCCCCGGGTTCACACCATTCTGCCTCAGCCTCCAGCTGGGACTACAGGCGCCTGCCACCATGCCTGGCTAATTTTTTTTTGTATTTTTAGTAGAGACGGGGTTTCACTGTGTTAGCCAGGATGGTCTCGATCTCCTGACCTTGTGATCTGCCCGCCTCGGCCTCCCAAAGTGCTGGGATTACAGGCGTGAGCCACCACGCCGGGCCCTTAATTGTTAAGTATACAGTTCAGTAGTGTTAAGAACATTTGCATTGTTGTGTAACCAATCTCTAGAACTTTTAATCTTGCAAAACTGAAACTCTATGCCTACTGGACAACTGGACAACTCTCCATTCCTCCCTCACCTAGCCCATTAATTTCTATGCATGGTATAAGAAAGGGGCCTAACTTTATTCCTGTGCATGTGGATATCCAGTTGTCCCAGTATCATTTGTTGGAAAGACTATTCTTTCCCCCATTGATGCTCCAGGTGTCCCATTGATTTTTTTTTTTTTTTTTTTAGCAACTTTAAACATCAATTGCTCATACATGTAAGTTTTAATTCTGGACTATCAATTGTTTCACTGATCTAGATACCTATTGTTATGCTATAACCAGCCTGTCTTGATTACTGTGGTTTTGTAGTAAGTTTTGAAATCAAGAAGGATTTCTCCACTTTTGTTCTTCTTTTTCAAGATTGTCTTGACTGTTCTTGGTCCCTTGCATTTGCATATGAGTTTTAGGGTCAGCTTGTCAATTTCTGGGGAAAAAAAAATCCAGCTGGGATTTTGATAAGAGATTGCACTAAATCTGTAGATCAATTTAGGGAGTATTGCCATCTTAAGAATACTACTAAGTCTTTTGATTCATGAGCACATGAAGTGTTTCCATTTATTTAGGTCCTCTTTCTCTCTCTCTCTCTCTCTCCACTTCCTGGGTTCAGGTGATTCTCCGGCCTCAGCCTCCCAAGTACCTGGGATTACAGGCGCCCGCCACCACACACAGCTAATTTTTGTATTTTTAGTAGAGACAGGGTTTCACCATGTTGGCCAGGCTGGTCTCGAACTCCTGACCTCAGGTGATCCACCTGCCTCGGCCTCCCAAAGTGCTGGGATTACAGGCGTGAGCCACTGCGTCTGGCCTTCAAATGGCTTTTTAAAAGATGAGAAGATATTTCCTGACAAACAAGATGGGAAAGGCATCCCAGGAAGCTGGGATTAGAGGTGTGAACCACTGCACCCTTTAAACAATGCTTTGTAGATTTCAGAATTTATATAAGCTTTGCACTTCGTTGTATGTATTCCTGAGTACTTTTAAACTTTTTGATACCATTGTAAATGCAATTGTTTTCTAATTTCATTTTCAGATTATTTCTAGCTTGTAGAAATATAATTGATGTTTGTACATTGGGCTTGTATCCTAAAGCCTTGTTGAACTTAACATATTGGGTTTAATAGGTTTTTTAGTGGATTCCTTAGGATTTTCTATATAGAAGATCATGTCATCTGAATACAGAAATAGTTGTACTTCTTCCTTTCTAAAATGAATCCGTTTTGTTCTTTTTCCTGCCTAATTGCCTGGCTAGAGCCTCCAGTACAATGTTGAATATAAGCGGTGAGAGCAGACTTCCTTGTCTTATTTTTGATCCTAAGGGTAAGTTTTCAGTCTTTCACCATTAAGTATGATGTTAGCTGTGGGTTTTTGTTGATACCCTTTATGAGGTAGAGGAAGTTTCCTTCTATTTCTAGTTTTGTTTAGTGTTTTTTAAAAATTATGAAAGGGGCCAGGCATGGTGGCTCATGCCTGTAATCCCAGTGCTTTGAGAGGCCAAGGTAGGCGGATCACCTGAGGTCAAGAATTTGAGACCAGCCTGGCCAGCATGGCAAAACCCCCTCCACTAAAAAATACAAAAATTAGCCGGGTGTGGTAGCGCATGCCTGTAATTGCAGCTACTCTGGAGGCTGAGGCAAGAGACTTGCTTGAACCTGGGAGGTGGAGGTTGCAGTGAGTCGACATCGTGCCACTGTACTCCATCCAGCCTGGGTGACAGAGCAAGACTCTGTCTCAAAAAAAAAAAAAAAAAAAAAAATTATAAAAGGGTGCTAGATTTTGTCAAATGCTCCTTCTGGCTCTATTAATTTCATTTTTTTTTTTTTTGAGACAGAGTCTTGCTCTGTTGCCTAGGCTGGGGTGCAGTGGCACAATCTTGGCTCACTGCAACCTCCGCTTCCTGGGTTCAAGTGATTTTCATTTTCATGCCTCATCCTGCCAGGCAGCTGGGACTACAGGCATGCAGCCCCATGCCAAGCTAATTTTTATTTTTATTTATTTATTTTTATTTTATTATTTATTTATTTATTTTATTTTTATTTTTATTTTTTGAGATGGAGTCTCACTCTGTTGACCAGGCTGGAGTGCAGTGGTGCGGTCTCAGCTCACTGCAACCTCTGTCTCCTGGGATCAAGCAATTCTCCTGCCTCAGCCTCCCAAATAGCTGGGATTACAGGCATGTGCTACCATGTCTGGCTAAGTTTTGTATTTTTAGTAGAGACAGAGTTTCAGCATGTTGGCCAGGCTGGTCTCGAACTCCTGACCTCAAGGGATCTGCCCACCTAGGCCTCTCAAAGTGTTGGGATTACAGGCGTGAGCCACCACACCCAGCTCTTTCTGACTCTACTGAGATGATTGTGTGGTTTTTGTCCTTTATTCTATTGATAAGGTTTATTATATTAATTGATTTTTCAGATATTAAACCAACCTTAAATTCCTAGGATAAATCCCTCTTGCTTATGGTGCAAAATCCTTTTTATATGTCACTGGATTCATCTTCGTAATTTTTTTTTGAGGATTTCTGCATCCATATTCATTAGGAATATTAGTCTGTAGTTTTCTTATGATGTCTTTGTCTGGTTTTGGTGTCAGAGTAATACTGACCTCATAGAGTAAGTTGGGAAATGTTCTCTCCTCTTCTAATTTTTGGAAGAGTTTGTGAAGAATTTGGTATTAAATCTTCTCTAAGTGTTTGGTAGAATTTATACTTTTTATTGCTGAGCTGTACTCCATTATATGAATATACCACAATTTATTCATCCATTCACCTGTTGATAGATATTTGGGTTGTTTCCAGTTTTAGAATAAAGCTGCTATGAACATTAGTGTACAAATCTTTGTATGGATGTATGTTTTCATTTTCTTGGGTAAATATTTACAGTATAATTGCTGGGTCATTTGGTAGATGCATGGTAACTTTATGAGAAAGTTCCAGACCAATTTTCAAAGTGGTTGTGTCACTCCTACCAGCAACGTATGAGACTTTTGCTTACATTCTACAATCTTACCACTTAAGCTGTTGCCACCGTTTGATTTTAGCCATTCTAATGGGCATGTAGTGATATCTCAATGTCATTTTCATTTACATTTTGCTGAATAATAATATTAAAACACATTTTCATGTGCTTATTGGCCATTGGTATATCTTCCTTTATTCAGTGCCGGTTCTTATTTTTTGCCCATTTTTTAAAAATTAGATTTTAATTGGGTCTTCTTAATATTGAGCTGTATAAGTTTTTTATATACACTGGATAAAAGTCTTTTGTCAAATATATAGACATAGAGAGATAGAGATATATGCATGGTGATAACTAACTCACATTCTATGGTTTTCCTACTTATTTCTTAATGGTGTCTTTTGCTTAGCAGAAGGTTTAAATTTTGATGAATTCCATTTTATTGATGTTTCTTTTATGGTTATTGCTTTCTGGGTCCTAAAAAAGTTTGACTATCCAAAGATGATGAAAATGTTCTTCTATATATTTTCTTCTAAAAACATTTTAATAGCCAGTTGTTCCAGCATCGTTTGTTGAACAGACTTTTCTTTCCACATTGAATTGCTTTTCCTCCTTGGATGAAAATCAACCACTATTTACAGACTAACTATTCTGTCCCATTGATCTATTTTTTCTATCTTTATGTCAACACCACACTGTCTTGACTACTGTGGCACTACTGTAAGTCTAGAAATCAAATGTAAGTTCTTCACCTCTGTCTTATTACAAGACTGCTTTATACTACATCTTTTCCATTTCCATGCAAATTTTAGAACTTCAACTTACCAATTTCTACAAAAAAGCCTACTAGAAATTTGATTGGCATTGCTTTGAACCTATTGATCCATTTGGAGAGAACTGACAAGTTAACAATATTGCGTTCTTCCAATCTACAAATGTGGTATATTACTCCATTAATTTAGTTTCTTTAATTTCCCTCATCAGAGACAGAGTAAGATAGCTGAATAGAAGCTTCCAGTGATCATCCTCCCCACAGGAACACCAAATTTTAACAACTATTTACATAAGAAAAGCACCTTTATAGGAACCAAAAATCAGGTAAGCAATCACAGTACCTGGTTTTAACTTCGAAATTATAGTCTTGAATCACCAATGCCACCCCTCCCTCATCCCCTTGCAGTGCCCTTGGTACAGAGAATCTGTGTGGTTGGGGGAGGGAGAGTGCAGCAACTGTGGGACTTTGAACTCAGCAAAACTGGGCTGAACTCAGCAGATGTGTGTCCATGGAAGGAGCACTTAGACCAGCCATAGCCAGAGAGGAATCGCCTATCCCAGCAGTCAGAACCTGAGTTTAGGGAAGCCTCAGCACTGTGGGCTAAAGTGTTCTGGGGTCCTAAGTAAACTTGAAAGGCAGTCTGTGCCACAAGGACTGCAACTCCTAGGCAAGTCTTAGTGTTGTGCTGGGCTTGGAGCTTGTGGACCTGGGGGGCATGTGACCTAGTGAGACACCAGCTGGGTTGGCTAATGGAGTGCTTGTGCCACTCCTCCTCCAACTCCAAGCAGCACAGTTCTCAGCAATGAAAGTGACTGCTTCCTTCTGCTTGAGGAGAGGGAAGGGTAAAAAGAATTTTGATTTGCATTTTGGATACCAGCTCAGGCACGACAGGATAGGGCAGTGGGAAGAGTTTTGAGGCCCCCGTTCCAGGCCCTAGCTCCCAGATATTTCTAGACACACCCTGGTCCAGAAGAAAACCTATTCCCTTGAAGAGAAGGGGCCAGGTCAGGCAGGATTCATCACCTGCTGATTAAAGAGCCCTTGGGCTCTGAATAATGAGCAGCAATAACCAGGTAGTACGCCATGGGCCTTGGTGAGACTCTGAGACATGCTGGCTTCAGGTGAGACCCAGCACATTCCCAGCTGTGATGGCCATGGTGAGAGACTCCCGCTTGAGAAAAGAAGAGGGAAAAGTAAAGGGGACTTTGTCTTACACTTAAGTAACCAGCTTGCCCACAGTGGGGTACAGTACCAAACGGGCTCTTGGGATCCACAATTCCAGGCCTTGGCTCTTGGAAGGTATTTCTGGACCTGCCCTGGGCCAGAGAGGAGCCCACTGCTCTGAAGGGCGAGTCCCAGGCCTGGCAGCATTCACCATAAGCTGACAGAAGAGCCCTTGGGCTGTAAGTGAACATCAGTGAGACTGGCAGTACTCCCCATGGGCCTGTGGTGGTGGTGGCCATTGGGAGAGGCTCCTCGGCCTGTGGAAAGGGAAGGGAAGAGTAGAAAGGACTTTGTCTCGTAGCATGAGTTCAGCTTAACCACAGTAGAATAGAGCACAAGGTAGATTTATAAGGTTTTTTACTCCAGTCCCTGGCTCCCAGACAGCATCTCTGGACCCACCTGGGGCCTAAGAGAACTTGCTGCCCTGAAGAAAAGGACACAAACCTGGCTGGCTTCACTACCTGCTGATTGTGGAACTCTAGGGCCTTGAGTGAACATAGGTGAAAGCTAGGTAGAGGCTAACGGGGTCTTGGGTAAGACCCAGCACTGTGCTGGCTTCAGGCCTAACCCAGCCCAGTCCTAGTGGGTGGCCACAGGGGTGTTTGTGTCACCCCACTCCAGCTCCAGGCGGCTCAGCACAGAGAGTGAAAGACTGGGAGAAAGTAAGGGAAGAGAACAAGAGTCTCCACCTGGTAATCCAGAGAGTTCTTCCAGGTCTTATCTAAGACCACCGAAGACTCTACGAGTCTAAATCATAGTGTTACTGGGCTTGGGGTTCCCCCTAATGCAGTACAGCTCAGATTACAACATTCAAGATTCAACACTGAAGTCCCTTCGAATACCTGAAAAGCCTTCCCAAAGACAGGTACAAACAAGGCCAGACTGTGATGACTACAATGAATACTTAACTCTTCAATGCCTAGACACTGACAAACATCCACAAGCATCAAGACATCCAGGAAAACATGACATTATCAAATGAACTAAATAAAGTGCCAGGGACCAATCCTGGAGAAACAGAGACATATAACCTTTCAGACAGAAAATTCAAAGCTGTTTTGAGGAAAGTCAAAGAAATTCAAGATAACACAGAGAAGGAATACATAATTCTATCAGATAAATTTAACAAAGGGATTGAAATATTGAAAAGAATCAAGCAGAAATTCTGGAGTTGAAAAATGCAATTGGCATACTGAAGAATGCATCAGAATCCCTTAATAGTAGAATTGACCAAGCAGAAGAAAGAATTAGTGAGCTTGAAGACAGGCTACTTGAAAAAAACACAGTCAGAGGAGATGTATTAGCCTGTTTTTACATTGCTATAAAGAACTACCTGAGACTATGTAATTTATAAAGAAAAAGGTTTCATTGACTCAGTTCAACAGCCTGTACAGAAAGCATGGCTGGGGAGGCCTCAGGAAACTTACAATCATGGCGGAAGGTGAAGAGGAAGCCGGCACACCTTACCTGGCCAGAGAAGGAGGAAGAGTGCACAGGGGGAGGTGCTACCCACTTTTAAACAACCAGATCTCATGAGAACTCACTCACTATCATGACAACAGCAAGGTGGAAATCCACCACCATGATACAATCATCTCCTACCAGGCCCCTCCTCCAACACTGGGGAGTACAATTCAACATGAGATTTGGGCAGGGACACAAATCCAAACCATATCAGGAGACAAAAGAAAAAATAATAATAAAGAATGAGGCATGCCTACAAGATCTAGACAACAGGCTCAAAAGGGCAAATCTAAGAGTTATTGACCTTAAAGAGGAGGTAGAGAAAGAGATAGTATAATAGTAGAAAGTTTATTCAAACGGATAATAACAGAGAACTTCCAAAACCTAGAGAAAGATATCAATACTGATACGGTTTGGCTATATCCCCACCCAAATCTCAACTTGAATTGTATCTCCCAGAATTCCCACCTGTTGTGAGAGGGACCCAGGAGGAGATAATTTAATCATGGGGGCCAGTCTTTCCTGTGCTATTCTCATGATAGTGAGTAAGTCTCACGAGATCTGATGGGTTTATCAGGGGTTTCTGGTTTTGCTTCCTCCTCATTTTTCTCTTGCTGCTGCCATGTAAGAAGTGCCTTTTGCCTCCTACCATGATTCTGAGGCCTCCCCAACCATGTGGAACTGTAAGTCCAATTAAACCTCTTTTTCTTCCCAGTCTCGGGTATGTCTTTGTCAGCAGTGTGAAAATGGACTAATATAGTAAATTGGTACCAGTAGAGTGGGGCATTGCTGAAAAGATACCCAAAACTGTGGAAGTGAGTTTGGAACTCGGTAACGGCAGAGGTTAGAACAGTTTGGAGGGCTCAGAAGAAGACAGAAAAATGTGGAAAAGTTTGGAACTTCCCAAGACTTGTTGAATGGCTTTGATGAAAATGCTGATAGTGATATGAACAATAAGGTTCAGGCTGAGGTAGTCTCAGATGGAGATAAGGAACTTGTTGGGAACTGGAGCAAAGGTGACTCTTGTTATGTTTTGGCAAAGAGACTGGTGGCATTTTGCCTGTGCCCTAGAGATCTGTGGAGCTTTGAACTTGAGAGAGATTATTTAGGGTATCTGGCAGAAGAAATTTCTAAGCAGCAAAGCATTCAAGAGGGGACTTGGGTGCTGTTAAAAGCATTCAGTTTTAAAAGCGAAACAGCATAAAACTTTGGAAAATTTGCAGCCTGACAATGTGATAGAAAAGGAAAACTCATCTACTGGGGAGAAATTCAAGCTGGCTGCAGAAATTTGCAAAAGTAGTAAGGAGTCTAGCATTAATCCCCAAGACCATGGGGAAAATGTCTCTAGGTCATGTCAGAGACCTTTACGGCAGCCCCTCCCATCACAGGCCCAGAGGCCCAGGAGGAAAAAGTGGTTTCATAGGTCAGGCCCAGGGTCCCCGTGCTGTGTGCAGCCTATTGACTTGGTGCCCTGTGTCCCAGCTGCTCTAGCTGTGGCTGAAAGGGGCCAATGTACAGCTCAGGCTGTGGCTTCAGAGGGTGGACGCCCCAAGCCTTGGCAGCTTCCATGTGGTGTTGAGCCTGCGGGTGCACAGGAGTCAAGAACTGGGGTTTGGGAACCTCTGCCTAGATTTCAGAAGATGTATGGAAATGCCTGGATGCCCAGACAAAAGTTTGCTGCAGGAGTGGGGCCCTCATGGAAAACCTCTGCTAGGGCAGTACAGAAGGGAAGTGTGAGGTTGGAGCCCCCACATAGGATCCCTACTGGGGCACTGCCTAGTGGAGCTGTGAGAAGAGGACTACCATCCTCTAGACCCCAGAATGGTAGATCCACTGGCAGCTTGCACCGTGCACCTGGAAAAGCCACAGACACTCAATGCCAGCCCATGAAAGCAGCCAGGAGAGAGGCTGTACCCTGCAAAGCCACAGGGGTGGAGCTGCCCAAGACCATGGGAACCCACCTTTTGCATCAGGGTGAGCTGGATGTGAGACCTGGAGTCAAAGGAGATCATTTTGTAGCTTTAAAATTTGACTGCCCTGCTGGATTTCGGACTTGCAAGAACCCTGTAACCCCTTTGTTTTTGTGAATTTCTCCCATTTGGAATGGCTGTATTTACCCAATACCTGTATCCCCACTGTATCTAGGAAGTAACTAGCTTGCTTTTGATTTTATAGGCTCATAGGTGGAAGGGACTTGGCTTGTCTCAGATGAGACTTTGGACTGTGAACTTTTAGGTGAATGCTGAGATGAGTTAAGACTTTGGGGGACTGTTGGGAAGGCATGATTGGTTCTGAAATGTGAGAACATGAGATTTGGAGGGGCCAGGAGCAGAATGATACTGTTTGGCTGTGTCCCCACCCAAATCTCAACTTGAATTTTATCTCCCAGAATTCCCACATATTGTGGGAGGGACCCCGGGGGAGGTAATTGAATCATGGGGGCCAGTCTTTCCTGTGCTATTTTTGTGATAATAAGTCTCACAAGATCTGATGTGTTTATCAGGGGTTTCTGCTTTTGCTTCCTCATTTTTCTCTTGCTGCTGCCATGTAAGAAGTGCCTTTCACCTCCTGCCATGATTCTGAGGCCTTCTCAGCCATGTGGAACTCTAAGTCCAATTAAACCTCTTTTTGTTCCCAGTTTCAGGTATGTCTTTATCAGCAGCATGAAAATGAACTAATAAAAATACCCAAGTACAAGATGATAGAACACCAAATAGATTTAACTTGACTACCTTGAGGCATCTAATAAACCTTACAAGCCAGGAGAGGGTGGCATGACATATTTAAAGTCCCAAGGGAAAAAAACTTTTACCCTAGAATAGTATATCTGGTGAAAACATCCTTCAAACATGAAGGAGAAATAAAGACTTTCAAAGCTGAAGGATTTCATCAACACCAGACCTGTCTTACAAGAAATGCTAAAGGAAGTTCTTCAATCTGAAAGAAAAGGATGTTAATGAGCAATAAAAAATCATCTGAAGATACAAAACTCACTGGTAATAGTAAGTACACAGAAAAACAGACTATTATAACACTGTAACTGTGGTGTATAATCTACTCTTAAGCAGAAAGACTAAAAGATGAACCAATCAAAAATAATAACTACAACAACTTTTCAAGACATACAGTACAATAAGGTATAAATAAAAACAAAAAGTTAACAAGTGGGGAGACAAAAAGTGTAGTTATTAGTTTTCTTTTTGTTTGTTTATGCAATCAGTGTTAAGTTGTCACCAGTTTAAAATAATGAGTCATAAGATAGTATTTGCAAGCCTCATAATAACCTCAAATCAAAAAACATACAACAGATATACAAAAAATAAAAAGCAAGAAATTAAGTCATAACACCAGAGAAGATTACCTTCACTAAAAGGAAGACAGGAAGGAAAGGAAAAGAAAACCAGAAAACAACAAAATGGCAGAAGTAAATCCTTACTTATCAATAATAACATTGAATGTAAACAGACTAAGTTCTCCAATCAAAAGACACAGAGTGGCTGAATGGATTAAAAAAAAAAGACACAATAATCTATTGCCTATAAGAAACATATTTCATCTATAAAGACGCACAAAGACTGAAAATAAAGGGATGGAAAAAATATTCCATGCGAATGGAAATTTAAAAAAGAGGAGTAGCTATACTTATACCAGACAAAATAGACTGCAAGACAAAAATTGTAAGAGACAAGGAAGGTCATTATATAATGGTAAAGGCATCAATCCATCAAGAGGATATAACAATTGTAAATATATATGCCCCCAATCTACTTTCAGCACTGGCCAGATTTCCTACACAGAAAATCAACAAAGAAACATCAGACTTAACCTGAACTACATTATAAATTGACCTAGTAGTTATTTAGAGAACATTTCATCCAATGGCTCCAGAATACATATTCTTCTCCTCAGCACATGGATCATTTTCAAGGATAGACCATATGTTGGGTCACAAAACAAATCTTATAACCTTAAAAAAAAAAAAAAAACCCTGAAATATTATCAAATGTCTTCTTTGACCACAATGGAATAAAACTAGAAATCATTAACAAGAGGAATTTTGGAAACTATACAAACACATGGAAATTAAACTACATGCTCCTGAATGACCAGTGGGTCAATGAAGAAATGAAGAATTTTTTTTTTTGAGACGGAGTCTCATTCTGTCGTCCAGGCTGGAGTGCAATGGTGTGATCTTGGCTCACTGCAACCTCCGCCTCCCGGGTTCAAGCGATTCTCCTGACTCAGCCTCCTGAGTAGCTGGGATTACAGGTGCGTGCCACCATGCCTGGCTAATTTTTGCATTTTTAGTAGAGACGGGCTTTCACCATTTTGGTCAGGCTGGTCTCAAACTTCTGATCTCGTGATCCACCTGCCTCAGCCTCCCAAAGTGGCGGGATTACAGGCATGAGCCACTGAGCCCGGCCAAAAAATTTCTTGAAACAAATGATAATGGAAACACAACATATAAAACCTATGGGATACAGCAAAAGCAGTACTAAGAGGGAATTTTATAGCTATAAGCACCTACATTAAAAAAGAAGAAAAACTTCAAATAACCTAGTTTTTGTCATCACTGTTTTAGTTTTTAGTGTAGAGATGTTGAACATATTTCATTAAATTTATCCCTAAATATTTTATGTTCTTGACACTATTATAAATGGCATTTTAAATGTTATTTTTATTTTACAATTACTAATTGCTGATATACAAAAGATTGAATCTTGTATATTGGCCTCGTATCCTGTCACGTTACTAAATTCACATATTAGCCCTAGATTTTTGTTTTGTAGATTACTTGCTTGTTCTTTGAAAATACAGTTTTATGCCTTCCTTTCAATCTGTATGACTTTTACTTTTCTCATCTTATTGCATTTGCTGAAACCTCCAGTCACATAATAATATTGCATGAACAGATACCAGACATCCCTGCCTTGTTCCCAAACTTAGAACGTTTCAATATTTCATCACAAAGTATGATATATGGTATTTAGTGTTTTGTAGATTCCATTTAGCAGGTTGAGGATGTTTTCTTCTATTCCTACTTTTTGAAAAGTGTTCTTTTTTTTTTTTTTGGTCAAATATAGGTGTTGAATTTTGTAAAAATCCCCATGGTTTGTCTTCTATGCATGCTTGAAAAGAACAGGCATTCTGCAGTTACTGAGTGTTGTGTTCCGTAAATATCAATTAGGTCAAGTTGATTGATAAAGTTTTTCAAGTCTTGCATATCATTTTATTTCCCCCCATTATGTGTTACATGTTCCTGTTTCTCTGAATATTTCATAGTATTGGTTGAAAACTGGATATTTTAGATAATATAGTCTAGCAATTATGAAATCTGACATTTCCCCTCTAGGGGTTGTTTTTGCTTTTGTTAGTAACTTGCCTAGACTAAATCTATAGAGTCTGTGGTGCGGGACCATTGATCTCTCTCGTTTGTTTCATTTCCGTTCTTAAATTCTTGTCTTTATTTTTAAGCCTTGCTGCAAGGGCTTACGCCCATGTCAGTGTTGCTTAGTGGTCAGCTAATGATTGATCAGAGGTTGTGCTCAAATACCTTGAGCCAGTAAGACTTCTACTTTCCACAATGTCACACATCTACATGTGGGTTGGGAAATGCATAAAAATTCAGGCAGTTCACAAGTCTGCCTCGGCATTTCCTTTCTGTTGGGCACTCTCACATTTCCTCTACCTGTGTGCATGGCCTCAAGTTCTACCAGGTGTATGTGGATAGCCAAGGCACTCTTTGGTCTCTCCTGCACATGTGCTTTGCTAGGGATATGTGGCAGCTTATCGAAGCTCACTATGGCTCTCATTCCCATTATCTCCCTGGTCCCTTGCTTGCTCCAACCAGGACCTCAACTTCAGGCTAGCTGAATTGTTGTCTTGCTTTTTGTTAGTTCGTCACTGAGACTGCTATTTTTTCTTTCAATACCCCGGGCATGCAGTTTTTCAAATTCTGCTTCAAATCAAGTGAGCTCCTTCCCACAGCAAAGCTGCAGGTTTTCGTGATTTGTCTTTCCTTGTAGCACAATTACTATGGTGACCAAGCTGGTGGGGAGCAGAGGAGAGAAGGTGGGTTGGAAGCAGCCCCAGGTTAAAACACCACAGACTCCCACTATTTTTACTTGAGGGTCAGTAGTTTTTCACGAATAAATGCTTCTCAATTTGTTGTAAGCCTTTAATCAATTTTGTTTTTGACAATTTCTTTTTAAAGAGGATTTTCTGAGCTTCTTACTCTGTCATTCCAGAAGTCCTGCTCATCATTCTATATTCCCCTAAATTACAGATTTATCTACTTGTTTTTAGTTCTGTTTTATTTAATGTTATTGTGTGCACGTTTACGAGTATTATATCTTCTTGATTAACTCTCTTATTATGTCTCTTTACATCTGGTAATACTCCTTGTTCTGAAGTCTACTTCATGTGATATTAATATAGCCACTCCAGGTTTCTTATGATTTGTGTACGCATGGTCTTTTTCTGTCCTACTACTTTTAACCTATCTGCATCTTTATGTTTAACATGCTTTCCTGTAAACAGCATGATATAGTTTGGATGTTGTCCCCTCAAAGCCTCATGTTGAAATGTGATCCCTCATCTTGGAAGTCAGGGCTGAGGGGAGGTGTTTGAGTCATCTGGGGGGATCACTCATGGTTTGGTGTTGTCCTCCCAATAGTAAGTCCTCATGAGATCTGGTTGAGCAAAAGTGTGTGGCATCTCCCCTCCCCTTCTTTCTCTTGCTCCTGCTCTGGCCATGTGACATGCCTGTTCCTGCTTTACCTTCTGCCATGAGTAAAAGCTCCCTGAGGCCTCCCCAGAAGCTAAGCTGATGCTGGCACCATGCTTGTACAGCCTGCAGAACCATGAGACAATTAAACCTCTTTCCTTGTAAATTACCCAGTCTTAGGTATTTCTTTACAGCAACGCAAGAACAGACTAGCACACAGCATATTTGTATCCATTTGTAAAAAAAAAATCTAGCCTGGTAATTTCTGCCTTTTAATTGAAGTGTTCATTCCATTTACATTTAATGTTGATATGGTTAAGTCTAATGTCTTTTTATTGCTTTCTATTTGTCCCATCTATTCTTTGTCCTTTTTTTCCTTCTTTTCTAACATTCATTGGTAATTTTAGTATTCCATTTCATCTGCATTATTGGCTTATTAACTATACTTTGGAGTTATACATTGTGGTTTTCAGTGGTTGCTCTCAGGTTTACAATACGCATATTTAACTTAAAACAGTTAAGTTGTTTAAAAAGTTATTAATTTAAAAATAATATACCACCTCAAGTATAACATAAGAAGAAGAGTATACTATACTTCCATACTCCCTCCTCATCCTTTGTGCTAGTTTTGTCAAGTATTTTATTTCTACTTATGTTATGGACCACACTATGTGTGTGTGTATCTCTCTTAGGTATTTGAAATACAACTTTATTCTGTTTCTAAATGAAAAGGAATGGGAATGGCAGTAAAATAAGATCCTCACCACTGAATATTATGATGTTAAGTATTAGGTTGGTGCAAAAGTTACTGTGGTTTTTGCAATACTTTGGCAAAAACTGCCATTACTTTTGTACCAACCTAATATATATGAAACTCCAGAAGGAAACAACAAAAACAGCTAAATATGCAGGTCCAAAAATTGAAGGTATTTTTGAAGTCCATTCATCTCCTTCAGCATCCCAAAGATAAAGCACATGTTCTGCTTAGCTACACAATAAAATGGCAAACATGCTACACCACTGACAGCACAGCACAGATGCTTATAAAACTATACTTCTGATGCTGGGCTCCAGATTAATTTTCTTACAGATCATCATTCTCATCCGGGAGAACATTTGAACAACCTGTAAATCATGATATATTGTGCTGCCAAAGCTGGGTCCATGACAACCTCTTGTGGGGCAAGGGCAAGCATGGCAACAAACTCCAAGTTAGGATCTCCAATTAGTTTTGTAGCAAGCCAGAGGAAGGGCTTTTCCAAGTTGGAGTTACTTTTAGCAGAATGTCACAATGCTGAGGATTCTTCCTTTAGTAGAATACAATAGAGTTTGCCTTCACTTTCCTATCTTTAATGTCTATGTTGTGTGCCTCTTCACAGTGAACAATGCCTTCGGGAGTTTTCTGCCTCCTTTGGGCACTATCTCTATAGCTTCATCTTCTTCCTCAATTCAAATTGCCAAAGCCTGGTTGAGTTTCCCATCTCTAAGTGAACAAAATATGTATGATTAGAAAGTAAGCTCTATTCAGTTTTGCTTAAATTAGAGTTGGTCTCTATTACTTGAAGCACTGAGAAAGTCACTGTCATATACTGATGATGATACGCAACCTTTGGGAAGACAAGTTGGCAATATGTATGAAAAGTTTCTTAAAATGTATATCCTTTGACACAGTAATTCTATTCCTAACAATCTATCCTAACAATAATCTAAAATGGGCATCAAAGATATGGTTGTAGTTACCCAAAATGCAAGCATAATGCTCTGGAGGGATTTGTTGCTAACAGACTTGCTTAAAAGTTGCTTTCGAGACATTCAATTTGCAGATGAGAGCTGTTATTACAAGGCATTTAGGTCTAAAATTTGGCCATCTAGAGTATGTGAAGGGAAAGAAAACCCTCTCAACTTTGTAATGTGATATAGTATTGAGAAAAGTAGACTAAAATTTTAGAGATCAAGTTCTACCACTGACTTGCCTAGTGGTCTTGGTAAGTTACCTATCATCCCTGGGGCCTATTTCCTCAGCTACAAAATGGAGGTACTATCTGCTCTATCTACCTCTGACAGCCATGTAAGGCTGAGTCCAGCTTTCCCCTCTGTATGTACTAGTAAAGCCTTTGTAATGACAGGAATTGTTTTCAATGACTTCCCTTTGTCTTTAGATATGACAGAATCCTTACCATAGCCGACAAGGTTCTGAACCATCTGGCCCAGCCTCCCTCTCTAGCCTGATCTTGGCATGACCTCCCTGTTGGTCACCAGGCTACAGCCACATGCCCACCCTGGACTTTCACAAATGCTCTTCCCTCTCCCTGAAATACTGTACCATCTTTGCCTGGTCAACTACTTATCTGTAAAGTCTGACTTAAATGTCACTTTCACCAAGAAATCTCTGACAACCCCCAACATGGCCCTCCTGTGTGGTTTTTCTCCTAGTGCCCTGTACAGATCCTTTTATAAGGCTTATCACAATGGTCATTACATAATTGTTCATGCAATTATTTATTTGGTTGTCTCTCTCTTTCAAAACTCCTTGAGAGCACGTTCTGTTTCTGCCTTGTTCATGACTGTGTAGTTTTAGGGCTTGGCAGTACCCTCTATGGAGACACAAGGTAATTTGTTAAATGAATGAATTCTTAAACTCTTACAGCATCAGGGATAGAGAACTAATGCTTTCAACCAAGTTGATAAAACTGAAGCCCAGAGAAGAGAATGACTTTCCCAGGATCACATGGCCAGTGAGTAGAAGAGGCAGTTTTATAATTCATTAATTCATTCAATAAATATTTTCTAAGAGCCTACTATGTTCTAGGCACTGTCCTAGGTACTGGAGATAGAATGATAGACAGTCCGTGACTTCCTAGAACTTATATTGTGGTGGAGGAGATAGCCAATAAGCAGATAAACAGATACACAATTAGCAGAGATAGTGATAAGTGCCATGAAGAGGTGCTCTGTAGACAGAAAGCACATAACCACCAAGCACTCAAACCCGTGCTTTCTGCGTCCAAGTGCAGGGCTCTTTCCACTACACCACACTGTCTGCCCGAAGTAAACAAACAAAACCATAATTTATGAGGCTCCCTCAGCTGCCTGTGTGTGCACTTGGTGGGGTGAAACCCTCATGCTGTCCATGAAGAAGAGCCAACATCATCAGAAGCGGCAGCTGACTGGCTTGCCTACTAAAGCAGGTGTCATGGCACTAGCCAGCCCAGCCTCTGCTGCCTTGAAACTTCACATCTGGCACCCAAAGAGAGAGAGTGTGTGTGTTTAAATAAGACAGCTATTGAATGAGTGGACTGAGGAGGGTTGGAGTTGGCTGGTCTTAAGGAATGATGCAAACCACAAGGGGACAGTGCTCAGGAGGTGAACAGAGAAAACAGATGGGCTCAAACTGCAGGCGTGACTATAGCCCAAGCACCCCATACATCATTGGGAGAGGCTTCTTTGCTGCCAAAGATCTGTTTATTTTTTCATTAATAAACAGCATTCTCTGATGTCTGTACTTGAGGAAATAGAATGCATACTCAGACCTTTGGCTTTCCTCTAAACGACTTCAAGTAGAAATATGGTTGAAACAAGGGTGTGTTGTGTAGCACACAGAATGACACGCAGCCCACCTGAAAGGTAGGGGTGCTGGTGGGACAAAGGGGAGTCAGGAATTTGACAGGTGAGCAGAACTGCAAGGAAACACTGGGTCCATTAGCCCTCCCTCCTCACTTTGTTAGAACCTCAGTTTTGACAGTCTGATGTGCTGTCTACAGCACAAAGTAGGCACTCCAATAAAGGTTAGTTGGCAAAAAAATTAGCAAAGTACGACAACTCATTTTTCTCACACAGGTAAGATTAAAGTCCAAAGCATTACTCTGAAACAATAAAAACCCAACCACTATAAACTGGGCACTTTATATTTGTTATCTCTAATCCTCACAATAACCTTGAGGTAGATACAAGCTTCATCTTACAGATGAGCAGACTGAGGCTCAGAGAAATTTGGTGACTTTCTGGGAGTCACGCTGATAGTAAAAGGGCATGAACTCCAGTTTGCCTGACTCTAAAGTCCAAGGACTTTCTACAACATCAAAAAGTGAGCCAGTCTGCTCTCCAACTGCAGCCAGAGTACTTTCCAAAATGTAAGTATCTCTCTCTCTCTCTCAAATAAATAAAGATGGGGTTTCACCATGTTGGCCAGGCTGGTCTCGAACTCCTGGCCTCAAGTGATCTACCTGCCTCGGTCTCCCAAAGTGCTGGGATTACAGGCATGAACCACCGCACGTGGCCAAAAAGCAACTGTCTCTTGCTGCTTTGCTGCTTCTAAAGTGTACAGGCTGGGAAGACATATAACATGTATTATGAACTATGCACAATTCTAAGATAGAGTGGGGGGTTTCATGCAGGAGCTTCAGGATAGCTGTTGCTGTATTTTAGGGGTGAGCTTTGGAGTTCACAGCAAAACTTACTGCTAGAAAAGAATTAAATCATTGGTACATTTCTAAGTATAATGGTCATTCAATGTCTAATATGAATGTCACTTATGATATGCAAGAATGTTTACAACACTCCACGCCACTGGAAAAAACTTACACTAAGAATGGATGACAATAGGATACTCTGTCTGCCTCTCAAATCCCAGCTCTACCATGTACTAGCTGGACAGCCTTTCTACCATTGAATTTCCTAATTCATCAAATTGGGCTGATACCTACACCTCACAAAGTTGTTACGGATCAAATGATATAAAGTATATGAAAGCATCTGGCATAGAATAGGTGTTAGTAAGATTTGGGATGAATTTAGTTGATCAGTCTAGGACTATGGGTCATTTTTGACCCAAAGAATTCCAGGGAGATGCAGTCAGTTCCAGGTCTGAATCAGTGTGTGTATGTGCGTCAGAGAATGGCCTACATGAATCCTTGGTGAAACCGTGGAACCAATCCCATCTCCATGGTTTAACTAGGACCATGGCTCAGGCAAGAGCCAGAGAATTTCCAAGCATGAGACGACCTAGCAAAAGGCTAATCATTCCACATTTGAAGTCACTCCTAATACTCTCCTCTCCTGAGTTTCCAAGGGGATCAAAGGAGTCATCTGCCTAAAACAAAACTAGATCTAACTTCAAATTATTTTCCTCTGCTTGTTCTAACTCAAGATACAGGTTCAATTTGGCTGTTACTTATGATCTACTTTATACCTTTAGGCTACTAAAGCTGATCTTTCTAATGTACGAATCTGACATGTTAAAATTCAGTGGCTTCCTATTGCCTATAGTGCAAGGTCTAAACTACTTAGCAAAGACCTCTGTGAGCTGGCCTCTGCCTACTTATATGGCCTCATAGCCAACCATTCTGCCTCTCACTAAACCACTTACAACTCTCTAAACAGTCTGTGCTTTCTTGTGTGTCCATGCCTTTGTATGTCCTGTTCCTTCTGCCTGGTATGCCCTTCTCGCTTTCCATCTGGCAAACTCCTATTTTTCTCAAGACCTGTTTAAGCACTTCCTCCTCTGTGAATCTTCCCTTAATCCCTCAGGCAGTCACAGGCAACCCTTTCTTGGGACCACACTGACCTATGGACACACACCTCCTTTACACAGGAGGAGGAAGGACATGGTACAGTAGTCAGAATATAGACTTCAAGTCAGAAAGACTAGAGTTCAAATGTGGCCCTCTCCCCAGGCCAGCTAGAACACCAACCAGAGGGGAGAAAGCCTTCATCTCTAGCCTAACATATAGTCCACTGGTGTGGTTTCCTTAAGTGGAGATACAAGCTGCAGATCGTAGCCAAAAAGACTCAGACTTACTGGCAAGATCACACCTACCTGAGAATGACAATTGTAAAGGTATAATTCATTTTGCTCCTTTTGATCCACCCAAAGGGAAGTTGACTTCCATGCAGGTTTGCTAATCACAAGCGTTCAAATATACTAGTTTCTCTAACTTTTCATTATAAATTATTAAACAGAGACATGTCTCACCTTTGCCACTTATTGGGCAAATCATTTAAACTCTCCGAGCCTTCCTGTCTTCATGTGTAAATAAAGTGTTGTGAGGATTAGAGAAAGTGTATTAAATATCTAGCAAAAATTTGAGCCCGTGGTAAGCACTCTTATAAATATTATTATAATATAATTATAGCATATTTGTCTGTCTCTCTCCTCACTAGATAGTAAATGTATCAAGGGCAAGAAATTCATCTTTGTATCCCCAGTATTTAATGCACCAGTGCTGGGTACACAGTAAACTTTTAGTCAAAAATCTGTGAAATGTACAAATATGTACATGTTTTTTTGCCTTCCCAACAGATGGTCAGTTCCAGGAAGGCAGAGAACTTGTCATGTACTTTTCTGGAATCCACAGTAGCCACCATAGTTGTTGGGCAAATAAGCAAGCATTTAATGACTCAAGCCACATTTGTAAGTGCACCAATATATTCTTCTTAGGGGTTGCTATACTGTGGGAAAGTCACATGATGCAGCATCTGAAGACACAAAGTCTCAAGACCTAGGTTCTAGCCCTGGTACACTTTCTCACTGTGAGATGCTGGCCATACTAGCTCAACTCCCTGGGCTTCTTTTCTGCAAAATGTGGGAGAGACCTTGCAGGTTATCATGAGGATGAAGTAAGATAAAGTAAAGCATATAAATACATATAGAACACAACTAAGAGGGACAAGGGAAAACACTCCTATCAGGTTTTATGGTTTGCAGGAAAATGGTTCTGCCTTCCGTAAATCCCATTCCAGGATAGAACTTTAAAAAGTACTATACCAGGGGTCCCCAACCCCCGGGCTGCGGACTGGTTCTGGTCTGTGGCCTGCTAGAAACCTAGCTGCACAGCAGGAGGTGAGCAGCAGGCGGGCAAAGAGCATTACTGCCTGAGCTCCGCCTCCTGTCAGATCAACTGCAGCATTAGATGCTCACAGGAGCACAAACCCTATTGTCAACTGCACATGCAAGGATCTAGGTTGTGTACTCCTTATGCGAATCTAACTAATGCCTGATGATCTGAGGTGGAACAGTTTCACCCCGAAACCATCTCCCCTATCTGGCCATGGAAAAATTGTCTTCCATGAAACCGGTCCCTGGTGCCAAAAAGGTTGGGGACCACTGCACTGTACCGTCATTATGCTATGTTTATGTAATCTTCACATACCTTATAAGCTTGAAACCAAGTATCCTAGGAAAACAAGGCTCTGACATTCAAAGTGGAGAACACCACCCTGGCCTAACCCACTTGCAAGCACCCCAGGACCACTTTTCAACCTATGAACCTGTAGCATAGCTTAAACAGGGCACAAATGCCAAATGTCCTCTTGATTTTCTTATAAATGTTAAGTCAGAGGCAAGGCCAAGAATCAGACAAGCTTTTTCAAGGAAAACAATGTTCTCGACTTAAACTGAAAGCAATTAAATGGACTGCTTACAGCAGTATGCTCTATTTGGAAGTTTCCTGGTGATCTAAAATTAATCAGAAAACTTAATTTTAGTCCAGCCTCTCTTTAAATTCTTAACATTTATTAGCCTACTTATCTAACTTTGTAATTTAGTTAAGTATGGTATACTGAACATAATTGAATCTTTGTTTATAGATTCCAGACCACTTGGCAGGGATGCTGCAGAGAAGATGCAGACATCAGATAAGAGGTTGATTTGAATAAGCATTAAGATTGCCTTCAAATCTGACAATCTTGGATCTCAACAACCAGCTGCACTTTCACTTATAAAAATGAAAATCAGGCCGGGCGCGGTGGCTCACACCTGTAATCCCAGCTCTTTGGGAGGCCGAGGCAGGCAGATCACCTGAGGTCAGGAGTTTGAGACCAGCCTGGCCAACGTGGTGAAACCCCGTCTCTACTAAAAATACAAAAATTAGCCAGGTGTGGTGGCATGCGCCTGTAGTCCCAGCTACTCGGGAGGCTGAGGCAGGAGAATCGCTTGAACCTGGGAAGCGGAGGTTGCAGAGAATCGCTTGAACCTAGAAAGCACAGGTTGCAGTGAGCCGAGATTGTGCCTCTGCACTCCAGCCTGGGTGACAGAGCGAGACTCTGTCTTAAAAAAAAAAAAAAAACATCAATCATCACTGGGCGGTATGGAAGTATGAACTAATACATAGCCAAGAGGCAATATAGCACAGTGGTTAAGACTGAGGGCAATGAAGCCAAATTGTCATGATTTATATCGTGGCTCTGACCTTGGGCAGGTTACTTAACCCCTTTGCCGCAGTTTTCTCATGTGCAAAATGGGAATAAAAGTACCTATCTCACAGGGCTGCTATGAGGATTAAAAGAGGTAAATGTGAGTTACTCTGCTTTGTATTAGTTTAATAGGTGTCAAAATACTGGGGACTGCCCATGCATTATTTCATTAACGCCCTAAAGCAACGCTTTAAGGTAGGTGGGTAGCTCATTTTTAAAGATGAGGAAACAAGTTCAGAGAGGATGCATATCTTGCTTAAGGTCAGTGCCTCAGACAGGGTTTGCATCCAGTGCCCTCTGTCTCTAAAGCCTGTGTTGTTTCCATCCCGGCATCCTGCCTCCCTAGTAGGTCAAAATTGTTGAGTGTGTACAAAACTGAGTGGAGCCTATACAGACTTTATATTGTATAAACTGCCTTTTGAAGTAATTCCTGATAACTGCTTGCTTTCTCGTCAATACTCTCATGCTTAAAGCACAACAGAAATAACTCCATTAATTAAAGATTCACTAAATCATGGTTTACTTACACCGTGAATGTACAAGTGGCAAGTGAAGTTCAAATAGCTGAATAACACCCAATAAAATGGTTAGCCTACCTCAGCCTGTTTCTTTCTTTAAATCTTTTATTGTTCTTTGCATAGGAATATAATATTTTGCCCATAATGATTATCCTAATTCATTCCTAAATTATTAAGTCCCATGTCTATCACTCATCTAAGCATTGTGTCAAATGCTAAATGCTATTTAGTATGTTTGTCTTGTCACTCCAAAATGGTAACTTACGGGCTCTTACAATCCCCAAAGTATTTTATCCAGGACTAAACATAACTAGCTTCCAATAACTGCTTTATGCTTTGGATCTGACTGATCCCAAACAGACACTAAACAAAGTAGTTTTTCCATTCTTCAAGAGCAGTCCGGTAAAAGACATGCCATGAAGAGCCTTGAGAAAGCCTAAAACACCAAAAGAATGAAGCTGAAGAACCAGCCATGAAGAACTCTGAATATTAAGAAAGTAGGTACAGGGAGCCAAGGTGAAACCTCAAGAAACATGGAGTCTGGAAAGAGAAAATGAGAACAGTTAAGGGGAATGGGTGTTCAGAAAACATTAAGGGTTTGAAGTAGAAGGGGAATTGTAGAGTTAAGGTGGATTCTGATCCAATGGAAAAATATTGGATCAGAAGCCTTACCAAGTTTCTCTGGCTAAAGAGCCTGGGTGGTAATCTGTGGGTGGTCCGCACCTAAGAACACAAAAAACTGGACACAGATACAAGTGGAGAAAAGTGTCATGCAGCAGGGAGTGGTAAGAGTCAATCCTAAATGCAGTCATTTGGGTACAATGTGCCCTTCAGAGAGGGCATGGTGACAGCATGGGCTAATTTACAGAGCTGCCAGGGCAATAACTCAGAAAGCAATACTGCCTTCTCACAACAAAACGAGGCAGCCCCAAAATGTTTCATGGTGGTAAAAGCTGCATTACAGCATACTGAGATCCTGGAACCAATGAAAGGAGACAAGTTTACCAAAACGAGTCTTGACACAGAGTACGTTTCTGGCAAATACATTATTAGGCACTCATTCTACTCATGTCCTGGAGAAACTATTTAGTTTCCTTATATGGCCCTTCTCTTCAGCCCTCTCCTGTATAATAACTAATGTCTTCTTAAAGAAACAAAGATAGAAAAGGAATAGAGAACTGTTTCACTCGTTTACCAGCCCCCTCTGCCCCTGAATTCCCAGTTTTTTCCAGGGAGGTGAGTGGAGGCTCATCACTGAGAGTGTCAAAGAAGAAATACCAGCTTTTGAAATCACTTTAAAAAATTGATTCTGCTACAGAAATCTATGTTGACGGGGGAAGACAAGGGAAACACTGCAATTGTCTATGCTGACTGCCAGAATTAAGCGGCCTTGTTTTAACCAAGATGGTTTTCTTTAATCCCGCTAGAATTTTAAGATACAATGTGCATATGCAAGGGTAGAAATACTATCATGGATACAAAATCAAAGTAAATACTGGCTGTCACTCTTAACTGAGAACCAACTTCTGTTACTCTTCTTAAATTTCTTCAGTTGGCTCCCATTATCTACAAATCAAATCCAAACTGCTTAGCAAGGCCCCAACTTCATTTCTGAATACATTTTCCTCCCTATTCTCAAGTTCTACAGCCCACCTCTCCCAAAAGCCATGCTCCTCTGCCTGGAAAGTCATTTCCATTCCTCTTTGCTGGGTGAAATCCTGCTCATCATTCAAAGAACTGCTTGCTCCAGGAAGACTGCCTTGATACCCATCCTCCTGGGAACTCTTGGAGGACCCTGTACATTGCACTCACATATGGCACTGTCATTTCATTTTACTGGCTTTCCCTTCCACTAAATTGTGAGGATCAAGTGCCAAATTCTATGGTTTCTATTATATCCTCTAGTCCCCAGGTCATGGGCTTGACACATAGTAGATACACAATAAATGAACAGTAAATATAGGCATCTATAATTCCTTCAGTAGGAAAATATCTACTCTCTTTAAACCTTTCATGAAATAGGACAACTATCTTCCCCTTTTTACTACATGTACAGCCAGAATGACTGAAGAATATACCACCTGGGTCGTATAACTGATAACATTTCAGGAAGCTGCTAGCTGATTACATCACTTATGACATCAGAAAGAAAGCCACCATTTTGTAGAGCGCGTATGTGACCGCCAACATGGACCGAATTCATGCTACATACACTTGACTTTAGTCTTGACACCCTTGGTAACTCATTTTAGTTTTATTTTGATAAAGAACTTGAGGCTGTGAAACTTGCCCACAGTCATACAGCTAGCAAGTGATGAAGCCAAACTAATACAATGTGCTAGATTTTCTTCTAGATGAACTAAAAAATGAGGTTGGCTGAAACTAACATTTCCCCAGTGCTGAAAAAAACGATGAAGGCAGCAAATAACTTGTTCATCTCAGACTGTGGGTATGCAGTTTTAACAATATCAACTGAAAACCAGCCTTCTTCCCATTCAGAGCTTAAATAATTGCAACACTGTTACCATCCATCAAATAAGAGACTCATCAGATACTCAGTTTGAAGCACTGTTTTAAAACAACTTCTCAAATTTATTTAACTCATGTGGTTAACATGGTATTGTATAAAAAGAAAAAAAAAACACCACTCAATACTTACTAAGCCTTGCAGACAGCTCAGAGTTGAGGCAGCATATTGGGCATAGAGATCATAGGATTTGTATTATCCCTTGCAAGATGGAACTCCAACCAACACCAGAATTTTCCAATTCAAATTCAGTTTTAGTCGAGACCCCAGCATAATTTTTAGAAAAAAGATTGGATTGTTGCTTTTCTTTTAATTTTCCATTCCTATTTAGACAAATGACCAGAGGCAATGACAAAAGTAACTGTTTAAAAGGGATTTCTCTCCAGAAGTTTTTTCTAAAGGTTTAAGTCCAGGCTTTCCATCCTTCTCTCCATCCTTTTTCCTTTTAAAAAGAAGGGTTTTGGAATATGTCAACCTTTACTCAGCTTGCTATACAAAGCCACTGCTTTAGTCCTAGACATAATGCCAGGACTCATCTCCCAAACTTCTGGTCTTAATCAAGTTCATGCTTGGTTGCTAAAGAAGCTCATGTTAATCCCAAAGTCAGCACAATCCCAACCTTAAAAAGCAGACAGCTGATTGCATCACTTACGACATACACCATCTTGAGGCAAAAGAAGCCAGTCAGACACCCCTTGTCTGCTACGTGTGAGACACATCAGCAGTTGAGCCTGACCCCTTCCGCAGAGCTCACTGTGCAAAATCACCAGCACACCACTGCAATCCACTGAGCTCACCGCCTGTCCAGCCATAATGGAAGTCACTTGAAGGTTATCATTGTAATAGATGATTTTCCATAAGTAACTAATAAAAATGTTTTCTTTGATGTTTAGACCTACTAACAATTCAGTCTCTCCCTCTCCATCCTCTCTTAGGGAGCCTGTACTTTTAAGCAAATAGGGAAGCTAAAAATACAAAGGAGCAACATCCATTTATAAATAAATGTGTGCCTTATCTTCCTCACTAACTTCCTGGAAAAGTGCTGTTTTTGAATATTCTGTTTTCTTAAGGAGAAATTTTTTGTAAATGTAGCACACTGTATATAGGAAGGGATTTCTCTTTTTAGTCTTTATCTCATTGTACGGGTTTCACTCTCTAGGTATTGAGAGTGGGGGAGGAGGGGATCAACAAACCGCAAAGAGCAGCATAAAGCACACCCCGTATCAGCAGCACGGCAGCTCCTCCAATATCGTCAATGCTGACTCGAGGTAATTTCTGGTGGAGTTGAACACATCATTAAATTTCTATTTGTGTTCTGCCTGAGGCTTTTCCCTAACCACTAATTGCAAGTGAAGGTCCCAGAGAGCTTTTGTGAAAGGAACAGAACACAAGCCACGTCCTGGTCTGTAGCCAGGTGTCCGTGTACTGCATAATGGAGGAAGAGGATTACAGGGAGATTTTCACTTCAGCCTTTAGTCCAACCAAAACTTAAAAGACTTACAGAGAACAGCCTCAGGAGGTTAGGGGACAGAAGTGTGGTACTGCAGGAAGACAAGAGGGGTAAACGTATCCAGCAGAATGTAAGGATAAGAAACACCCACATGAATTCTTAGAATACAGAGGAACAAGAAGGAATAATTCCTGTGCCATATGCGGACCAGGGCATAGGGTGAGTGGAGCACAGTGGGTTAGCCACTAAATGGCTTCAGTGAGAATTCTGAAAACTGTTCCAGTATAATTTTGGAGTAAATCCTTCTCCTGGACAGGTCAAAGACTGTGCTTTTTAAATGTCATTAGAAGGTAACAGCTTTTTGCCTCCTGCTTCCAGATGATTTCCTTTTGGTTAAAAACCAGAAATAGTATAAACCTCACAGGATGAAAGAACAGTCTTTTGATACAGGTGAGGTGGAGATCTAGATGAACTTACATAGTAAGTGAGGAGTACATTTCTTGGTCTTCTCCCTTGACCACTCCAAGTCTCTGATCTACCAGAGATGGCAGTTTATTTCCTCTGGAAGAAGCCAGTAATGGACACCTGTCTGTTGGCTTTGCCCAGAGCAGCAGTCCCTTTCTTGGGGCCCTTTCGTTCCTCTCTGGGTTCTTTTTTCACAGTCATGGCAGGGGGTCTGTGTACTGAGGATGTCTTCATGTTAAGCTCCTCTTCACTATCTGTGCAGGATTCACTCTCGTAGACTTTTTCAGTCACTGGTAGGATGAGAAAAAAATGGAACATGGGTGGGCTGAATCATTTACTCTATGAAGAAAATGGGATGTCTTGCTAACCCCAATCATTTCAGACTCTGATCAAGGCAAATATGCTTACTTAGGACTCAATCTTTCTCCCACTGGGAGATCAGATCTAGCCTAAGGTAGGAACTATGTGGGATCCTGAGCTCACACAGTCTCTATTTGATGCTTAGAATTAACGTTCACTTTTCTCCCTCACAGCTATATCCCATGCCTTTAAATGGCCCTTTATCAGTGAATTGCCTAAATCCTTTATTTGGGTCCTGGCCTATGCTGGCTAACTTCCTGAACTCTATATCCGAATTGTCTATATCTTAAACACTTACTTCTAACTCCATGCTTTGACTGGCTTCTTAAGTATCACCTCTCTGACCTACAATGCCTGCCTATTCCCGTTACTGGTCTTAAACTGCTGGCCTATTTGCCTGCCTCCATTCTGTTTAACCAAGGTCACCATGGACCCTCCTGTCTAGCTCTAACCTGATGCCACCCACTCTCTGCACATCCTAGGTACAGAGAATTGAAGATTAGTTACTCAACTGTTCGGTTCTTAGTTCTTAATGGCTGCAAATTAACCCAAAATTTAGTAGTAGTCTGTATCATGAAGGTTAACTATCTCAAGCAAATGCTATCGGATGACACACGTGTTAAAGGAATGACAGTGATAAATTGAGAAACAAAGTTACCAGTTTTCTTACTCCCTATCAGCCGAAGGCATAAATTGCTTTTCCCCTGCTATTAAAACTCACTGAACCCTTCCCAAGGGAAACTTGGAAAAGAACTGTAACAGTAAGCAGTCATTATGAGCAAGCCCCAAAGGACACAGGCACAGATAGTGGCTTCCAGCCATGACGTCACATAACCGAGGAGGATCTACACTACTGCAACACATATACCAACCACAAGAAACAGCATGCCACCTTTCTGTAATTTTAGAGAGCTGTGGCAGCTGTATAACCAATGCTATCTAAATTCTTTCTCAGCCTTCCTGGTTGCAGCAAGCGATAGAGAAACATTGAAGGAAAAGAGCTTGTTCTTAGCTGAAAAGCGTAACCTAATATGCATAATAAATGCTCAAATGATTAAAGTAAAAGGTTTTTTTTTCCATTAAAGAACAATGACAGTCTTGAGCTTTTATTGATAATTCTTTCTAATAAAATATATCAAATTGTTCTAGAGGCATAAGCTTTGGAATCAAATGTATGTGTGTCCCAATACCTACTCTGCTACTTAAGATATCATCTCAAACTTTACTGTGCATCAGAACCACCTGGAGGGCTTGTTAAAACATAGATTGCCAGATTCTGTTTCTCAAGTTTCAGACTCAGCAGATCTGGGGTGGGACCTGAGAATTTGCTTCTCTAACATGCTCCCAGATAATGCTGATGCTGCTGGTCTGGGGACCACACTCTGGGAATTAATGTTCTCTCCTTCCCTGTTTTAAATGTTGAAGTGCAATTGCCACTGGAGCATTCCGTCCCTCTTATCCAGCTAATCCCATTAAGGCTGCATAATCAACAATCCCTTCCCAGAGAGTTCCCAGAGTTTGTCTTTAATTTTGTAAGAGCCCAGAATTCACTTTGATGTTCACTTAGAGGCTAAAAAATACTGATAAATTTTAGATATATATTAAGTATTCTGAAAGGCCTTACTACTCAAATTGTGCTCCGCACACCAGAGGCAACAGAATCTCCCATGAGCTTATTAGGAATGCACTCTCAGTTCCCACTCCTGGCCTACTGATGCAGAATTTCAATTTTAGCAAGATCTTCAAGTAATGCACATAGCCGGCAAAGTTTGAGAAATGTTGCTCTAAGATAATTAGAGAATTCCCATGGCATACCTATTCGTTCAGCAATTAGACCCCAGAACACCACCTCCATCTCACATGCATCTTCAAAAGCATTATGTAACTGAATTAATGGGACAAAATTACGAGCTGTTATTTATTCAATATCTTAAATTAGAAAAGTCTGAAGAGCCATCTACAGATACAGAAAGGAAATTACTTTCTACTAGTTGGTGGTATAAGACTTTGCTCCTTCATAAGCTATATTCTGTACTCAAATGGCAGCATGTCTACATTATACTTCAGCATCAATTAGCTCATTATTTCATTACTTATTAATGAAATCAATGGCTGTCTCATTGCCAATTTTGTGTGAGACATTGCTCAGGGGAGTTAAAAAACAGTCAGGGCAGCACCAACAAAATTTCTTTAGCAGCATATTCAGTATACTGTAAGAACTAAAAGGAATATTTCTATATTCAAAGCTGTAGCTACCGCAAACCCCAGAAAAAAGGAGGTCTCCATTAAAAATATAGGGCCTTTATTTTAGCTGAACAACATGCCACTTTTCTGGGTTGCCATTAAAAAAAGGCAAACAAACCTGGTTTTCGTGGGTAACATCAGATTTCTTTTCCACTTAACTGCTTTGCTCTTAGAAACCCATTCCCTTGTCCAGAAGTCTACTCCAAACTTATCTCAGGGGCCCAACTACCCAATTTCTGCTGCAAAGTCACAAAGAGAGAAAGATGAGCTTTCTAAACCCATAGAACAAATCTGATCCAGCACAGGACAGGGCAAGCCCCCTATGCTGGTACATTTGGAACAGTCTGAGCAGAGAGAGGAAAGCAGAACTCCTTTGTTGGTAACCAAAGCCAAGATTCATTAGGTTGAGCTTGGACCAAAAACCTTTAAAAAAAAAAAAAAAAGTGCAATGTGAGCACAGTTTTCACTGCTGCATCCAAGGCTCTTAACAGTCCTGTCTGGAGACAGGAGTGCAAAAAAGTCCACATCACACACCTGGCCAAAACTCGAGTACTATATTTTAAACAAAGCAATAAATAATTACCCACAAATTCCCAATGAACTCTCACTCTCACAAAGACGTTTGACTTTTTTCTTTTGGGGCAGAAAGAGGAGGAAAAAACTGGCACCAATGTTTTTGTCCTCTTAAATTTAAAAAATGCACTGTTGAATTAAGAAATTCAACAGTAAACACATATATTATCACCCATGGCCAAACCAAGAGGCTTGAAAATGGCAACTATTAAAAGACTGAAAGCCAAAAAAAAAAAAAAAAGGAAGAAAAAGAAAAAAAAAAACCCATTCAAAGTCCAGAATTCACAGGTTCACAAGAAATTTGGCACTGAAAAGACAGAATTTCCACACGTAAAGAATTTTACTCCCCAATCACATGTTACAATTAAAATGGCAGAGGCCTTTTCAGAGGACTGGGAGGTGGGGAATAGTGGGACAGGGAGCACAGATGACAAAATGTCTTCACTAGTTTTAAGAACCTGGAAAGGTTGATTCTTCAGAGCCAATCTTTTCAAAACAAGTCTGAACTAGGAAAAAAAAAAATCAGTAACAGGGAAAATAATCTTCTCTGAAGATCCAAGCTGTAGCAGGTGCCACAAAAGGCAAAATGACAACCATGGGCTATCCAACTAACAAAGGTAAGAGCCTAAACCCACAACTCTTTTCAAACACAAAAATACAGTACCAGGATCTGAGCATCCCATCAAACCTCAAGTGCTAAATCTTAAAAGCTCCACAGAAGTCTAGTGTGATTATGGAAAGGGTAGAAGAAGCTAAAACATGGCTGAAGAACTAGCCAATGACTCAAAGCCTGAACTCTAATTCCTCCCTAGGCCTTCATAACAAGCACATGCTTTTACCTAACATGGCTTACAAATAGGAAACATAAAGGAAGCAATCTCGATGAGTCATACCCTTCTGAAGAACAAATGGAACCAAATACCAAAGATGACTCTTGATTACAGTCTAATCATCTGTAGCTTCTTTTCCACTGTTCAAATTTATAAAAACAAATATTCTAGAAAAAAAAAAGCTTCTCAATGTCTATGATAACATCTTAAGCCCATACTGTGGTTTCCATCTTGTTTTTGGATATATTTATGCCACCTGAATCTTCATAACTGCACATTTAGGCAAAATAGATATTCCATAGATAAGAAACTCTTCACCAGGGACGACATAACTTTTAGCCAAGATCTCAGTGCTTATTTTTATAGTCTATGACCTAAACAAGAACCTAGGTGTTCTGACTTACACTCTGCTACACAAAGTGTATGCCATAGACAAACAGCATCAGTACCACTTGGGCATGATTCACATGTAAATTAAAGTTTGAGATGTACCTGTTCTAAAAGGGATTATGGTGCCTCTGTGGTAATAAGAGATTCTATCTCTGGATTTGGAGCCAAATATTTGTCTTACCTATGCAGCCTTCCCCATCCAGGTAAGTTTTAGATTTTAGTACGCGTTTTCGTTTTCTTTTGTTTTCTCCACTTGAGCTCTAAAAGGTCAGAGGATACAATGTTAAGCTGGATCAATTATGTTATACAGAAAAATAACAAAAGCTTTTAAATCTATACTAATCACTCTCCAATACTCCATTATGATAAAAAGTTGAAAGAGAAACTCTACATTAGTTTTAGAGAACCAACCCCATCACACAGACAAGTTACGCCCACTATATACACAGGCTTGATACTTCATTGTTCATAAGAAGGAAAGTAGCATGCTGAAGAAAGAACTGTGTTCTGTTCATTCAGTCAATAAACTATTGTTGGGTAGTGCAGGCAGCATGGTTAAAAAGACATATAGGATAAGGACCTTAGTGGAGGAGAGAGAGAAGGAAAGCAGACCACTGCAATACAGTGTAGTGAGGGCTGAGACAGATATTATGGGAGTACACAGGGATGGCCCCTAAACCACACCAGGGATTTCTGTGGCATATGCCCTTGCTGTAGATACTTGCTATGTCAGCCTTCACATTTCTTGTCTTCTTTTTTTGTTTGTTTGTTTTTTAGAGACAAGTTCTGGCTCTGTTGCCCAGGCTGGAATGCAGAAGTGCAATCATAACTCACTGCAACAGTCCAACTCCTGGGCTCAAATGATCATCCTACCTCAGCCTCCCAAGTAGCTGAAACTAAAAGGCATGTGCCACCATGCCCAGATATTTTTAAAGTAGAGACAAAGTCTCCCTGTGTTGCCCAGGTCTCAAACTCCTGGACTCAGGCATTCTGCCCACCTCAGCCTTCCAAAGTGCTGGGATTACAGGTGTGAGCCAACACGCCTGGCCAGCCTTGACACTTCAACATTATAGCTATCTAATTTAGTCTCAAAATAGGTATTACTAGTATCAACTTCCTTTTATCTCCACTGGTCTCTTTCGTCCCATTTTCTCTTCAGCTAATGAGGAAATCAGCGTAAGATTTAAATGATGGTCTTAACACAATGAATTAAGAAAAACTAACAGCCACAAAGGAAAAAAAAATTGTCAGCGACTATTTTTTCAACTCTTCATTATCTACACTAATAGGTGTAGATAAGATGCAGCTGAAGAGCGTTCAAAGCTATATTTCCCCTTTGGTTGACAGTTTTCCCATCCAGCCCTTTTCCAGAATTGCTTCTGAAGAGCAACAAACGTGTGTTAAGTTGTTTGTTCCCCTCTGTCTTTCACGTGTTGCTCTGATGCAGGGGGGATCTCTTTTTACACCATTCTAACAGGAGCTGTACAGCACAGCAGAGATGCTGAAGGTCATGAAAACAGAACAGCTCCCAGGTTCCACCTCTGCAACGTTCCTGAGACTATACCCACTAGCAAAATCTCCCTTCAGGTAAGAATGGAGGGAACGCCCATTCTGTACAACCTGTAGGACAGCAGAATGAGACAAGAGCCATCTACTGGCATTTGTGAAGTATACAGCAAGGGAACTAATTTAGCATAGTGGTTGTAGGTCCTTAAGACACAAAGGATGCATGGACATGCAAGAATCCCAGTATAATTTTACCTTGACAGAAGGAGGTTCAGGCTCAGTCTTTGGCACTGGTTCAAGAGGTGGAGACGGAGGAGGAGGTGGGGATGGTGACTCAGCTTCATAAGCCCCAGGAGAGTCTGGAAAGACTGAAATAATGAAACGGACTTAGATCAGAGAACTACAAGCACTATCTGGTATAAAGCCTTCTCCATTGGTTCTCTAAATTGACATGTCCAGCAAAGGGGATTTAGCAAGCAGTAATTCATGACAACCAAGAACTCTGTAGTTATATAGTTATCTTTAAAATACATATTTTATTAATTTTATACAAATAAAATCAGAGAATCAAGAATTATTACAGCCGGAAGTATCTTAGCTAAATATTTTCTTTTATAGCTAGTCAGGTTATGAAGTTGGTTTACAAATATCCACTTATCGCCTTTCATATGCCATGTATTTCACTTTATTCTTACAACAACTCTAAGAGACAGATTTTCTTATTTGCACATTACAGTAAATAGAGGTTCAGAGGGGTTCCTAAACTTGCCAAGGTCACACAGCTTATAACTGAGACAGGAGGTTTTAAGCCTAAGTCAATCCAATTCTACAGCCTTGCTATTCCAACTATCCCATGCCGCCTTACCATTGAGGACAAGACATTATCTCTCAAGATCTATGTGGAGATAATCCTCAGGTTATAACAAATGTTCCATGCCAGAGTCTTTCACTGTGACCTAAGGGTTACTTTTAATCACCTGAGATGTTTCTTAGACTGAAAATTTCCAGCTGATGTTAACAGTATAAACTTGGAGGTGGGTGAAGTCATCTTTTAAACAATTATCATTATTTAAGCTCTGACAACTAGGACCTACTTAATATTTTGCATATTTCTAGTGACTGCTTCACTGATAAGGTTTGTTCTGCTACAGTGAGGTTAACAGGAAAGAACACTTTTAGGAAAAAAATACTGCTGTGGAAGTGGCATCACCCAAGAAATGAGCACCACCAGAGGGATCCCATCATTTCTCAACAATTGCAGAATTGGTGGTCTTAGTAAACAGCCCATGAGAGGGGAAGTAAAAATCCTCAACTGACCTATTACTCAATCACCACAAAGAAAGTGCTGGTCAGGGGACCGGGTAGCGACTTAGCCTCACCTGCTCCCTGAATCTCCTGGCTGTATTCAAATTCTTAACACAAGTCTTGGATCTGAAATTCTCCCAACTGATTAGGTCAGTGTTAAAAATTATGACAGTGAAGAGTTCAAGGCCAAATGGCCTAAAGAGGTGAAGCAGAACAAGAGCCAGAAAGAACAATAAATTACACACTTTAAGTATAAAATGGGCCCCAAAAACTTTATAAGCTCTGGGAAACAAGAGAGAGAAACATAAAAGGAAAGCGGTCCGGCTATTAGCCAGCTCTGGGAGGCTAGAACATGATGGGAGCTCAGGCAAGAGAAAAGTCAAACCCCAGAAGCAAGCCTCCATTGTTCTGAAGGAACAGCTATGAAGAAAGCTGGGCCACAATGGTAGATGTGTTATAATGGGAGGAGGAAAATTTAGGCAATGAGGAAGCCAAAGGAATTTTGAGACTCACAGTAATAAACTTAGGCGTTCTTATTCTATTTCCAGTTCTGAAACCAGTTGACTTAACCAAAGAAAACAATCCTAGTGACACCCTCTAAGACCTCTCTCACAGCACTGTAGGCAAATGTTTATCTAGATCCCCACTCTAGACTCTAAGCTCCAAAAAGGCAGAGACACCACGATTTCCCTGGCATAAACATAGAGTAACTGTGTGTGTGTGTGTGTGTGTGTGTGTGTGTGTGTGTGTGTGTGTGTGTGTGTGTGTATTTACTTAAATAAAGGAAAACCACCACTTTCTGAACTAAATTTGGGATGAGGAACATCCAGGTCAAGGAAGACAACATATATCTCTCTCTTCCTTCCACACACTCCCTGAGAGAAACACTGTTGATAATAAATGAGTAAAACATTATAACTCCCCCAAACAGGGAAGAGAATAGTAGAGTCAAGAGTCCTTAATGATTAAGAAATTTCAACAAATCCATGGAAGGTGGAAGGCAGATGGGAGAAAGTTGACAAAAGAAGCATCAGTCAAATTAGATGAGCCAGAGAGTAGAGATTATCATCTATCATAAAACTTCTATTTTTATCTGACTTTTAAAATTGTAAATATCTACTGCTTTGTTTAAACGTGCCGCCATTCATGTACTAGAATATATGTCTGTCTGCCTTAGTCTTTACCAAGCCAAACATCCCCACTCAATACATTTTTACTGACACAGACATAAAGAATGTCCAATGCACTGGTGTATTTTAAACAGATTTGTAGCCAATCTGCAGCTCTTCAAGCAAAAGGTAAGTAATGAAATATCACTTATTCCAGGAAAGCAACCTTTGTTGGGACAGAATAAAAACTGCAATGAAACTAATTTCAGAGATCCAGTGTGTCAAAGAGTTCTCTGGCAGAGACAGGTAATTAGAATTCCTGGAAACCATTCACAGCTTCCTAGGACTATTTTTTAAAAATACCTACCTTTACCTAAAAATGGGGATCATTTGCTTAACATTCTCCATAAGCAACTTGCAAGGACTGAAAATATTAGCAAAGACTTAACTATATCAGTTAAAACTACATTTCTCCTAGCAATGTAGATGTTATTCTTAATGTTATTTCTTTCTGGGTCTGGCCTTTTTTTTTGCTTTAAAAAGAGAGTATATAGTACTACAGGTGCTTATGACCCCGCAGGGGTAAAAGAGAAAGGAACAGTCCCTTGGGTAGAAAGTTACAAACAGAAGTGGAGGGGAATTTTCTGAAAAAATTGAAGGTACTTGCAAGTATGGGCACCTCAGCAGGAAGAGTAGAGTGAGTAATAAGAAAACTATCTGAACTTGTTTCCAGACACAGGTAAAAGAAAAAAACAGGACGGGCGCAGTGGCTCACGCCTGTAATTCCAGCACTTTGAGAGGCCGAGGCGGGTGGATCACGGGGTCAGGAGTTCAAGACCAGCGTGGCCAACATGGTGAAACCCCATCTCTACTAAAAATACAAAAATTAGCTGGGCGTGGTAGTAGGCACCTGTAATCCTGGCTACTCAGGAGGCTGAGGCAGAGAATCGCTTGAACCCGGGAGACGGAGGTTGCAGTGAGCCGAGATCGCATCGCACCACTGCACTCCAGCCTGGGCGACAGAGCAAGACTCCGTCTCAAAAAAAAAAAAAAAAAAAAGACAAGACAAAACAAAAGAAAACCATGTACCAAGCACTGTCTTGGCACTTCTGACACATCATCTTATTTCATGTTCATAAAAAGCCTATACCATCTGTGATAAAAATCCCCATTTTAGAGATGCAAAAACAAGGAATTAAACAAGTTAACTAATCTGCTTAAAGTCACACAATAAGTGGTCAAGGTAAAATTTAAACCCAGGTCTGCCTGACTCCAAAGTTCTTGTATTTTCTCTACTCCTGCTGTTCCTTTTCTAACTTCTGGCTGAAGACAGCATATTGAACTAATATGACATATTCAGTGTAACAGAAATAAAGCAATAATAAGTTAAAGACTGTGTAAAGGTTGAAAATAAAATCCCACTGGCTTTGATACAAAGATGAAATTTAAGAATAAAATGTCAGAGGTTTATAAATTTAGTCAGATGCCAAAAATTATCTTTGCCAGAGGAAAAAAATCTAAGAGCTTCTGCTCTATATCATCTGTTATTATAGGCTGTGTACCTCTATTGCATTTCTTCACATTCCTTTCAAAACTAAATAACCCCACTCACATTTCTAATCACCCAACAGTATTATTTTTGTAGGCTACAGATCAGAACTATAGGGAATATTTCAGAAGGATATAATGAGTGCTCAACCAACCATAGTCATTCCTTAACTTAGAACTGACTCCTTTACTAATACTAGAGTATCTAGTTGATAGCTTCAAAGACCTTTCCAAAATCTTCCCAAGGTCTTTTACTGATTGGAAATAGGGAAGACTGTTCCAATTAGCACCTATTCCTACATTTACTTCCTAATTATTTTCCCATGTGTCTACATGGAGTTGTTCCTTTCAGCAGCCTTGGCCAAAGCATTTTGATAAATGACAATGGAATGAAAATACAGCATTTGCCTCTCTGGGATGCTCACGTGTCTTACTCCTACCCATTCTAAAGAGCCACTAAAACCCACGGAAGGACATTGTACCTCTCACAGGATATCACAGGCTGTAATTCTAAACACATAGCATGAATGGTAGAATCTAAATCCACAGAAGTGTCAAAGATGCTACACCTTTATCACAGATTCAGCTTCCTGCTACTATTTCTTGGGTCTGTTCATTTCTTTTGCATTACTGTCAACTGTATATATAATTTGTTTTTTTTTCACTCACTTGTATAGTTGAGCTAATATCCTTTTTTCGGAAGCCTCTCTTACCATTTTCAATTCCTCTTAGAGTAGTTTCTGGAAAAAGCAGAATCTTACAAGTTTCAGAATCTTACAAGTTTGTCCTTTGATAGCTCAGTAGGTTCCTTTTTTGCATTCATTATTCTTCTTTACTCTCCCTTTTAGTATCTGTTCGTGTTTGTCTCTGTATCTTTATGTGATGCTGAAATCCTTTGGACTAGATTTCCCCTCATTACTTAAAATGTTTTATACCCATTATGCCATGAATTCATGGACAATTGATTAGAGCAGTTCAAACTTTTCACCACTGTGTCTCAAAGTGGGCTTTTCAAGGTAGAGTCGTCCAGCATATCAGTTCAACCCATTTAACTTTCTTTTTAGCCTCCTTCTTTTTCTATATACTTTATACAATTTGGGGCAAGATCTTGGCTCTTCAAAATACTTGATATTTTTTTAAAAGCATATTAATGTTCCCGGTAAAACTCTTGCCCTTATGAGGTTTGCTTATCTTACAACATTGCCCACAGCCTAAAACTAGAAGGGTCCACAGTGTCATTCCCTTCTAACAATGACACTGTAGGTTGTTCCAGTTAACCCTAGTTTTACCTGTGTGGACCACCACCAGTAATACCCTGGCTGCCTAGAACGTCACAATTTTTAAAAGATTCACATGAAGGTAGCTAAAGGAATATCCTCCCCTTAAAAGTAAAAAAAAAAAAGAAAAGAAAAGAAAAAGTCTTAGATAATATGTATAATAATAATTCTTATCCTCTTTCCTTCTGTGTTATTTTGACAAATTTCCAAAAGATCATGGTTCTAGTCAAAAGGCTAATGCAGATTTCAAACAGAAAGAGGTGCTATGGTGTCTCTTAATGCTAGAATTACTACTCTCATTGTGATCCTTAATCCATTACTTTTTTAGCTCCTTGAACATTGAAAGTAAAATTGATCCCCCTAACCCAAAATGAATGGTAATGCCCACCTTCATCTTCACTGCTATCAGATTCAGGAAGTTTGATTCTTCTCCTCTTTTTCCTCATGTTTTCAGTTTCCTTTGTCTCATCATCAGATAATGCTACTCGCTTCCCCCTGTTGCCATCCAGAAATAAATTAAGCGTGTTACACAGAACAAAAATGTAAGTATTCACATGCTCTTATGGGTTTTGCTTTATAACTCGTGGTCTTAATTCCAGAGGGTAGAAAAGGACGGCCAAATAGTCCAAGAAGGACTCTTGTTAAGGATACTCTGCTAACTGACCACAACTAAGTCACTTCATGAGGTGACTTGAATAAAAAAGTTCTAGAGTTCTCTAGAGACTGCTGGAAGCTACAACCAGGTTATCAAGAATCTTTCCAAATTCCTTCTTACTTCCCTGATTGGCCTTTCAATTATCCAACAAGCATTAAATAAGCAGCTACTACATACATACAAGGCTCTTTGCTAGCCATTGAGAATGCAACAATACAGAAGAAAATACTGTTTTCAAGAAGCTCTGGCAAACACCACTGGCTATAAGGCAATGTGGTAGATTTAACTGGACAAATAAAATGTTATGGAATATAATTCATATTTGGAAAACTTAAAAGCTAAGTAGAAGTTCATCATGTAGAAAGGGGAAACATATTTTAAAGAGAAAGAACAATATGAGCAAAGGCAGAGATATCCTTTTAAGGTGATTCTAATGACATAATAATAATAAAAAAAATCCTAGACTCCATCATGACATTATTTAGCTCCTCTGGATGAATGGATACTCCATCACACTCCTCATGCAACCAACAAGTAATTTATCAAAGGCCTACTGAATGTTAGAGAAACAAATATATACAAGACATAATCTTTGCCATCAAGTACCTTATGTCCTATATAACTTTAAATACCAACTTTCCTTTCTACCTTGAACTAGAAAAAGAACAATTAAACCCAAAGTAAAAGGAAACAATAAAGATAAGAGCAGAAATCAGTGAGATAAAAAATAAGAGAAAATTAACAAAGCCAAAGTTGTTATTTTTGGGAGATTAATTTTATTAATAAGCCTTTTATAAAACCCATTTTGAAAACAGAAAAATATAAATTATCAATCAGGAATGAAACAGTAAAGAAATCTGTATCGAGTACAGGTTCTACAAACTCGAAGAATAAAGTTATATAATGAACGGGTTTATGCCAATAAACTCAACAATTTAGATCAAATTTTGACTGAGTTTTAAAAACACAACTCAGTCAAAACTGATCCAAGAAGAACTAGAGAATTTGAACAGCTCTAGTTAAATCAAATTCACAATAAAAACCTTTCCCACAAATAAAATCCAGCCCTGGATTCACTGGTAAATTTTATTAAACATTTGAAAAATATACACGTATATATAAACTCCTTCAGAAAACAGAGGAAACTTCTCCCAACTGCGGTCATGGATCACTTAATGACAGGGACATATTTTGAGAAATGCATTGTTAGGTGACTTCACTGTGTGAACATCACAGAGTATACTCACACAAACCTAGATGGTATAGTCTATGCTCCTAGGCTACAAACCTGTACATCATTGTTACTGTACTCAATACTGTAGGCAACTGTAACACAACGGTATTTGTGTATTTAAACATCTAAAAAGAGAAAAGATACAGTAAAAATACTGTATAAAAAAGATTAAAAATGGTACACATGTATAGGGCACTTACCACGAATGGGGCTTTCAGTACTGAAAGTTGCTCTGGCTGAGTCAGTGAGTGAGCGGTGAGTGAAATGTGAAGGCCCTAGGATGTTACTGTACACTACTGTAGACTTTATCAACACTGGATACTCAGGCAACACTAAATTTATTTTAAAATGTTTTTCTTTCTTCAATAATAAACAGCTTACTTTAACTGTATTTTCAATTTTATAACTTTTTGGCTCTTTTGTAATAACACAGCTTAAAACACAAAAAATTGTACAGCTGTACAAAAATATTTTCTTCTTTATATCCCTATTCTATAGGCCTTTTTCTATTTTAAAAATTTTTTATTTACTTTTTAAACTTTTTTTGTTGAAAGCTAAGACCCAAACACACATTAGCCTCGGCCTACACAGGGTCAGGATCATCAATGATCATTGTCTTCCACCTCCACATTTTGTCCCACTGGAAGGTCTTCTTCAGGGGCAGTAACACACATGAAGCTGTCATCTCTTATGATAACAATGCCTTCTTTTGAAATATCTCCTAAGGGCTGCCTGAGGCTATTTTACAGTCAACTTTTTTTATAAGTAGAAAGACTACCCTCTAAAATGATAAAAAGTATAGTGCAGTAATTATAGTAGCATAGTCATTTTTATTATCAAGTATTATGTATATATAACTATTAATATATATGATATACTTTCACATGACTGGCAGCACAGTAGGTATATTTATACCAGCATCATCACAAACACGTGAGGAATGTGTTGCGCTACCATGTCATGACAGCTATGATGTCACTAGGCAATGGGAATTTTTCAGCTCCATTATAATCTTACGAGACCACTGTCATATATGCAGCCCATTGTTGACCCAAACATCGTTATGCAGCGCATGAGTAATCTTATGAAGTTAGCACAATTTTGACACAGCAACTTGATAAAGACATTACCAGAAAAGAATGTAACTGACCTGTAGACCTCATAAACACAGGCAACAAATGCTTAGTGTAATATTAACAAATCTAATCCAGCAATATATAAAAAAGGATAATACATCATAACCAAGTGGAGTTTATCCCAAGAACACAAGGTTGGCCTAACATTTTAAAATCAGTGTAATTCACCACATTAATAAAAACACCATCTGAGCATCCAATCAATTCAAAAAAGCATCTGTCCAAAATCAATACCCACTCATGATAAAACCTCTTAGCAGACTTGGAACAAAAAACAACTTCCTCAATCTGGTTAACGGCATCTATTAAAAATCTACATTTATCATCACATTTAGTAGTGAAATACTGAATGCACTGCTGGCAATAAGTATCAACAGTGAGTGACGTACCCATGGTTGTGGACATTTTAATCCATACAAGTCATATGTTCCTAGGTGGTGAGGCCCACTGGACAGAGCTTTAACCCTCTAAAATTTCACCATTTTGTTGATGTTTTCAACGAGAGTAGTCCCAAACTTGCCACAAAAGTCGTCTTTCTAGGCCTATCAGTGTTGACAGTGTCCTTTAGAATTTCTTTCAGCAGACTAATTCTACCAACTATGAGGTAGTGTCTCCAATTCCTGGATCTAGTTTTAATAGCTTTATGTGCTTTTTATTTTCTTTTCTAATTACATTTTACCACTTGAAAAATAAACTCATTGATATAAAAAGAAAACAAAGAAGTTTTTCTCTTAAATTTGACTGGAAACAGTAACTGTTCATTTGGCAATTTGAAGTGAAACACACACACACACACACACACACACACACACACAACTAGGCACACTTATGCCATGTCCACAAATTTAAAACAAAAATCAACAATCAATTTAGATCAATACGGCCAAAAACACGACTTTGGTCCTTAAATCATCCAAACTGGCTGATCCTACGGTCCTACTCCACTAGATAAGCTACTGGGCTTCTCTTTCCATTTTGGTTGTATAGTTGTATCCCTTAGGCATTAAGTAGGATTTAGTACTTAACTGAAAACTGCCTGCTGTCAATAAGCCCAAAGAGACCTTCTCACCCCCAGTAAAGACTCTTCCCCAATAAGCAACAAAATTTTCCTACCTTTTTTTTTCCTTCTGCAGCACCTTAACAGGCTCTGCTTTTTTGCTGGATTTTTTCAGGCCTGCAGGAGTTGCCAGCTTTGGTTCCGTGACAGACACTGTAGGCTGCTCCACTATTTTTTCTTCTTTCACTGCTTGTTCTGAGTCCAAATTGACTTTAAATTTATCTATAAATAAAGTATAGCAGACGACATATGACCCCATCATGCAATATTAATACATCATTCTTTTGACAGTCTACCATGTGCCAGGTAATATGTTAGGAGCAGGGGCAAAAAGGAGCTCATGGACTATTCAGAAACATTCCTCCTTTCCAACTACCACTCTAACTGTAACTTTTCATTTCTGCCTCCTGCTAATCCCTCATTGTATCACAGCCCCCAGGCTAAATGATAGTAAAAGCAAGGCTTAGAAAAAACACATACAACTTTATGAGGCATCATCCTTCTCATTTTCAGATGAGGAAAATCAAGAATCAGAAGGATTACAAGATGTTTCCCAACAATACACAGTTTACAAATGGTGACAACGATTTGCAGCAAGACCTTTGCTTTCTATATATTCTATCTTTTAATGCCTGGATACCCTTAATATCTCACTACTACCTTAATGATAAAATTTAAAGACTATTTTGGAGTCAAAGAAGTTTGGTTCAAACCCCGCTTCACTCTGGGCAAGTTATTTTATCTAAGTCAGTCTTTTCTAAACCTGAGATAATATTTACAAGATTATCATAAGGATTAAAAGAGATCAGTATTGGTTAAATGATTTATCCAGGTAACACTGACAGAAAAGAGTAGGGATTTGAACCAAAGTCAGTTTAACTCCTCAAAGTCCTTAACCCTTTCCCTACACCAAGCTGAAGAATGACTACAGTGCAGCAGGGAGAACTAAGAAATGCAAACAGGCCTAGCCATCTGAGGAACTATAGAAGCATGTCATCTAGCCTTCACGCTGTACTTAGTGATAGCTTTTCACAAGTAAAGGCACAAAATACTATTAGAAAGCTGTCATTAGCTGGAGGTGCTTCAATAAGTAGTTTTGGTTATATGTTGTATAATAGCTTAAACCATCTACAGTGTAGAAAAAAATTGGTATCATAGTCTGGGCTATTATGCATAGCTTAGTACAATAATTTATAAATAATGTGTATTATTTGAAGGGTAGTTGATGGACCAAAGTGTAAAATGCAATCTATTTATACTTTTCTTTTTCCTGAAGACTTGAATGGAAAATGCGAATGGTGGAATCCACCTTCCCAACGATGGCATACTCTTGCATTTTCAACTGTTGTTCTCAAGTATCAGTGCCTCTCAAATATCCCAAATTGTATAGAAGAGTAAACATGCATCTCCAGGGGTCTAGGGGTCAACAGCCAATCCAAAAAATACAGTTCACTGGAGTCACATGTGTAGCTTTAAAATTTATGCAAATTTTGCAATCTATCACATAAATTATATTGTTTTAATAGCAATTGTTTTAAAAATTGCATCATTAGGAGAAAAAAACCTCCAAATACTTCCTACCTACCTATGGATTAAGGAAAGAGAGGCTATTGCATTGAGTTTACCAATTACAGAAAACTGATCTGAATTAAAATGCCACTGATCAAACATTAGATTCAGCATCCAGAGTTTCTTCTGTCTTGGTTTCACAGAATTTTGAGAACTCCAACTTAAACATATATGCAGCTACCAATAGCCAATTAACTGGTAAAGAGGTAGTTTAATGCAACATTGTAAGGCAATTATTAAGGAAAATTTAATGACTTTTTTTGTTACCTGAATGATCAAGTCACCTATCTTCTAGCTGATTAAAAGCATTTCCTTTTTATACTCAAGAAAACACGAAACCTTTTCAAGCAAATAAAGATAACCAATTATGACCTTTAAATTTTGTCATCAATGCTGAATTTTATTACATATAAAGCGTTACTTTTAAAAATTGAGATATAATTCACATACAATAAAATTCATCACTTTACATTCAGCGTTTTAGTTGTATATCCACCATCACTGTCCAATTTTAGAGCATTTTCATCACCCCAGAAAGAAACCCTGAACCCATTAGCATTCCTCCTCAACCCCAGTCCAGCCCCTGACAACCTTTATTTACTTATTTATTTATTTATATATTTTTTGAGACAGAGTCTTTCTCTGTCGCCCAGGCTGGAGCGCGGTGGCGTGATCTCGGCTCACTGCAAGCTCCGCCTCCTGGGTTCACGCCATTCTCCTGCCTCAGCCTCCTGAGTAGCTGGGACTACAGGCGCCCACCAACAGGCCCAGCTAATTTTTTGTATTTTTTTAGGAGAGATGGGGTTTCACCGTGTTAGCCAGGATGGTCTCGATCTCCTGACCTCGTGATCCGCCCGCCTCGGCCTCCCAAAGTGCTGGGATTACAGGCGTGAACCACCACACCCGGCCCCTACTTTCTGTCTCTATAGACCTGCCTATTCTGGACGTTTCATATAAATGAAATAATATATGATCTTTTCTATCTGGCTTCTTTCACTTAATATTTCAAGGTTCATCCATGTCATATCACATATCCATCTGTACTTCATTACTTTTTATAGCTGAATAACATTTCATTGTCTGGATATACCACCTTTGTTTATCCATTCATCAGATGACAGACTTTTGGATTGTTTCAATTTTTGGCTATTATGAAGAATGCTGCTATGAACATCTTGTACAAGTTTTTGTGTGGACATACAGTTTTAATTCCCTTGTGTAGATATCTAGGAGAGGAACTGCTGGGTAAACTCTATGTTTAACTTTTAGAAGTACTGCCACATCATTTTCCAAAGTGAGTACACATCATTTTACATTCCCTACAGCAGAGCACAAGGGTTCAATTTCTCCACATCCTTGCCAACACTTGTTACTGTCCAGTATTAAGTTTTAAATGGTTCAAGTCCCCACAGTGAACTCTCTTCATCCAATTCTCAAGCTTCATTTTCATTGTAATGATCTTGTCATGTGTCGAATACAATAAAAAAGTCATAATTTTACTCTGAACATTCAGCCTTGAAGAAATGTCAAATAAATTAACTTTGTAAGCAATTTTTAGATTAATATTTAATAGTATTTTATTTTATCCAGGTTTTCCCCCTCACCGTGTTACATGCCATCATAACACCCTATTACTCCTACCTAGCAATTACAATCATCCACTATTCAAATGTTTTCTTTCTTTCCTTTCCCTTTATTTTTTTAAGAAATGGGGTCTTACATGCACACGTATGTTTATTGTGGCACTATTCACAATAGCAAAGACTTGGAACCAAGCCAAATGTCCAACAATGATAGACTGGATTAAGAAAATGTGGCACATATACACCATGGAATACTATGCAGCCATAAAAAATGATGAGTTCATGTCCTTTGTAGGGACACGGATGAAATTGGAAATCATCATTCTCAGTAAACTATCGCAAGAACAAAAAACCAAACACCGCATATTCTCACTCATAGGTGGGAATTGAACAATGAGAACACATGGACACAGGAAGGGGAACATCACACTCTGGGGACTGTTGTGGGGTGGGGGGAGGTGGGAGGGATAGCTTTAGGAGATATACCTAGTGCTAAATGACGAGTTAATGGGTGCAGCACACCAGCATGGCACATGTATACATATGTAACTAACGTGCACATTGTGCACGTGTACCCTAAAACTTAAAGTATAATAATAATAATAAAATAAATAAATAAATAAATAAAAAGAAATGAGGTCTTCTACATTTTTGGCTGGATTTGAATTCATGGGCTCAAGCAAATCTCCTGCCTCGGTCTCCCGAGTAGCTGGGATTACAGGCACGTACCACCATGCCTGGCTTTTTTTCCATATTTATTTGTCCATCTCTCTCAGTAGAATATAAGGACTTGAGGGCAGGGACCTTGTTTGTCTTTTTCCTCTATTGTATCACCACTGCATAACAATGCCATGCACATAGCAGGTGCTCAATCTATTTGCTAACTAAACACATGATTTAAATAAGCATACTTCTGTATGGTTTGATTTTTTTAAAAAAAACCATAACAGCCAGGCAGGTCAGTGACAGCATGATGCTTTAACACAGCAGTCCCCAACCTTTTTGGCACCAGGGACCAGTTTCATGGAAGACAATTTTTCCATAGACAGGGGTGGTGGTGGGCGGCGGTGGGGGGTCGGGGGCGGTGGTTTCAGGATGAAACCGTTCCACCTCAGATCAGGCATTAGATTCTCATAAGGAGCCCGCAATCTAGATCCCTCACATGTGCTGTTCACAATAGGGTTCACAATCCTATAAGAATCTAATGCCACCACTGATCTGACAGGAGGTGGAGTTCAGGCATAATAACGCTTGCTCATTTGCTGCTCACCTCCTGTGCCACCCGGTTCCCAAGAGGCCACGGACTGCTACCCATCAGTGGACTGTGGGTTGGAGACCTGTTTTAACAGAAGTAGGAAGCATTCCCTGTGCACCAACTGTGCCTGCAGTAATACAATAATGCTTCCGAGTAACCTTTAAGTATCACATTTTCCATTCACTTTTCTAGTTACCCATTCTGAGCTGCAAGAACACAAAAACGTTCTCTGATAGCTTTTACAGCAAACACAAAAACTGTCACCCTTACATAAGCAGAATATGAAAAAAAAAAAAAAGTCACTTCAATCCCTCCCGTGACCACCAATTTAGCCATCATGGAAAGGCAGAATTCTAACTAATTTTGCTTGCATAGGCATGTAACAAAATGCCTCCTTGAAAAATCTTTGTAAAACTGATGCTCCAAGAAAGTGTGCCATAATTATCCTGTGGCTCCTGCATTCTTCCTGGTATTCTACCACATACTCTCAGGGGATGTACACTTGATATGAGAAGTATGAAAATATGTGACTACTGGTTCTTTCCATACGAAAGAATTCTTACTTAAGTATCTTTTTAAAAATAAAGAAGATTTTTGCTTTCTCAAAAAAGATTTTTAAATGTCCATTACTACTTGGGCCCTTCTAATTCACACTGGAAGTCTAATTCATTACTGTGAGTAATCTGCAAAAAATAACTGAAGAAAGGCAAAATATTTGCTTTTGTGGACCCTTGAGAGATAGAAGAAATAAAGGTCACACCAGGCAAACTGACTCTAGCATCCACGTTATTAACCTCAACACTATACTGCGTAGCCAGGCAGCCTCCCTTTTATTTTAATCACCCATTTTCAAGGGCCCTATGAAGCAAATAGTTCATTATCTTTTCAAGGCAGGAAGTTAAACCAGGAATAATAAACTGCTCTCAAAGAGATCTCAACTGAGCCTAACTCACCCATAAAGTTCTAGCTGAGTTACTTTCATCAATATATTGGGCAGTACACTGGAAATTTGTTAGAATGCAGGTAGTCTCTTGGATTGGCAAAAACTAGACAAAGTGGCTTTCACTTCAGGTATAATATGTCATTACATTAACATTCATTCGTTAGTCAAAGTGAGGTAAGAACATGCTTACTCATAGCAGCTTTTCCAAAAAAGTTGCTCATCATATTCCCTTTCCCTGGTGCCTTGTTGCCTGCTGCAGATGCCTACAAGCACAGAAAACACATATGATTTTTTGCTGGCATTTAGGCTGTTCATGAAGTAGCAGTCTCAAACAAACTCTTCTATAGCAAACTGTTGCGATGGTATAGTCTCTATATAATCATGCCAAAACGCGTAGGTGTTAGATATAAGAACAAATCTAGAACAATAATCCACACCAGACAGTAACTGGTGTTAATCTCTAAAGCTTAGTTTCTTATATATCTTATAAAATTAATTATCCATGGATATAGCTAAACTTTTCTTGAGCACATTTAAAAACTATTTAATTTGACAGAATTAAAAAAGATCAGAGGCAGTATGTACACAAAGCGGGAAAACCTAAAACATTACATTTTTAATCATCAGAAGTAGATCTGAATTCCTGGTTCCCACCATTTAGTAGCAATATGGGCTCCAGGCAAATTACTTAAGTCTAGGTTTCAGTTTTACCATATGCGAAAGGGAAATAGTTAATATCTCCCTCACAGAACTGATAAGAGGATTTAAACAAAGACACTGGCACACAGTTGAAATTCAATAAACGTTAGTGTTTTCCTCCATCCTTCTTCTTTCCCAAGACAGACGCTTGAAAATGACAGTGATCTGAATTAAATACACTTGACACTGGAAAATGACAGTGATAATAATAATAGTAACAACAATAATTATGCTTTTCTGGATTTTTAAAATAGTATCTTAATGATACTTTTCTTAAGTCAATGCCCTTGAGTTAGTTCAGATGACTGAACAATAAAAATCTAAGAGAAGCAAATAAGGCAAAAACAAAACAAAAAAACCTGCATAAAGTATAAGAATGGGAAATACACTAGGAAGGAAGGTATATGTTGCAAAGCCCAGAATATAAGATGTTCCTCAGAAAGACATATTGCAAATAAACATTTTTTTGAATGTCAACAATTCTCGAGGTGTTTTCACATGTTTTCATCTGGGTTTCACAACAATCTTGTAATGTGCACAAGGTAGGCATTACCATTTTGCAAAGGAAATCCAAGGTTTGGTGAGAATCATTATCAAAAGCAAAAGAACTCTTTCAGATAACAATATCAAGTATTAAAGGGTTCAAACTAAAGTAGAAAAATCAGAACTGAATATCAGAATCTTATATAAATAAACTACTACCACTGCAACCATTAATGCTTTTCTAGTTACCCACTCTGAGCTGCAATGAAGGGGTATCTTCAAAGAAGACTTACATTTGTTACTTCTTTAGCCTCTGTTTTCGTTTCCTTGTTGGTTTCTTGGGTTTTAGCAGCAGCTTTGGAGGCAAACATTCCCATAATTCCTTTGGGCTGCTGGGAAACCTGCTTGGATGCAGGTGGGCCATGACCATTGGTGGTCAGCTCATTGTTGGCTTGTGTCTCACTTGACATGTGAAGATGTGACTGCTCAAACTTTTTGGAAGACGAAGAGGATTCAGCAGGAGCTCTAGGGACGGCAGCTGCACATTGTATAGCACTAAATCTGGGGACAGAAATGTTACATTAAGTTAATGTCAGCATATGCATTCTTGGGTGGTTCAACAAAAAAAGAAAAAAAAAACTAATGTCAGTATAAAACTTTATTTTCAAACTCTTGCTTCTTCCACACAATACTTAACTCTAATATTGTTTAGAATCGACTTTAGAAAAATGTATGAAACTCTCTATTACATAAAGAAACAAATATTAGAGAGAAGTGAGTCACTTTTACTAGGTTATACATCTAGTTAGTAATAGATAGGATTGGAATTAGGTGCCTTCTACCACTAATTGAATATTCTTGTTTTTGATAAAAGTATTCTAATTCAAAAGAGTAGGAATGCAACCAACAATAATAAAAGATGCAGTAATTTCATTATCCTTGGGAAATGAAATAGCCTTTGTTTTTAAAGACCTTCCTCTGATAGGGCTAGATTTGCAATATTGACTGAATCAAAACTAAGCTTTAAATATTAACAAATTTCCTGGCAACTCTCTTGGCCAGAGTAAATCATGCTGTAGGGTTGGGCGCATTGGCTCACGCTTGTAATCCCAGCGGTTTGGGAACCTGAGGCGGGCGGATCGCTTAAGCCTAGGAATTTAAGATGGGCCTGGGCAACATGGTGAAACCTTGTCTCTACAAAAAATACAAAAATTAGTTGGGTGTAGTGGCGCATGCCTATAGCCCTGATTACTCAGGAGGCTGAGGTAGGAGGATCACCTGAATCCAGGAGGTCAAGGCTGCAGTGAGCCATGAGCTCATCACTCAACTCCAGCCTAGGAACAGAGTGAGATGCTGTCTCAAAATAAATAAATAAATCATGCTTTAAAACAAAGAAGAGGCCAGGTGCAGTGGCTCACGCCTGTAATCCCAGCACTTTGGGAGGCCAAGGCAGGTGGATCATGAGGTCAGGAGTTCAAGACCAGCCTGGCCAACATGGTGAAACCCCGTCTCTACTGAAAATACAAAAATTAGCTGGGCGTGGTGGCACGCGCCTGTAGTCCCAGCTACTCAGGAGGCTGAGGCAAGAGAATTGCTTGAACCCAGGAGGCAGAGGTTGCAGTGAGCCAAGATCACACTACTGCGCTCCAGCCTAGGCGACACAGCAATACTCTGTCTCAAAATGAAAAACAAAAAAAAATGGGAGAAGCTGGAAGCAGAGCCACTGGCTCCTATAACCTATAGTCCTTTACAGCCATTTGTTAATAATTTCTAATAATACTAACAGCACCGGACAAGTAAGTATGCCCAAGGCCAAGAGAAGAAAATTGGTGGAACAGCTTGTGTGGCATATTAAAGGGAACATACATCTCTCTCTAATCATTATAGAAGTGCCGTTTCACACAAATCCATAATGTAACATTCCACATTGTGAATGGGTAATTGATTTAGCCTTCTCAAAGGATTGTACTTAAAGCAAAGTTCCCCAGCTTTTTCTAACAAAGAAAAATATTTTATTTTTCCCAGTCTTGCTTATTGAGCATATGTAAGACCTCCTTGAAGTCTTATTTATCTTTTTTATTTCAGGCACCCAGCTCAAGACCTGGCACATAGAAAAGTGCTGGAAACGACATGTTGAAAGAATGACTAAGTGAATGAAAGTGAGGCTTCTGGCTTCTCTCCCTTCTTTAGTGTATCACCTTCAACTTGGGGTGGGAGATTTCTAAACTATGTGGTGATGGCAATTATCTTAAAAGATCAACCAGGCACAACTTCAAGATTAACTGCTAGAATACCTGGCCTAATGAAAAAAAAAAATCCCTGATACATCATTTCATCTCAGAAGTAACTTTAGACTGGGCAGCCCCAAAGCTAGAGTCAAAAGCTCCAAAAATCTTCCACTGATTTATTATGGTCTTCATCAGAAAACTCTGTATTTACACACATCTTTTATGCATCAGAGTTAAGAACAGACGGAAATCATTTGCTTTCACCCACTGCTCTTCCTCTCTGACCTTGCAGTGCTTCCATATACAAGGAAAAGAGTAATGTTTTATTTCACTGTCAACGTCTGAAGTTGGCCTTGAAACAACTCTTTCTCCTCTGGTCTGAATTCTACACCATAGGGTCAGGACCAGGAATTGGCAATGAGGAAGAGACCGAGTTAGGCTAGGAGTATGTCTGATGACAAGAGATCTCTGCTCAATCCTAAAATTTCAACTCTCTTCATGTCACGGCACTTCTTAAAACACACGAAATCATAAGTGAGATCTCAGTTGGCCCATAATTCTCAGGACTAAATACAAACTCATTTGTTGGAGATAAATTCACTTTTCTACTGAGGATACTTTAAGTATTTAGGTAAAGTTTCACTGAAGTGCTTCCTATTACCACATTTCTACTTGCCATGTTTATTTTAGTGGGCCCTGGCAGATTTCATTTTGAACTTTTGCGTCACTTTTATTCTTGTTTGCTTACTTGCTAGATATAACAAGGGAACTGATTTTTAGAGCCTGGAATACCCAACTAGATTTTAAAATTTTTTGAAATCTAGTAATATATTTCAAATAAACTTATCAGGGTGTTAATATTTTCTTGAAATCCTTCCCTAAAAGATAAGAGACTTGTAAATTATTCCTCTTTGGCCATATATTTATTTAATAAATATTTGTATGCTTATTATACTCAAGGTTTTGAGCTAAAGAAAAAAAAAGAACTAATGTCTATCATTAATTCACTCAGTAACTACTTATTAGTGTGCCAGGCACTATTTTGGGTATATAGTTAACAATTTAGACACGATCCCTATTCTCATGGAACTTATAGAAACTATGGCAATTCTATATCTTTCTCTCCTTGAGGACCCATCTTTATCAGTCATACCACCTCCCCAGGATTTTCAACCTTTTCTTCCTACAGCACCTTTCTAACAACCCAAGTTCAAGTCATTCTCAACTTAAGAAATGTATATATCCTTCCCGTCTCAATCCCTCCTTAGCTACCACCCTCTTTTCTGCTTTGCAGTCTAATCTCCTGGAAAGAGCTGTCCATATTTGCTGTCTCACTTCCTCTGTCCCCATTTACTTAGCTCACCAGAATCTGGTCACTCCACTGAAAATGCTCTTACCAAGGCTATCACTAAATGTCATGGACAATTTTCACTTCCTAACTTACTTGGCTTCTCAGCATTGTTTGACATTGTTGACTGGTTCCTCCTACTTGAACCTCTTTCCTTAGGGGCTGAAACCCCATATACTCTTATCTCTGGTGGCTCCCCTTGGGCCCCTCTTTTTCTATTCTTCCCTTGAAAAGCAGCTATCATTAAATAGTGCTTACTATGTGCCAAGTGCTATTCTAAGTGCTTAACATATAATAGTCCATTTAATCCTCTACAACCCTATCTGGCTGGTACTACTGTCAGCTTTACTGACAAGAACAGGGAGGCACTGAGAGGTTAAATAATTTGCCCAAGGTCAGACAACTAGTACTTTGGCCTAGAGTTTTACTTTCTGCCCTTCTTTCATTCTATACATTCTCTCTGATAACTCTATCTACTGCTATGGCCCATTTACTATTCTGATTTCAAAATCTCTATCTTTACCCCAGATTTCTCTCCTTAGCTCTAGATTCACCTATCTTTTGCGATGGACATCCTCACTTGGATTTCTCACAAGCTTCTCAAACTCAACATCTCTAAAACCCAATTTGTCATTTTTCTATCTCTCCTAAAGCCTGCTCCTCCTGTTATATTCCCCTTCTTAGTACCCAGCTGCCCAAGCCAGAAGCATGGGTATCAACCTTTCAATACCAAGAAAGGCTGTCTTCCACCATCCCCTACCCCCACACACCTTGTCCCCAACCACTACCATACATCGAGGTTTTTTTTTTTTGAGCTGGAGTCTTGCTCTGTCGCCCAGGCTGGAGTGCAGTGGAGCGATCTCTGCTCGCTGCAAGCTCTGCCTTCCGTGTTCACGCCATTCTCCTGCTTCAGCCTCCTGAGCAGCTGGGACTATAGGTGCCTGCCACCGTGCCCAGCTAATTTTTTGTATTTTTAGTAGAGACGGGGTTTCACCGTGTTAGCCAGGATGGTCTCAATCTCCTGACCTCGTGATCCACCTGCCTCGGCCTCCCAAAGTGCTGGGATTACAGGCGTGAGCCACTGTGCCCGGCCAAACTGAGGTTTTTTGATGGTCATGACTCATTAACCTTCATACTTCTCCATCCCCAACAGCACAACTTCACATTAGAAAACTGTCATATCCACCTGGATTACTGCCACATTTCTCCTCCCTGATGGCCTTGCCTCCAGATTATTCTCTTCTGATTTATCTTCAATACTGCAACCAGAGCAATCTTTCTAAAATGCAATTTTGATAATTTCACTCCATCTGCTTAAATATTTTCAGTGGCTCCCCAGCGCTCTCAGAATAGAGTCTAAATTTTTATCCTAGTAGTCAAAGCATAATGTAATTCCTGCTTGGCCTCTTTAGTCTTCTATCTAATTATTTCCTACCTTTCACTCTAAGTTGCACCCATAGAAAACGATCATGGTTCTGCACAAGCATGTTTTCTCTCTTAGCTCTGTCCTTAGTCTCTCATTTTTCCTTTGCCTGGCTATTTCTACTGGGCCTTCAGGCCTCAACTGAGATATCATAACCTTCTGTGTCATAAGTCATAACAGTCTTGTCCCCTCACTCTATCCATCCAAAAGTGGGAGATAAGTGCCCCTGCCAACATCTTCCCCCAATATTCCTCCTATTACAGTACTCTTACACTGTACCATAACTGCCTGTCTCCCATCAGTTACATGAAAAGGTACGCGGGCACATTCACTCTATACTGTATGGTATGTCATAGGTACTCATGAGTTATTTGCTGAATGAATTCAAATGATTTTGCTCAGTACCTGTCAAAGTAGTAGGTGCTCAATGTATGTCTGGGGAACTGATCTGAATTATCAATACAACCCCACAAAGGAGACATTATTACATTGAATTTAAAGGCAAAGAAACCAAAGCTCAAAGAGTTTAAGTAATTTGTCCAATGCCACTGGGCTACTAAGCAGCAAAGCCACAAATCAAGCCTGTGACCACCAATTTCCAAAATGTACACGCATTATAGTCCGTTACCTCCTTGTGCTGTTAAGGATACAAAAGATTTAAAAAAAAACCTGATCCTGGCTATGGAAGCTCAAGAAAAAGTTGCTTTTGGATGAAAAGTAGAGGGATATCAAATTAGGAACTGTTTTTTTAAGGACAACGTTTGAACTGGTTCTTGAAGGATGGGTAGGATTTAGACAAGCAGAGACTGGGTAAGGGAGTTAGAGAGGGCACGACAAACATTTCTGGTGGCAGTGACAGGATAAATACATGAGAAATAGATTTATGGAGAGTCCACTGGGGTTTTCAATATGGGTTGTGGCTGCTATTTTTCACCTTATGATGTACTAATAAAACCAGGCATGTTTCTTACTGCAAGATAAATGGGGTTTTACTAGACTTGGCATTCACTCTTAAGAGGCAGCCACTGTGTAAACATCTTACAAAATCAATTCGTAAAGAAGCCCACAAGGAACATTAAGACGCTTACTTGCTGCAGTTCTGCAAGTTGCTTTTAAGGATGTCATAGTCAGTATTGAACAGAGGCCCACTGTCCTTTAGCATGGCTTTCTGGATGCTGTACACATGGATGCTGGCAGTCACAGCTAGCTTGGACTTCACTGCTACAAGTCAACAGGAAAAGCAGTCAGTTAATACACAAACTTCATAGCATGTGGGGACTTTAACAAGAAACCCTTCTGCATTAAAGCATTTGTAATCTGTGGTGGTCCAAAAAACTCTAAAGGCCACACAGCCACATATACAGTGAAACATCAACTCTTCTGTCTGCAATGGGGACATTATGACAAGGTAGGTGGTGGTGAGTCATTTCTAAGGACAGCACCTGAGAGGGTATCACTCATCCAGTGGACACTTAGTAAATATTAATGATTGATGATGACTACGATGATCTTTTTCTTTTGGTCAGAAAAGAGCCTTACACTATAGCATATAATTAAAGAGTACTAAGTAATTTCTATCTGAGAATATTCATTTATATATTTCAATTTTAGTTTAGAGAAAGCAACTCTGTAATAAAAACACTACTAACTAGATAAGTCTACGGAAGAGAAACACAAAAGAACACCACAAGAATAAATGTTAGGTTCCGCGAAGGAAGGGATTGCAGCTAACTTGTTCCATGTCCCCAGTGCCTAGTATAGAGCTTGGCACATAGTAGATCATCATTACATATCTACAGAATAAAGAAATTTTGCTTTGCTTAACACTGTGGGAATTCAGAAAGTAAAAAGTGGACAAACCCACCACTCTGAATACTTCAGAGTTAAATTTGGTAAAATACCCCCACCCTACCCCCATGGACAGGAACTCTTTCTTTTTAAAATACACATATTTTTTGTGTCCCTGGCGTGGCTGCCCTCCACCCTCCTCAGTCCCAATCTGTGAAATGGGGCCTGCAGGCCAAGGAGCCTTTATATACAAAGTACAACAGTACAGGTTTTATCTTGAGATATAGGTCCAAGATCATGAGGACCCTGACTGTTATTAAATTCCTTTGAATTGGGTTTTTAAACAATCCAACGGTAGCACTGATAGTCTTGAAACAGTTAGACAAATTTAATTTAGAAGTTATTTAGAAGTCTTTCTGACTTCCAGAAAAGCATTCTTTAACTTGTTTCCTAAAAAAACTGCCACTGTCTTTTCACAGTTGATGAGGTAGCTCATATGGTATTCATAACAGTTTCTGCATGTGTCACGAGTTTTGAAATTCTGTGATAAAAGTGCTTTATAAATGTCAGCAACTATTGGCCCTAAAAATGGGAAGTCAGGCAGATGTAGTATCATATTTTAACATGCTTTAAAAACTACTCATAAAATGAATATTGGGCTATTCAGTTAAATAGCTAAATATATTATACGCAGATGTTAGAGGCAGATTTTTTATTGCACCTACACTGATGCCATAAGAGGAAAAACTTGCTAAGTCACTAAAACACTTACCTTCCAATTTATCTTCTCTCACTACTGCAACCTTGTGGCACTGTAAGAAAATAACACTTTATTAGTGCTTAATGTAAGAATCTGCAATTTTAGTTTCCTTGCTCCAATAATTCAATTGTGCTTGGATGTGAAATTAGGAAAACACCAGGCACTCCTTAAAACATATGTTATAATTTAATAAAGTCAGACTCACTTTTAATTTGCTTACTTTCAGGAAAAAAAATAATAATTTGCTTATCTTAAAACTTCTCAATAAGGTTAAGGAAAGTGATCTAGCACAGATTTCAGTACTACAATTAAAAAAATACAGCATCTCAAATCAGTGTGAGCAAAGGCTTTTTAGTGAGTGATTTAATAAGAATTACTGTATAATCACATGGAACCAGATAAAAATTGGATCTGTTCCTCACATCATATACCAAAATAAATTCTAAATGGATTAGAGATTTAAATGTAAAAAATAAGGCCGGGTGTGGTGGGTCACGCCTGTAATCCCAACACTTTGGGAGGCCGAAGTGGGTGGATCACCTGAGGTCAGGAGTTTGAGACCACCCTGGCCAACATGGTGAGACCCTGTCTCTACTAAAAACACAAAAATTAGCTGGGCATGGTGGCAGGCACCTGTAATCCCAGCTACTCAGGGGGGTGAGGTAGGACAATCACTTGAACCTGGGAGGCGGAGGTTGCAATGAGCTGAGATTGTGCCACTGCACTCCAGCCTGGGTGACAGAGTGAGACTTGGTCTCAAAAAAAAGAGAAGAACACATATATGCACATGAAAACATGTGTGAATTCTATAACCTGCTATAAGCTAAGAAAGAGGGAACATTTCCTAAGTATAATTCAAAATCCAGAAATAACTGAAATAATCTATTTTAAAAAAGCAACTTTTAAATGAAAAAAAAACGTAAGTACAAAAACAAATGATAAAGCGGAAAAAAACTGCAACTTACATCACAAAGGGTTAATACACAACTTCTAAAATTAAAGAAAACAAAGACTAACAACTCTTTAGAAAATGGGCAAGAAAGGCCAGATGTGGCTGCTCATGCCTGTAATCCCAGTACTTTGGGAGGCCGAGGCAGGCAGATCACGAGGTCAAGAGATGGAGACCTCCCTCGTCAACATGGTGAAAACCTGACTCTACTAAAAATACAAACATTAGCTGGGCATGGTGGTGCATGCCTGTAGTCCCAGCTACTCGGGAGGCTGAGGCAGGAGAGTCACTTGAACCTGGGAGGCAGAGGTTGCAGTGAGCTGAGATCGTGCCACTGCACTCCAGCCTGGTGACAGAGTAAGACTTCGTCTCAAAAAAGGAAAAAAAAAAAAAAGGGCAAGTGGTAGGAACAGACAGTTCACAGAAAAAGAAATATAAATAGCCCTAAAACATATTATAACATAATGCTATATGGAAACAGGCACTCTCATACATTGTTGGTGGGAACAAGAAGCAGAGTGATATTTGGCAACATCCAACAAAAGTACACATGCACTCACCCTTTGACCGAGCAATCCTACTCTAGGAATGTAACCCTAAAACACACTAGCAAAAATATACAAAACACACAGACACTAAGCTATTCACTACAGCACTATTAATATTTGTAATAGCCAAAGATCATAAATAACAACTACCAATAAGGGATTGCTGAATAAGCTAAGGTATATCTATCAATGTGGCACTATGTGGCTGTAATAATTAATGAGGAATATTTCTATAACTGCTGTGGAGTGATGCTCTGAATCTGTTATGTAAAAAAAAGCAGAGTGTAAAATAGTTTGCACGTATGAAAACATTTATCTAACAAAGAGAGGCAAAATGAATATATATTTTCTTATATTAAAAATATATACAACAGGCCAGGCGCAGTGGCTCACGCCTGTAATCTCAGCACTTTGGGAGGCCGAGGCAGATGGATCACGAGGTCAGGAGTTCAAGATCAGCCTGGCCGAGATGGCAAAGCCCCGTCTCTACTAAAATACAAAAAAAATTAGCAGGGCGTGGCGGTGGACGCCTGTAATCCTAGCTACTCGGGAGGCTGAGGTGGAGAACTGCTTAAACCTGGGAGGCAGAGGATGCAGTGAGCTGAGATCACGCCACTGCACTCCAATGCTTGGCCAACAGGCAAAAGTCCATCTCAAAAAAAAAAAAAAAAAAAAAAAAAATATATATATATATATATATATATATATCAAAAACAATGGAAGGAGAAGGCAAACTCAATGTAACAGTTACCTCTAAGGGAAAGGAGGGAACCTATCAATTGAAAGCAAAATGGAAAAAAAAAATTGAATTGAACTAGATATTGAATTGGTGGCTTCAGTACAGTGAGGAATTATTTCAAGTGATTCTAAAATACAGGATGACTGTGCATCCTTAGCAGGACATATCCTACAGACAAAGAACTGCAAAGAAATCTTATTTTCAGTAATCAAATTGTTGGTAATAATACAGGTTTTGCTTTTCTAAACCTCGTGTATTTGTCTAAAGCAAATAGATATTTTTGTTAATGTTCGGAACCACCAAAATTCACAACATAAAAAAAACAGCAATCTAAACATCAAATAAGTTTTTTAAAAAGTGTAACCATAAGTTTGAGCTGGGATTATTAATGTTCTCATAATGCATTTTCTCTTAAAACTGGCACTCCTAAAAATGTCATTTTCATTGGTTTATTCAAGGGAAGAAAAAAGTCATGTTCCGTAAAACTGCACACTAAAAATTACAGAGCTTATTATAAAAATTACAGACCATTAGGAATGAACCACTCAAAACCAATGCAGCTTTGCAGTAAGAGCCCTAAAAACAGTAATTCGCACCTCATGAGAAGATCTGAATAGACCAGACAGGTCCGTGTGGCTATATACTGCCCTGGGGGATACTGAAAGTACATAAAAACAACAGAATGGAAATGCCAGCTGGTGCTAAAACAATGCAGACCAGAGTGGAGCTCTGATTCAATGGGTTCCTATTAAAGTGGACACGGGAGTTAGGGAGCATCCACAAACCCAGAGCCTAGGAGGGGGTAAGCCCTCTGTTCTTAGCATAACAGGGAAAACACGGCTAGTTGATGAGAGAAAATTATTCACAGAAAAATTACAGCTAAAAAAACAGAAAGGCCAGGTGCCGTGGTTCATGCCTGTAATCCCAGCACTTAGGGAGGCCGAAGCAGGAGGATCACTTGAGCCCAGAAGTTTAAGACCAGTCTGGACAACATAGTGAGACCTCGTCTCTAATAAAAATAAAAATAAAAAATAAGCTGGGCATGGTGGTGCATGTCTGCAGTCCCAGCTACTGAGGAAGCTGAGGCAAGGGGATCGCTTGGACCCAGGAGTTCAAGGCAAAACATCACCATTTTGTAACCTTTAGTGAATTAATGATTTAGGCAATGATTAAAACTAATCTCAGCTAAAATCATTAGATGAAAAGCTAACAGGGAACCCATAAAGCATAGATCAGGTTGACAGTTCTTCACATTACAAAAAGAACCAACCAAACATTTCCTTGAAATTTTCAAATAATCCTCTGGAAGAATCTCTGGGATGAGATTTGAAGGAAGCTTTCACGTTCTATATATTGTTAAACATTTTTTATAATAATCATTGGAAAAATAAAAATTATTTACATTTAAAAAAATCCAGGCCAGGCACAGTGGCTCACTTCTGTAATCCTAGCACTTTGAAAGGCCGAGAAGGGCAGATCACTTAAGTTCAAGATCACTTGAACTTAGAAGTTCAAGACCAGCCTGGGCAACAGGACAAAACCCCATCCCTACAAAAAGTACAAAAATTAGCTGGGCGTGGTGGCAAGCACCTGTAATCCCAGCTACTTGGGGGGTTGAGGCAGGAAGATGGCTTAAACCCAAGAGATTGAGGCTACAGTAAGCCGAGATTCTGCCACTGCACTATAGCCTGGATGACAAAGTGAGACCCTGTCTCAAAAAATAAATAAATAAATAAAAAATAAAAATAAGTCCAGGCGCGGTGGCTCACGCCTGTAATCCTAGCACTTTGGGAGGCCGCGGTGGGTGGATCACAAGGTCAGGAGATCGAGACCATCCTGGCTAATATGGTGAAACCCGTCTCTACTAAAAATACAAAAAAAAAAATTAGCCGGGCGTGGTGGCGGGCGCCTGTAGTCCCAGCTACTCAGGAGGCTGAGGCAGGAGAATGACGTGAACCCAGGAGGCAGAGCTTGCAGTGAGCTGAGTTCACGCCACTGCACTCCAGCCTGGGCGACAGAGCAAGACTCGGTCTCAAAAAATAAATAAATAAATAAATAAATAAATAAATATATAATAATAATAATAAATTCCATACAAAGCTGCGTAATGTCTTTTTTCTTTCTAGAAGCACTAAAAACTTAAAAAGGAAATTATTAATAGAAGAATTAAAAGAACAAAACCTGATCATATTGCTTAATAATCTGCCTTTCCTTAGGAGGATTCCCTTTAAGGGAAAAAAGGCATAGGTAAGCATCCACATTTGGTCAGTTCGTTCTACAGGGTTCCACAGAGCTTCCCAGTGAGGCTATTGGGAGGGCAGGTCCAGGGCTCTGAAATCCTCACAACCACTTCAACCACAGCAACCCCACTCTTAATAAATTTTATATATAGAACTCTGATTAAGATTTTGTTTGAAAAAGCACTCTGCTGCTAAAAAAAGATAGGCAGAATTTAAATGCCATCTTATACTTAGAAACAGAAGACCTTTTTATAAGCAAGCCATGGCTTAGTTTTTAACTGATTATAGGTTATACATCATTTTGAAAAATGGTCTCGGAAATATGCACTGAGGAACACAATTTGAACACTTTCAGTGTCATCTAAGAAAACTCTAGACTTTGAAGACCAACCATGAAGACCATCTAAGAATCCTAAATTAAGAGCCCCTGTTATAATGGGTCAGTTTGAGTAAAAATCTACATTATCTCAAAACGTAAATTCTTAACTTTGGATCCTATTCCAGAAGATCCATGAACTCAAAATTTTATGAATGTCAACATATGCATTTTTCTTTCAGATTCTCAAGGGGATCAATGACCAAAAAAAGAATAAAAAGCACTGCTTTAAAGAAACATAATGATTTCCAAGTAAAGGCTTGAATATGACTAGATTGAGGGTACTGACTAATTAGAGAAAGAGACAGAAGGTCAGTTGACCCTGGAAACAGAAGAAAATATGACAATCAGCCATAAACTTTGACAGTATCCATTCAAGAGCTCTACAGTGGCAGAACTCTGGAGGCAGGTTTATCTCTGCAAGTAAATGAGTTACGTCTGTTTAACTTTGCTTCAGAGATATAAATGACATCTTATTTTACACTTGCAAATATCTTGGTTATCATTTGGCTTGCCAAATAGCTTGGAAACAAGAAAAGAATATGTTGGCTAGAGAGTATAAGGATAGGATCCCTCTAGCAGTTTTGTTGCTCCTTGTAAATTACTAAATTGACGTTCCAGTTTTATTTTATATCACCCAAGCTGGAGTGCAGTGGCGCAATCACAGCTCGCTGCAGCCTTGACCTTATGGCCTCAAGTAATCCTTCCCACTTCAGCCTCCTGAGTAGCTGGGACTACAGGCGCATGCCACCATGCCTGGCTAATTTTTGTATTTTTTGTAGAGATGGGGTTTCGCTAGGTTGCCCAGGTTGGTCTCGAACTCCTGGGCTCAAGTGATTCTCCCAACCCAGCTTCCCAAAGGGCTGGGATCACAGCAGCAAGGCACTGTACCCAGCCTGGCATTTCAGTTTTAAATCTCACATGCTGGGGACTCAATCGCTAAAAAACAAATCCAGTCAATATTTTGACAAATCAGGGCTCTGAACTTATGATTCTGAGGGAAAATCAAAGGAAAGAGGAAAACAGCGGATCTCTGAGAAGCGGCCACCTGACCTTTGGGCCAAGTCCCATGGGGCTTTTTATGCCCGAAAGAACCTTCAGATAGGAAGTTTGAGGAAGTGAGAACAGAAGAGGTATGCCTTACTTTTGGGAGGACGCCAGAGAGGGGGAATTATTAAAGTTCCCAAGGCCCAGTTTGGTGCAGGAGAGGGAACAAGATATCTTAGCAGAGCTTCTGGTAGCCACCAAGGCATGGGAGTAATAGAATGATCCCTGTGCCCCTGAGAGGGACATGAAAATAGTTAAGAGAAAAGTCAAGCAGACCTGAGAAAGCCTTACAGTCAGGATGATGAAATCCAGCAGTCACCTGTGTTGCCAGATGACCAGATACCAGGTGGGACTACAAAAAGAAGAGGAAGGAGAATAAAATGTTCCCAGCCTATGCACTGCATTAGCTATGCTCCTGCCAAAAACTCTTACCCTTCAGGCACTTAGACGTAAGCCTACCCAAATGAATGTTCAAAATTAAAAGAAGTTCAGTTAAAAAAATTATAATTTTTGAACACTTGTATTCATGGTTTGAAATTTGAACAGGTGGAAAATTAAACACCATTGTTCTCCATATACCTTCAAGAGGAAAAAAAGAGATATAGGGAATAACAGAAGCAGTCTCCTAACATCTTATTGCATAATAATGATACAGTCTCTGCATCACAGCCAAGATATTACCCAAACTTCTCAGTTTTAGATTTAATCTAAAAATCCAAAATAATCATCACCATCAAGTAGCTCTTTAAAACTACTATAACACAGAATCTTGATTTTTTTCTCTCCCCTGAACTATGTTATAACACTCTTCATAACACAAACACATTTAAGCTCATTACAAGGCTCTGAGAACTTACGGAATGTCCATTCTGAATGAGACTGCCAGACACCAAGTAGGTAACATGCAGTTGGGCTCCTGAATTTTCTTTTCGTTTCCTTTCAACATAATCATACAGCATCCTATTCCAAAGAAAAGAAGGCACAAGTAAGACATCAGTAAGAGTTTTTACATGATCAACTCTTAATTAATGACTTAAAAGATAAATGAAATCTGGTAGTCCATCAAATTTTCTGAACAGTAGCATTTTTGCTTGGCCTATGGACAGTTGAAAAAAAAAAAGGATGGACTTCAGACAGGACATGGGGAGTAGAGTCCATGTGTTTGGAGCTGGCACAGTGATCAGTACATTAACTGAAATAAGATTAATAATAGACCAAGAGGGACTGAACCTGCATTAAAACAGTGGCAATGATACATAATAAATAGAACACTGAATCAAGAAGTAGTTTGGTAACTGTCTAAGCTCTGGATAAGTTAATTAATTTGTCTAGGCCTCTTAATATCCCAAGGCGTAAACAGGAGGGTTATATTAGATTAGTGATTCTTTTAACCTGGGATTCAGGTGGCCATCTATAACCCTCCAATCCTAAAGTTTCAGCAAATGTTTATGTGCTTTTTTGGGAGATGTGTGAGGGTTTTCAATGGATTCTGAAGAGTGAATTACTCCAAAACATTAAGAACTACTAAGTATATGATCACAAATGTCCAGCTCTGAAATTCCAATTTTATGATTACTCAGATTTAATGCCGGTTCAGAATTGCAGAATGTAACAGCTTACTCACATTGCCCAGTATTCAGAATAATTCATTAACCTGAGATAGCCAAATACTAAATGCAGAAATAATGTTGCTTTTAGTAAAATCTCTAAATTCATTTTTACTCTATGATCCAGCAAGTATCAGAAGTTGGCTCCCTTCAATAATCTAGTTTAAAAACAACAAAGAGACATGTCTTTTATTTTGAGAAACATTTACAATCTGTCTATAATATACTTCTGCCAAGCATAGCTAGAAATTTAAAAATCCCCAGAGAAGCTCAACCTACATTGCTGTTCACTCTCTTCTTGAAGAGCCTGCTCTCTCAGCTTCCATAAAACCATGCCCCACTGAGTCTTCTGCTACCCCTCTCACTGCTTCTGCTTTACTTTCTGAAGAGACTTCTCTACCTCCTCCCTTTCCTTAACTGTTGGTATTCTGTCTTTAGCTATTTTTTCACTCTATGTATTAGAGTGACTGACCATTCCTGTCTGCCTGGGTCTGAGGGGTTTCTTGGGATGTGGAACTTTCAGTGACAAAACCAACCATCCTGGGCAAACCCAGGGTGGCTAGTCACCCTACTACATATTTTCCTCGGTTTATTTCATCCATCTCTGACAACAACATCATCTGCTGAAACCACGCAAGCCAGAAATCTGGGAGTCATTATACTTCACTTCTTCCTATCCAATGAGTTGCCAAGTCTCATCAGCTCTCCTTCCCAAGTAATTCTTGACTCCATGCCCTCCAAATCTCTTGACTAGACTATTTCAATTCCAAGTATCAATTCCTCTTCTCCTCCCCACCTCACCTTCATTATCCATGATGCTGCCAGAGTGAAGTTTAAAAAATGCAAATCAAGTCATTCAATCAACAAAACTTTACCAAGTGGTTACTTTATGTTCTACGCCTTAGGGACAGAACAGTGAATAAAGCAAAGTCCACTCTTAGAGCTTACATTCTAGAAAGGAGACACACAATAAACATATAATATATAATCTCAGATGACAGTAAGTCTATGGAAACAAAGTTAAGTAAGTTAAGGAGGACAGAGGGTGCCTGAGAAGTTTTGCTATTTTATATAAGGTGATTAGGGAAGGCCTCATTAGCAGAGCCCTGCAGGGAGGGAGGGAGCCAGCAAGGTGGATATCTTGGGAAACAATGTTCTAGGCAGAGAGTCCAGCAAATACCAAGGTTCTGAGGCAGGAAGGTCAGCAAGATCCAAGGAACAGAAAGGCCAGTGTGCTGTAGTGGAATAAGGACGGTAGTAGGGGAGAGAGGGCAGAGTGCCAGGCACATAGGGCTTTGTGGCTACCACAGGACTTTAAGAAGCCATTAGAAAGTTGAGAGCAGAGGTAATGTGATCTCACCTTTCAGAAGGATCTGAGAAGGTTATGTGGATGATATACTGTAGAGGGGCAAGGGAGGAAGCAAGACCAGTTAGGCTATTGCAATAACCCAGCCTAGAGATGACTGGTAGCTCAGTTTGGGGCAGTAGCAGTGCAGGTAGTAATTAGTGGATGAATTCTGGGTATATTTTAAAGTGAGAAACAACAGGATTTGCTGATATACTGTGTTGAAGTGTAAGAGAAAGAAGAGTCAAAAATGACTGGACTAGGCAACCCAAAGAAGGAAGCTGTAATTCACTGAGATGGGGGAAAAGCAGGAAAAGCAGGTGTTGAGGGGAGAAGTCAGGAGTTAGGTTTGGGGGCATATTAAATTTGCAATGCCTATTAGTCACTGTTGATGTTGAAAAGGTTGCTAGAGAGTCTTGTCTGAAACATAATTCCTTGTTATAAAGCTTTCAGTAGCGCCAGGTGTGGTGGCTCACGCCTGTAATCCCAGCTCTCAGGGAGGCAGAAGCAGGAGGATAGCTTGAGCACAGGAGTTCAAGACCTGACTGGGCAATATAGCGAGACCCCATGTTCCACAAAAAGGGAGGAGAAAAAAAAAAGTGTAACAAAGCTTTCAGTAGCTTCTCATCCCCTAAGGATCAACTTCAAATCTCTAGCAATGACAGGTAAGACCCTTCTTGTTCTGGGCTCTGTATCTCTGACCATTCCCCATCATACCTACACTATCTTCATCCTTAATGAAACATTCTACAATTCTCTTTATTCCTTTGTATATGCCCTTCCTTCTGCCTAGAAGGCTCTTCTCAGGCCTCAACTACCTAATTTCTCATCAAGACAGCAGCTCAGTTGTCACCTCCTCTATGAAGTATGAACCCTTCCCCAACACCATCAGGTCACCAGGGCACATCTTTTTTTTAAGAGATAGAGTCTCACTCTGTCGCCCAGGCTGAAGTGCAGTGGCGCAGCTCTCTATAACCTTGAATTCCTGGGCTCAAGCCATCCTCCTTCCTCAGCCTCCTAAGTAAACAGGACCACAGGTGCATGCTACCATGCCTGGTTATTATTTTTTCTTCCTGGTAGAAACAGGCTTTTGTTATATCTCCCAGCCTGACCTCGAACCCCTGCGCTCAAGTGATCCTCCTGCCTTGGCCTCTCAAAATGCTAGGATTACAGGAGTGAGCCATCATGCCTAGACAATGAGCTTCTGCCATCCAAGCTCTAACAAATTTTATCCCATATCTATTATTACAGCACATATCACCCTGCCTTCTAACTATTTATTTTACATATGACGCATCCCCTCTAGACTGTTAACACCTTGAGTACAAAAAGGTGCCCTAGTCAGGATTTTTGCTGATTCCTCCTCTTTGCCCTCTAATGTTTCTTTCCATTACAACAATTGTGTTAGAAGGATAAATGAGCTAACAGATCCACAAACATTTTGGTTTATTGATGCTAGTTTGGACCATGCTAAAGGAAGACATGATAGGCAGGTACCATGCCCAAAATGCTTGCAAGCTTGCTGGCCAAATGCACTATCTTTTATCCACAACTAATAGTCCTGCCCATATCATCAGTCATTGTCCTCTATGCACTTGTCTCCCCAAATTGACCCCAGTTCTTCTCTCTTATATTAACAGAAAATGCAAAGCAAACTCTTATTTTAAAAAACAATTCTTGTGGCTGGGTGCGGTGGCTCACACCTGTAATCCCAGCACTTTGGGAGGCCAAGGCAGGCAGATCACCTGAGGTTGAGAGTTTGAGACCAGCCTAACCAACATAGAGAAACCTCGTCTCTATTAAAAATACAAAATTAGCCGGGCACATGGTGGCGCATGCCCGTAATCCCAGTTACTCGGGAGGCTGAAGCAGGAGAATCGCTTGAACCTGGGAGACAGAGGTTGCAGTGAGCTGGGATCGTGCCATCACACTCCAGCCTGGACAACAAGAGCAAAATCCTATCTCAAAAAAAAAAAAAAAAAAAAAAAAGGAAAGAATTCCTGCCTACTTTTTGAGTCTTTAAAACATGTTTTATCTAATTTAAGCCAAACTTTTCTGTTTTTTTGGAGATAGAGTATCGCTCTGTCGCCAGGCTGGAGTGCAGTGGCGCGATCTCAGCTCACTGCCATGTCTGCCTCCTAGGTTCAAGTGATTTTCCTGCCTCAGCCTCCCAAGTAGCTGGGACTACAGGCACACGCTGGCTAATTTTTTGTATTTTAGTATTTTTGTATTTCAGTAGCGCCAGGTGTGGTGGCTCACGCCTGTAATCCCAGCTCTCAGGGAGGCAGAAGCAGGAGGATAGCTTGAGCCTGGTCTCAAACTCCTGAGCTCAGGCAATCTGCCCTCCTCGGCCTCCCAAAGTGCTAGGATTACAGGCATTAGTCACCGCGCCCAGCCTAAGCCAAATATTTTTTAATAAACAAAATATAAAATATTCTTAAATAAGAATGACAACAGGCTGGGCACAGTGGCTCATGCCTGTAATCCCAGCATGTTAGGAGGCCGAGGCAGGCGGATCACGAGGTCAGGAGTTCAAGACCAGCTGGCCAGCATGGTGAAACCCCATCTCTACTAAACATACAAGAAGTTAGCCAGGCGTGGTGGCATGTGCCTGTAGTCCCAGCTACTCGGGAGGCTGAGGCAGGAGAATTGCTTGAATTCTAAAGGCGGAGGTTGCAGTGAGCCGAGATTGCACCATTGTACTCCAGCCTGGGCAACAGAGCTGTCTCAAAAAAAAAAAAAATAATAATAATAACAACATATATGACTTCTTACAAGATACACTTCCTACACATGATTAATTATAGCTTCCCATTTTAATTCATTAATCTTCCCTCCTGATCAGTTCCACCCATAATGTTCCCCAGGATGAGTACAGTGTATTGCCCATACCGCTTTCTCTAACCCAACTTAATTATTTCACAGCATTTTCACAGTCTGAAATTATCTTGTTTAAATCAACCAGGGGAGGGACCCTGTCTGTCAGGTTTACTGTTGTATGACATAGCCTGAAATAATGCTAAAAAAAAACAGTATGAGGCCAGGCACGGTGGCTCAAGCCTGTACTCCCAGCACTTTGGGAGGCCGAGGTGGGCAGATTGCGAGGTCAGGGGTTCAAGACCAGCCTGGCCAAGATCGTGAAACCCTGTCTCTACTAAAAATACAAAAATTAGCCAGGCGTGGTGGCAGGTGCTGTAATCCCCACTATTCAGGAGGCTGAAGCAGGAGAATCGTTTGAACCTGGAAGGTGGAGGTTGCAGTGAGCTGAGTTCCGCCACTGCACTCCGGCCTAGGCAACAGAGCGAGACTCCGTCAAAAAAAAAAAAAAAAATTACTTGAGAGAAATGTTTGTGAAAATACTATAGTGAGGCCGAGCATGGTGGCTCATGCCTATAATCTCAGCACTTTGGGAGGCTGAGGCAGGAGGACTGCTTGAGTCCAGACGTTCAAGACCAGCCTGGTCAACACAGCAAGATCCCAACTCTACGAAATAAAAAAATCAGCTAGCATGGTGGCATGTACCTGTGGTCCCAGCTACTCTCAGGAGACTGAGGTGGGAGTATCCCTTAAGCCTAGGAGGTCATGGCTAAAGGAAGCCATGTTTGAACTACTGCACTCCAGCCTGGGTGATACAGTGAGACTCTATCTCAAAACAAACATAAACCATAGTGCTTGGTATTCATTCAGTATGTATTGGCATTCATTATGTGCCTGACACTGAAGACAGAATAATTGTGGCATGTTATATTTTCCAAAGATGGCTGAGACAGCATCTTCCATTCCATATGCTCTTCTACATTCTCTCATTGAGAAGTAGAGCCCACTTCTTGAATCTGGTATGACCAGTTATTCACTGCTTGACTTCTGAGGCTAGTCAGAAAAGGCAATTGGCTCTACATTGTGCTGGAACACAAGCTTTTGGAGCCCTGAGCTTCTATGTAAGAAGTCCGACTACCTGGAGACACCAGGCTGTGAGAAAGCCCAGGCCATACAGATAGACCACATGCAAGCACTCTAGTCCACTGCCCCAGCTAAAGGCCCAACAGATGGCCAGAATCAACAGCCAGACATGTGCATAAAGATGCCTAGAGATGACCAGGTTCCAGTTATTGAGACTTTCCAGCGGGGATGCCAGACATCATGGAACAGACATAAGCCATTCCCACTGTGCCCTATCCAAATTCCAAAGCAAAAGAATCTATGCGCATAATAAAATGATGTTTCCAGGCACTACATTTTGGGGTGATTTCTGACACAGCAATAGTAATCAGAACAGTGATGAACCTGACAAGTTTCCTGCCTTCATAGAGTTTATATTCTAGTGGGGAAAGACATATAATTAGCAAGAAAATGCCAAGACAATAATATGAATTATAAAATGCTGGGATAACCGTATACCCATGTGCAAAAAAATGATGCTGGACCCTTTCCTTACACCATACACAAAAAATCAACTCCAAGTGATTCCTAGAAGATATAGTCAATATTTATACATTTCAGTGATTCATTTAAAAATTAGCTTGAACTAACACCTAATCTGAAAGCTTTAGTATAGTCTTACTGTAGGAACTAAAGCATTTTTTTCTTTTTCTTTCTTTCCTCCCTTTTTTCTCTCTCCTCTCTTTCTCTTTTAGAGATAGGTTCTTGCTCTGTCACCCAGGTGTGATCATAGCTCACTGCAGCCTTGAACTCCCGGGCTCAGACAATTCTCCTGCCTCAGCCTTCTGAGTAGCTAAGACTGCAGGTGCATGCCACCACACCAGGCTCATGTTTTAAAAAAACTTTTTATAAAGATGTGGGTCTCACTATGTTGCCCAGGCTTGTCTTGAACTCCTGGGCTCAAGCAATCCTCCTACCTCAGCCTCCTCAAGTGTTGGGACTAATACAACTGAGCCACCACAGCCACCCGACTGAAGCATTTCTAATGTTAACAAGTACATGGCCAGGTGCAGTGGCTTATGCCTGCAATCCCAGCACTTTGGAGGACAAGGCAGGAGGATGGCTTCAGCCTGGGAGTTCGAGACCAGCCTGCACAACACAGCAAAACCCCGTCTCTACAAAAAATACAAAAAGTAACCAAGTGTGGTGGCATGCGCCTGTAGTTCCAGCTAGTCGGGAGGCTGAGGAGGGAGAATCACTTGAGCCTGGGAGGCTGAAGTTGCAGTGAGCCAAAATTGCGCCACTGCATTTCCATCTGGGCAACAGGGTGAAACCCTGTCTCAAAACAATAATAATAATGATGCTAACAAGCACACGATCTGTAGAAAACTTAAACATAGTGATAACCATGATTTTTTTAAACTCTAAGTGGATTACAGAATTAAATATAAGTGCAAAAACTAAAAAATCTTAGAAAAAAGCACAGGAGTAAATCTTCATAACCCTGGGTTAGGCAAAGCCTTCTTAGATATTATGTCAGAAGCACAAGCAACACATCAAAAAGAAAACACAACAAGGGTATGGAGAAAACAGAATGCTTATACATTGTTGGTGGGAATGTAAATTAATACAGCCATTATGTAAAACGGTATGGAGGTTCCTCAAAATATCAAAAATAGAGCTACTGTATGATCCAGCAGTCCCACTACGGATATACATCCAAAGGAAATGAAATCAGTATGTCAGAGATATTTGCACTCACATGTTTATTGCAGCACTATTTACAACAGCCAAGATATGGAATCAATAAATGTCCATTAATGGATAAAGGAAATATAGTGTATATACACAATGGAATACTATTCAGCCATAAAAATGAATAAAATCCTATCATTTGCAACAAAATGGATGAACCTGGAAGAGACTATGTTAACTGAAATAAGCCAGACACAGACAAATACTACATGATCTCACTCATTTGTGGAATCTGTAAAAGGTGATCTCACGGAAGTGGAAAGCAGAATTTTCTTTCCATAGGCTGAAGTGGTTAGGGGAGGGGGAATGGGGAGATGTGGGTCTAAAGGATACATAATTACAGTTAGACAGGAATAAGTTCAAGAGCTCTACTGTATAGCATGGTGACTACAGTTAGTGATGATATATTCTTGAAAAATGAAAAGATGGTAGACATTAAATGTTTTCACCACCAAAATAACTGTGTGATGTAATACATTTATTAGCTAGATTTAACTACTCCACAGTGTATATATACTTCAAAACATAATGTTGTACACAATAAATACATACAACTTTATTTCTCAATTTAAAAAATCTTGGCTTGGCACGATGGCTCACATCTGTAATCCCAGCACTTTAGAAGGCCGAGGCGGGCAGATCACTTGAGGTCAGGAGTTCGAGACCAGCCTGGCCAGCATGGTGAAACCCCAACTCTACTAAAAATACAATAAAATTAGCCGGGTATGGTGGCACATGCCTGTAGTCCCAGCTACCTCGGAGGTTGAGGCAGTAGAATAGCTTGAACCAGGGAGGCGGAGGTTGCAGTGAGCCGAGATCACGCCGTTGGACTCCAGCCTGGGCGACAGAGCAAGGCTTCTGCCTCAAAAAAAAAAAAAAGAAAAAAAAAAATCTTCTTAGGCCGGGCACAGTGGCTTGTATCTGTAATCCCAGCATTTTGGGAGGCCAAGGTGGGAGGATCACTTGAGGTCAGGAGTTTGAGACCAGCCTGGGCAACATAGCAAGATCTCATCTCTACTAAAAAAAAAAAAAAAATAAGATTAAAAAAAATTTAATCATTTTAAAATTTAAACTTAAAAAAGCATAAGCAACAAAAGGAAAAATAAATAAATTGGACTTCATCAGCAATAAAAACTTCCATGGGCCAGGCATGGTGGCTTATGTCTGTAATCCCAGCACTTTGGGAGGCCAAGGCAGGGGCTTGAGCCTGGGAATTCAAGACCAGCCTGGGACCAGCATGGGAAACATGGCGGGACTCCATCTCTACAAAAAATTTAAAAATTAGCTGAGTGTGGTGGCACGCACCTGTAGTCCCGGCTACTCGGGAGGCTGAGGTGGGAAAATCACCTGAGCCCAGGGAAGTCAAGGCTGCAGTGGGCTGAGATCACACCACTGCACTCCAGCTTGGGCAACAGAGTGACATCCTGTCTCAAACAACAACAACAACAAAAAATGTCTGTGCTTCAAAGCACACCATCAAGAAAGTACAAAGACAATCCACAGAATGGGAGAAAATTTTTGCAAATAATTTTTCAATCAGGGTCTTGTATTCAGAATATATAAAGAACTCTTAAAACTCAACAACAACCAAAAATACCCAATGACAAAAATGGGCATAATTTTGAATATCTATTTCTCCAAAGATATGGCCAAGCAGCATATGAAAAGATATTCAGCAACATTAGTCATTAGGAAAATGCCAATCAACATAATTTATGAGATACCACTTCACATCCACTAGGATGGTTAAAATAAGACATAATAAAAAGTTTTTGCCAGGTGTGGTGATGTACACCTGTAGAGCTAGTTGGTAGGCTGAGGCGGGAGGATCCTTGAGTTCAAATCCAGCCTGGGCAACATAGTGAAACCCCATCTCAAAAAAAAAAAAAAAAAAAAAAAAGAGTTCATCCATGAGAAGTCTGAGGGAAAAAACAGTGTTAGTGTTAACCAGAATGTGGAGAAACTGAAATACTCATATACTGTTAGGACTGTAAGAAGCGCAGCCATTTTGAAAAATAGTTTGTCAGTTCCTCAAAATGTTAAATACAGAATTATCTCATGACCCAGCAATTCCAATCCTAGTTTGGCTGTGTCCCCACCCAAATCTCAACTTGAATTGTAATAATCCCCACATGTCAAAGACGGACCAGGTGGAGATAACTGAATTATGGGGGCAGTTCCCCCATGCTCTTCTCATGATAGTGAGTTCTCACGAAATCTGACGGTTTTACAAGGGGCTTCCCCCTTCGCTCGACACTCATTCTCTCTCCTGCCACCCTGTGAAGAGATGCCTTCCGCCAAGTCTCCTGAGGCCTCCCCAGCCATGCGGAACTGTGAGTCAATTAAACCTCGTCTTTATAAATTCAATCTCAGGTGTGTCTTCATAGCAGCATGAGAATGGACTAACACAAATACCCAAGATAACTGAAAATATATGTTCATATAAACACTTATAGATGAATGTTTTATACATGAATGTTCATAACAGCATCATTCATAGCAGTCAAAATATGGAAATAACCCAAATGTCCATTAATGATGAATAAACAAAACTTGTTGTATCCATATTACAGACTGAATCATGTCTCCAAAAAGGTAATGTTAAAGCCCTAACCCCCAATACCTTAAAATGTGACCTTATTTAGAAATAGAATTATAGCACATGTAATTAGTTAAGACAAGGTCATATTGGAGTAGGGTGGATTCGTAATTCAGTATGACTGGTGTTCATATAAGATGGACGTGCAAAGATACAGATATACAGGGAGAATGCCATGACAATGAAGGCAGAGATTGGAATTACGCAGCTACAAGCCAAGAAATACCAATGATTGCCAGCAAACCAAATTAGCTCTAATCTATGTAGGCTATCTGTAGAGTTAAAAGCAAAGCATAACAAAACAAAAAAAAATTCCAATATGATTAAAATTGGTAGTAAATTGGACTTACTGTTTGGCCTGGTTAACATGAACCCCTAGTGTATAGCTCAGCCATTTGTATGTCACCTGTAACAAGAAAAAATTTTTCAAATGTTTTATTAGATGACTCCAGAGTGCACATCAGTCCCGAAGGTCTGTTGCTAAAGATTCCTATTCTTAGATGATTATGCCTTACAAATTACAATAAATGCCACTGCAGTTTTCCCAAGAACTATCTATCTGGGTAGGCAGGACCTATTTATCTTAAAAATGCTAAGAAGTTTGTTTCATGAACTAATGAAAAGTAATCTAAAAAGACAAGCTGAACATACCTAACAGAAAAAACTCTCATTTTCCTCACATTCCTTGTTTTACTCAGGCCCTTTCCTCATGATGTTTTTTTTGGGGGCCACCAGCCAAAGCCATCCTAAAACTCATTCAGAAGCTAGATGACTTTGAAGTGTGATGTCTCAGAAACTTCTAAAGAAAGTTGCACCCATGCAAACATTAAAGGGCACAGGTGGTGCAGGGGTCAGGAAACGAAAAAAGTGGGTAAATATTTTTATAAGAGATTAGATTGGGAACTACCAGCATCAAGCCTTCATCCCTCCTAGACCCAGGATGCCTGCACTCTCTTCTCTCAAAGTCTCTTCCAATTCCAAATGTCAAGCTTCCAATAGTTAGAAGACTTGCACAGGTTAGGCAAAGGCAGTGTGATGTAGAAGAAAGCATTAGTAAGAGGACAGACCTAGGTTGAAAAACTGCCTATCCCTTACCAAACGCAAATAAACAAGTTATTTGGCCCCTCAGCTTCAATTTCCTCATCTCGGGATACCACCACCGACCTGGGATGGGGTGCGGGGAGGTCACTGTAAAGATTAAAGTGCCTTGGCACACAGCAGGCACTCAATCATCACGGTTTGCAAAGTGCACTCACATCCATCAATTCGCTCGATCTTTTCCTCACCCGTGTGAAGCGGATCAAACCTCTATCAATGCTTAAATTTCCAGGAAGAGGAAACAGTATCTGGAGGTTACGCAACTTGTAACTTAACACAGTTAAGACACGATTTCCTCAACTGTAAACTTAAAACTTTAAACGCCAACCACCTTAAAAGAAAGGTGTAGGGACGCCTTAGAACTCTCAGCCAACGGCCCTCCCTCCGCGCCCGGTCTCCGCGGCTCCAGCCCCAGGCTCTGTTCCCAGCACGCCCACCCAAGGGACGCGGACTTCCGTGTGTGCTGGAGGACCTTCCCGACGAGTCCTCGCTCGCTCTGGGGCACAGAGCTCGCCCAGGTCCCCTCGTGGGGACCTGTCTCCCCTGGTCCCCACGAAGCCACAAGCAGACAGAGGGTCAAGGCTCCCGCCGCCCTAGCCGGGCCCAGGACCCCGGTCGCACGCCCGCGTTCCCCAGTAGTAGCTGCTCACGATCTTGTTTTGGTCCGTGACGAACTCGTCTATATTTTCCAGATAAAGCTGGTCCGCCATGGTGCGGCAGCGCTGGGACCCGCCTCTAACCCCTCTCTCAATCACAGCCACAGCTCCCGCCGGCGGGAAACGTCTTTGCTCCCTCCCAGGTCCCGGGTCGTTTCCCCGGCAACGGAGGCGACGCACTACGGCGGCCCTCGAAGGGTCAAACTAGTCAGGGAGACGGCGCAGACGGAGGTAGGCAGAGCTAGTAGAAAACACCGAAGTGCGGGGCCTCCTGGCTGGTTTTTTCCTATACCTACGTACCTATGATAAAGTTTAATTTATAAATTAGGCACAGTAAGAGATTAACAAAAATAACTAACGATAAAATAGAACAATTATTATTATACTGTAATAAACATTAGTGAATATGGTCTCTCAACAGATGTCATTGGGTATAATATTTCCCTACCGAGGTTGGCTGCGCGTGATGAAACCCGGGAAAGCCAGGATAAAGGGGAGACTATTGAAAACAAGTAATTTTAGTAGTGCTGCCAACTGGGGAAAAGTACTGCCTGTTATAATCCCTCAGAGTTGAGAAATTAGGGAAGGTTTTTCCAGAGGGGTTGAGGAGAGGCTGAGTGTTTCGGATAGAAGCAGGAGAATTTGCTGGAAAAGAGTTCATTATCTCTGGATTGTTAGGAGAAGAGGCGGATGAGAGAGACTTGGGAGAAACCAAATCGTTGTGCCTAGGAGACTGTGAAGAGGCGCTTGAGCTGTGTTCTCAGGAAAACTTGGAGAAAAGTTATCAGGTTGGGGAATTTCAACTCAAATTTCTCCTAGTATCACCCCCGCAAAAATCTTTAATAATTGACTTCAGCATAAGCCGGTGCAGTTCAGTATCGCAGGTGTAGTGCGTAAGAGAGTGGGCTCTAGAGTCAGACTTACTGGGTTTGAATCCTGGTTTTGCTGTTTGTTGTGTAAACTTAGGTAATTCTTTAGCCACTAGGAGCCTATTTCCTTATCTATAAAATGGGAATAATAACAGTACCTACTTCAAAGGCTTGTCGCGACATGCATTCATTCAAAGCATAGCAAAATCCTGAGAAAGGCCAGATACTATTCTGAGTGTTGAGGTGCTGGGGCTGCAGCTATGAGCAATAATAAACCGAGCCTGTTCACATGTAACTTACATTCTGAGATTTTTAAGTGAAAGATAGTGGTGGTTTAAAATAGGGTAGCAGACCGGGCGCGGTGGCTAACGCCTGTAATCCCAGCACTTTGGGAGGCCTAGGGGGATGAATCACCTGAGGTCAGGAGTTCGAGGCCTGCCAGGCCCACATGGTGAAACCCTGTCTCTACTAAAAATATAAAAATTAGCCGGGCGTGGTGGCACGTGCCTATAGTCCCAGTTACTCCCAGGGCTGAGGCATGAGAATGTCTTGAATCCAGGAGGTGGAGGTTGCAGTGAGCCGAGATCATGCCACTGCACTTCAGCTTGGGAAACAGAGAGAGACTCCGTCTAAAAATAAAATAAAATGGCTCGGCGCAGTGGCTCACACCTGTAATCCCACACTTTGGGAGGCCGAGGCAGGCAGATCACCTGAGGTCAGGAGTTCGAGACCAGCCTGGCAAACATGGCGAAACCCCGTCTCTACTAAAAATACAAAAATTAACCAGGTGTGGTGGTACACGCCTGTAATCCCAGCTACTCGGGAGGCTGAGGCAGCAGAATCACTTGAACCTGGGAGACCGAGGTTGCGGTGAGCTGAGATGGTGCCACTGCACTCCAGCCTGGGAAACAGAGTGAGACCCCCCTCAAAATAAATAAATAAAATAAAATAGGGTAGCAGTGCCAGGCACAGTAGCTCACACCTATAATCCCAGCACTTTGGGAGGCCAAGGCAAGTGGATCACTTGAGCCCCAGGAGTTCGAGACCAGCCTGAGCAACATACTGAAACTCCGTCCCTACTAAAAAAAAAAAAAAAAAAAGCCATGGTGGCACGAGCCTGTGGTCTGTGGTCTGTGGTCCCAGTTCTGAAGTGGGAGGATGGATTGAGCCCAGGAGGTAGAGGTTGCAGTGAGCACTTGATCATGCCACTGCATACAGCCTGGGTGACAGAGTGAGACCCTGTCTCAAAAAATAATAATTTTTTTTTTTTTTGAGACAGAGTTTTGCTCTTGTTCCCCAGGTTGGAGTGCAATGGCGCGATCTCGGCTCACTGTAACCTCTGCCTCCCGGGTTCAAGTGATTCTCCTGCCTCTGCCTCCCAAGTTGCTGGGATTACTGGCATGCGCCACCACACCCGGCTAATTTTGTTGTAGTTCTAGTAGAGAGGGGGTTTCGCCATGTTGGCCAGGCTGGTCTCGAACTCCTGACCTCAGGTGATCCACCTGCCTTGGCCTCCCAAAGTGCTGGGATTACAGGCGTAAGCCACAACGCCAAACCAATACATTTTTTAAAATAGAGTAGTGGTAGTGGAAATTGAGAGAACTGAGTGACTTGAGTTTTGTTTTAGAGTCGGCAAAACCTGCTGATGAATTACACGAGTGGAGTGTGGAAAAAACAGGAATCAAGGAAAATACCTAGATATGGAACATAAATCTTTAGGTAAATGGTGATGCCCTTGACTGAGACGTGAAAGACTGGAAGCAGATGAGAAAATCAAATAATTCTATTTGGCCAGTTACAAATGAGATAATATACATAAAACTCTCATGCAGTACCTGCACACAATAAAATCTATGATCGTTGACTATTACGTTATTATATACCAGACCTACTATACCAGGTACTTTAAGAGCAATATTTCATTTAGTCCTCATAGCAATGCTGCAAATGTATTATATTGTCCATATTTTATTTTATTATTTATTTATTTATTTTGAGACGGAGTTTTGCTCCTGTTGCCCAGGCTGGAGTGCAATGGCGCAATCTCTGCTCACTGCAACCTCTGCCTCCCGGGTTCAAGCGATTCTCCTGCCTCAGCTTCTCGAGTAGCTGGGATTACAGGCATGCACCACCATGCCCAGCTAATTTTGTATTTTTAGTAGAGACAGGGTTTCTCCATGTTGGTCAGGCTGGCCTCGAACTCCCGACCTCAGGCAATCCGCCCACCTCAGCCTCCCAAAGTGCTGGGATTATAGGTGTGAGCCACCGTGCCCAGCCTGTTTATTTATTTTGTTTTATTTTTTGAGATGGAGTCTTGATCTGTCGCCCAGGGTGGAGTGCAGTGGCATGATCTCCACTCACTGCAACCTCTGCCTCCCAGGTTCATGCGATTCTCATGCCTCCACCTCCTGAGTAGCTGGGATCACAGGTATGCACCACCACACCCAACTGTATTTTTAGTAGAGAGGGGGTTTCGCCTTGTTGGTCAGGCTGGTCTTAAATTTCTGACCTCAAGTGATCCGCCCACTTCGGCCTCCCAAACTGCTGGGATTACAGGTGTGACCCACTGTGCCTGGCCATTGTCCATATTTTAGAGACTGGATTGTTGCGGCTCAGAGAGAAATAGATTTTTCCAGGATTATTAGGTGGTTGCTGTGGGATCAGAACTCAGGCCTCTTGTCAGTGCTCCACAGGAGTGGGAAGTAAGTCAAGATAATTAGCTAGGGAAGAGTCTTGATACTTATCCCTATGCCAAATGGAGCAGATGACAATGAGGTGGCTACATTGTCTGGGCTATATACCCTGGGGTTGGTAGTCTGGCACCAGGAAAATTTAGGACACTAACACACACGAAGAGTTTAGGAGCGGAGGTTTAATAGGCAGAAGAGAAAGAGAAACAGTTCTCTTTATATATAGAGAGAGGGGTCTCCTAGTGATCATGGTGGCAGATGCGCTGGACTTTATAGTCCAGCTTGAGGAGGCGGTGTCTGATTTATGTAGGGCTCACAGATTGTTTCGATCAGGTGTGACATTTACATAGCCCAGGGGTGAAGGCTGGTATCCCCACCCTGATCTTATGATGCAAATGAACTCTCCTTGGCTGGCACCATCTTGTCTGCTCCTTACTGTACATGTGGCTGGCAGAGAAGGGATGATGGAGTCGCCATCTTGAACATGTCTAGTCCCTAGTTCCTGCCCACATTCACCCGTGCAAGCTCCCAGCTTGCTTGTCTATGTCTGAAGCTCAACTTTACAGGCTGGTCTTTGTTAGAAAATGATTTGGGGCTGCTTTTCATGAAAAAGAAAAGCCTTACCATGGACTTCTATACCCTTACTATCTGCCTAAGTGATTTCTTCTTAACTCCTATATCAACCACACTGTTTAGAGTGCCCAGCCCAACCCAATGGACCTGCCAATATTAGGGTTGAATGACTTAGCTGGATTAGTGGTTACCCTTGGGAGGGTAGAAACTGGAAGGGAGTATGAGGAGGCTTTTGAGATGAAGGTAATATTCTTGATCTTGGTGCTGGTTGCATGGTGTGTTGAGTTTGTGAAAATGATTTGAGGTATATACTTTTGATATGTATAGTTTTCTATATGGATGTTTGCGTGAATCAAAAGTTTAAGGAAATTATTTGAGGAATCTTAACTACAGTGTCAAGTCTTTTCAAACTAGGAAAATAGAAAATAGGTAGAGGTATTAGAAAGAATGGGTTTAATCTTAACCTTGGACAATAGAAAGGAGATTCTGGGAAGAAGGGATAATGGGCAAAAGTGGTGCAAAGCAAGGCAGTAATTGGATTATCAAATCAAGATAAATAATGAAAGGTATCTCCAAGTCTGGGTTGGGATAATGGGACTAGAAAGGAATGACTACAGCTCTGCACAGGATTGGGTAGGCTGGGGGTTGGGTTAAGGGCAGGAGAGCTGGAGGGGGAAGAGAAGAGATAGCTTTTCTGTTTCTGTGTCTAAGGCCTATCCAGTTTGATTTTTCCTTTTCCAATTTGGAGCGTAATTGAATGAAAAGCATATGGGCTTTGGAAACAATGTTTCTTGTGAGAAGCAAGAAAGCAAACAAACAAACAAACAAACATCTGGGCCTGAATTCCAGCTTTACCACTTACTAGCAGTGTGGCTTTAGGCAAATCATTTAACTTCTTTTATCATCTTAAAAGAAGAGAGATAATAATATCCAGCGATGTACAGATAAATGTGTAATAACCAACTTGCTAAATAAAAAAAGCCCTGATTTGAAGTGGTTGCACTTCTGTGGTATAAATACTCCACATAGCAGAATTCAAGCTACAGATATTGATGCCATAGAATGCAGAGTTAGGAAGAGATGCACAGTATCACACCATTATTTCCATCATACAGACACAATAAACATAAATAACCTCAAGAGCATAGATAGGCCAGGCACAGTGACTCACATCTGTAATCTCAGTACTTTGGGAGGCAAAGACAGGAGCATCCCTTGATCCCAGGAGTTCGAGTCCAGCTTAGGAAACATAGTGAGACCTGTCTCTCTATAAAAGAAAAACACAAATGAAAAAGAGCATAGATAGTAGTAAAACACTTAGGAAGTGATGAAATTTGAATATTGTCTTGTGTTTAATATAATTTGATTGTACATTTATATAATTTAATTTTCAGTAATGGCTCTGTTTAACTGACTTGCAAACTTTCTGAAAATTTAACATTCAGCTCTCATAAGCAAGTGCATCAACCAGCTCTCGTGCATCACTGTAAATAATTTATCTACCTTGCATGATTGAGAGGGTTGAAAGTAACATGTTCTGTGCCTTGGAGATAATTAAGTGCTCCATAAATGGCAACTATTATTATATAACAAACACTTATATACCACTGACTACATGACAGGCTCCATTCCAAGTGCTTTACAAATATTAACCCATCTAATCTCTGTAACAACCCTAGAAAGTAAAGCATGTTATTATTCCCTTTATTCAGAAAAGTAAACTCTGTCACAGAGAGGTTAAATAACTTGCCCAAGGTCACAAAGCAACACAGCTAGAAGTATAACCCAGGCAATCTGGCTACAGCATCCATGATCTTAAACACTGTGTTTTGCCATCTCATTATTAGTTTACAACTGTACATATAAAACCAATAATAAGTACAGTGAACTCTAACACATTTTATTGCAGAATTTTGGGATTCCTGTGCACATCAGTCAAGTGAGAATTACTTTCAGTAGAAACCAAGTAACAAATTGGATATGTTGAGTATCACATCATATGACAACATAGAGTCCAGGCAAATAAAAGTTAATCTTGAAAGTTTTTGAGTCAGGTGTTGGAGGTAAGGGAAGTTTGAGGGGAGTATAGACCTTTGATTAGATTTAGAAGGGAACTACAGCTAGCAAATGCCAGTGAAGAAACCTAGGACTGTGTCCAGGAGATTAGTATTTTATCTAGATAATGCCTGAAGGCTTCATTTTAGGGTCAAAAGTAAACCAGAAAAGAGAACTCCTCTGTACTTTTACTGCCATGAATCCCAGATGAAGAGTCTTTTAGGTTGTATACATTGCTTGGATGATAATAACTATCATTTATTGAGCACATACCGTGTTTTGAGTACCTTGCCTAGAGTGGCTTATTTAATCCTCAGCCAATCCTGTTAGATTCAATTATCCCTTCACCAAAAAAGGACCCAAATTTGAGATCAATTTTATGTTGTTAATGGGAAGAGTTAGTAGAAAACAATTCCATGTAAGTTCTAAGACAAGGTTTGCTTAAACAAATAACTAAGTAGCACTTTACAACTAGCCTCATCCTAATATAATAATAATAATGACAACACCACCACCAGTGTCTAATAGCTTCTTAATAAATGTTTACTGATTTAGTTTTTTTGTTTGTTTGTTTGGTTGGTTGGTGTTTTGAGACAGAGTCTCACTCTCTTGCCCAGGCTGGAGTGCAGTGGCATGATCTTGGCTAGCTGCAACCTCCGCCTCCTGGGCTCAGGCAGTCCTCCTGCCTCGGCCTCCTGAGTAGCTGGGATTACAGGCACCTGCCACCATGCCTGGCTAATTTTTATATTTTTAGTAGAGATGGGGTTTCACCATGTTGTCCAGGCTGGTCTTGAACTCCTGACCTCAGGTGATCCATCTGCCTCGGCCTCCAAAGTGCTGGGATTACAGGCGTGAGCCACGGCGCCTGTCCTGACTTACGTGTAATTACACTAAAAGCAGTGAGATTTAAGGGGAAAAATATAGGACTGAGAAAAAAGGAGACCTCAGAGTGTTCACTATGAATTACCATTCACTGCATATGTAGGCACGATGCTAGGCCTTTTACTTGAATATTTTCATTTAATCTTTGGAACGACCAATAAAGTAAGTATTATTACTTACCTACTATTATCTGTATTTTATAGATGTCACTTAGCTTAAATTATTATCCCTATTGTACAGATGAAGAAACTGGAGCTCAGAGAAATTAAGTAACTTATCCCAAACCACATAGGTAGTAAGTGGTAAAGATGTGTTTCCAGCCCAGGTATGCCCAAAGCCCATGTTCTCAACACCGTGGTTATCTTTACACGATAGCATTTGGCTGATTTTTGTTCTCTTCTTTATATCTATTTTTTCTTATATGTGTTTGGAAATTTTAACAAGAGTCCATATCATTTTTATTTATTTATTTTTTTGAGATGGAGTTTCACTCTTGTTGCCCAGGCTGGAATGCAATGGCACGATCTCGGCTTACCGCAACCTCCGCCTCCCGGGTTCAAGTGATTCTCCTGCCTCAGCCTCCTGAGTAGCTGGGATTACAGGCATGTGCCACTACACCCAGCTAATTTTGTATTTTTAGTAGAGACAGGGTTTCTCCATGTTGGTCAGGCTGGTCTCGAACTCCCGACCTCAGGCAATCCGCCCACCTCAGCCTCCCAAAGTGCTGGGATTATAGGCGTGAGCCATCGCGCCTGGCCAAGAGTCTGTATCATTTTTATAATCAGAAAAGAATGAACATATTTTCATTTTGAAAAAAATGGAGCATTTAGCAATGTCAAATTAACTCTTTTTATTCCAGTTCTCTGTAATGTTTCCCTATTTAAAATGTAAAAGGCGGCTGAGCGAGGTGGCTCATGCCTATAATCCCAGCACTTTGGGAGGCCGAGGTGGGCGGATCGCCTGAGGTCGGGAGTTTGAGACCAGCCTGACCAACATGGAGAAACCCTGTCTCTACTAAAAATACAAAAATTAGCTGGGTGTGGTGGCAGGCGCCTATAATCCCAGCTACTCGGGAAGCTGAGGCAGGAGAATCGCTTGAACCCGGGAGGCGGAGGCTGCAGTGAGCCTAAATCCTGCCATTGCACTCCCCTCTGGGCAACAGAGTAAGACTCCATTTCAAAAAAAATAAAATGTAAAAGGCAATCTCCAGAAAGGACTAGCACCACCATTCCTACTTACAACATCTTAAATGTCACTTTAAAAAAAAAAAAAAACAACAACTCACTCCTTATTCCTTAAGGATGAGGCTTACCATATGTGCCTCATGTTGAGAACAAAAGCAGTTCTCCAGAAGCCAGAATAATCAATCAGCCAAAGCATTTTCTAGCGAAAAGAGAGGTCAGACAAAACTGTTGGGGATGTTGGTGTCAGGTGCCACCAGCAGTGGGAACCATAGGACCGAACCACCTCAGCCTCCATGCCTCAAAAAAGAACCTAAGATAGGTGTCAGAAGTAGAAGGCTGACCCTCCTCTGTCTTCTTCGTCATCCCCGCTTCATCCCAGAAATAATTGCATCAGACAGTCTAATGATTCTGACAGGGCATGGAGTGGGAAATCTAGACAGGGCTCAATATTGGGGCAGGGTGATGAGCAATCAACCTATATGCAGGCAGGATCCCCAAACTCAGAGGAGGGAAGGAGGCCAGGCCTCTGGACAGGAAAGGAAGCCCTTGGGGGCAACTTAGGAACCCTATCAGTTGGCTAGCCTTCAGGGATACTACAGGTTTATTGGGGGTAACGTTTTCCAAGCAGGGTAACAGGTCAACTAAGGAGTATAAGATTAAAGTAATCTTAAGACCAGGCTCGGTGGTTTATGCCTATAATCCCAGCACTTGGGGAAGCCAAGGCAGGAGGATCACTTGAGGCCAGGAGTTTAAGACCAGCCTGGACAACATGGCAAAACCCTGTCTCTACTAAAAAATACAAACATTAGCCAGGTGTGGTGGCTCACTCTTGTAATCCCAGCTACTTGGGAGGCTGAGGAGGGAGGATCGCTTGAACCCAGCAGGTGGAGGTTGCAGTGAGCCAAGATCCTGCCACTGCACTCCAGCCTGGGCAACACAGTGAGACCCTGTATCAAACACAAAACAAAAAAAGAAGTAATCTTAACACCAACATATTTCTTGTTGACACAGATGTATTTAGTAATTAGATCACTCATTCATTCATTCATTCATTCATTCAACAAACATTGCTACAGGCCTCTTGTATACCAGGCTCTATGTGATTAATCGGGACACAGCATGGTCTTCATCTCTGGGAGTTTACAGTCTGTATAGGGTAAAGAGCAATACAGTGTGAGGAAATCACAGTGTGCCACAAGAACCTGGAGGAGGCAGCTCACCTAGCCCAAAGATCAGAGGAAATCAGGGAAAGACTTTGGACCTGGATACCAGGGATATATACCACGTAATCCTTCCTTTCATTTGGTGCAATATATAAGAAATGAAATCAGAGTGCTGTCTTTTTTTTTGCCAGGCTGGAGTACAGTGGTGCAATCTTGGGTCACTGCAACCTCTACCTCCTGGGTTCAAGCAATTCTCATAACTCAACCTCCTGAGTAGCTGGAACAACAAGTGTGTACCACCACGCCTGGATAATTTTTGTATTTTTGGTAGAGACAGGGTTTCACCATGTTGGCCAGGCTTGTCTCAAACTCCCGGCCTCAAGTGATCCACCCACCTTGTCCTCCCAGAGTTCTGGGATTACAGGCGTAAACCACCACACGTGGCCAGAGTGCTGTCTTTGTTACAACTTTTAACAATACATCACAAGCCTGTATTTCTTCTTTTTCAAAAAGTTGTTTAGGCCAGGCATGGTGGCTCATGCCTGTAATCCCAACACTTTGGGAGGCTGAGGTGGGAGGATCGCATGAGTCCAGGAGTTTGAGACCAGCCTAGGCAACACAGGGCAACCCCATCTCTACAAAAAAAGAAAAAGAAAAAAATAGCCAGGTGTGGTGGCTTGTGCCTGTAGTCCTAGCTACTCGGGAGGCTGAGGCAGGAGGATCACTTGAGCCCAGGACGTCAAGGCTGCAGTGAGCTATGATCATGCCACTGCACTCCAGCTTGGGTGACAAAGCAAGACCCCATCTCAAAAATAAAAGCATTTTTTAAAGTTGTCATAAACTTTTATGAGAACATGTGTATCTTACATAGACTGTCTTGTGGAATGTATAGCTACCCAGGCCAGGCCAGGCCAGGACACATCACGCTCATGACAGCTGGTGACGTAGGAGCTCAAGGACAGTGAGATAAGCCTGCAGGTGCTTGTTCTAAAACACCTTATCAGTGCTATAAAAATCAATGTAAAGTCCCTCAGTTACCAAAACTAAGTGGGTGAGCCAAGAGGACACTGTGATACTGGTTTTCCTGTTCTATACCTATACCACCCCGTCATGCTCCCAGCCACACTCACATCCCAGCCTGTTTATTCCTCAGCTCGCTCACCAGAGGTTCACATCTCTACCTTTGCTGCCTCAGACATTCAGAAAAAGAGCAGGAGGACCTTCCATCCCCACCTTGCATATGCTTTGTATAAATTTTTTCCTTTCTCCCTTCCCTTGGGGGCTGGGAGAGTGCTTGGAGTAGTGATGCTAAAAGTGAAGATAACTGGAAACTGGCTATGGGCAATTTTGTCTTAAGCACATCATTTCTGAATTTTTTGTTTTTTTGTTTGTTGTGAAACAGAGTCTCCCTCTGTCACCCAGGCTGGAGTGCAGTGTCGTGATCTTGGCTCACTGCAACCTCCGCCTCCTGGGTTCAAGCAATTATCCTGCCTCAGCCTCCCGAGTAGCTGGGATTACAGGCGCCCGCCACTATGCCGGGCTAATTTTTGTATTTTTAGTAGAGCTGGTGTTTCACCATATTGGCCAGGCTGGTCTCGAACTCCTGACCTGGTGATCGCCCACCTTGGCCTCCCAAAGTGCTAGGATTATAGGCGTGAGCCACCGCACCTGGCCTCTGAATTCTTACAATGTGTGTCAGGTGGGGTTGGCATTCAGGGCTAGAAAGAAGCATATGATCATTTTTTCAGAGAACATTGGTTTCTGCCCCCAAACACTGCTGGTCAGGGAGGCTTCCTGAGGAGCTGTCACATGGTCTCAGCTTTCATGTCAGGTAAAGAAGGGCAAGGGCTGTTCCAGACACAGTCTGGATGGAGTGAGCTGCTCTCTTTGCCTCATTGTCTTTTGACCTAATTGCTTCTTTCTGTATGACTGCTCTGTTTTCTTCTCTGCTTAACCACAGTTTTTGTTTCCTCATAATTTTAGTGTAAACACAGCCATTGTTGCCATGGCTCATCTCAACTACCACTTCCAGCTTTTGGCCCATGACTAACTACAGATTTTCTCAACAGTTCCCCATTTTGTAATTCCTAAATGGTCCAGTCCAATTTGCTCAACTTATTTCAGTTTTAGGTTTTTTTAAAATTTCAGATTATCAAAATTTTTTCAGGATACTAAGCAGCCCGTGGACAGGTCCTCTTGGACAAGTGCTCATTCATTCATTCCTCACTTGTTCACTGAGTTTCTTCTTAGACTTCACTATATATATGAGATACAATAGTATACAAGAGACATATGGCCCAGGTTGGAGACAGATAAGTTAACAAACAGTTAAAAGACCATGTTGGCCAGATGCGGTGGCTTATGCCTGTAATCCCAGCACTTTGGGAAGCCGAGGCAAGTGGATCACCTGAGGTCAGGAGTTCAAGATCAGCCTGAGCAACATGGTGAAACCCCTCTCTACTAAAAATACAAAAATTAGGCTGGGAGCAGTGGCTCACGCCTGCAATCTCAGCACTTTGGGAGGCTGAGGCAAGTAGATCACGAAGTCAGGAGTTCGAGACCATCCTGGCCAACATGGTGAAAACGCGTCTCTAGTAAAAATACAAAAATTAGCTGGGTGTGGTGGCGGGCGCCTGTAATCCCAGCTATTCGGGAGGCTGAGGCAGGAGAATTGCTTGAACCGGGAGGCGGAGGTTGCAGTGAACCGAGATTGCGCCATTGCACTACATCCTGGGCAACAGGGCAAGACTCCGTCTCAAAAACAAACAAACAAACAAACAAAAAAACAAATATTAGCTGAGTGTGGCGGTGGGCACCTATAATCCCAACTACTCGGGAGGCTGAGGCAGGAGAATTGCTTGAACCCAGGAGGCGGAGGTTACAGTGAGCCGAGATCATGCCACTTCACTCCAGCCTGGGCTAAAGAGCGAGACTCCATCGCAGGAAAAAAAAAAAAAAGGAATGCATTGAATTTGGTCTCCGTCAGCTAGAAGAGTGACAGGCACAAAAGCCAGAGTTCAGTAATTTAAGGAATGAAGAGTGAGAAGAACTGAAGATAGAAGGTGAGGACAACTCTGGCCAATTAAATACATGGAAATGGAGAGGTGGAAGGAGTTGAGGATGGTCGTGAGCTTCATAGCATGTCTGTCTAAGCCACAGGGCTAGGAGGTGGTGGTGGACGTTTGTGTTAGGAAAAGGCATGCCAGGCATTGTGGGGTCTGCTCCGTCTAGAGTGTTGTCAGTCAGGGAGGCCTGACTGGAGGAACTGAAGGCTGGAATCTGCAGGAGGGGACATGGAATTCTTCAAAGGCCTTTTCATCCCTGGTTCCCAGCACCCTGCTTGGCTAAAACTGGAATGGACAGGCCCTTAGCAAATATTTATTGGCTGGAAACTGAATGCCTGGTGAATAGATGGATGGGTGGATGAAATTGAATTAAATATTGTTCTGCTCTATAGTCCTTTTTGTTGAGTTACAGAATATTGTTTGTGGAAGGTGTTGTCTACTTTTCCTTGCACCACTGCAATGACTATTGTCTGTTATCAAGTGAGCATTATAGATAAGCTAATGGGGAAATCCAGCTTCCTTCAAAGACCCAATGATCAGAAATGAGGACAGAGAGGCAACGAGCCCAGGTCCTAAACAGGCTTGAGGGCTGCAAAGAGCCCTGCTGCTAGACCCCACAGGGAGGCTTCACGTGTTCCTACGTACAACCTTGACACACAGTACTTTAGTAAACATTCCATATGTTTGGGGTTGACCAATTTAAAGTATCTTACCTTTCAATATTTTCTTCTTAAGGCAAAATCAGATAGTGGACTTCCCCAACTAACTTCCCTCATTTTCCCTTGCTCTATGATGCCTCCACCACCCCTCTGCTGTCCCTGTACCTGCCCTATTTCAGGCCCTCCTATCATCAGTCTTTTCTTTTTAAGTTGTTTTTCTACTAATAAAGGAAATGCCTGCTCGTCCTCATCTTTTCTAGCTTCATCTCTCCTCCAATCCGCCCTCCCTGGCCCTGGTTCATCTTTAACACAAGTTCTAGGATGATGTTTCTTTTCTTTTCTTTTTTTTTTTTTTTTTTTGAGACAGATTCTCGCTCTGTCGCCAGGCTGGAGTGCAGTGGTGCGATCTCGGCTCACTGCAACCTCTGCCTCCTGGGTTCAAGCGATTCTCCTGCCTAAGCCTCCCGATTAGCTGGGGCTACAGGTGCCCACAACCACACCCAGCTAATTTTTATATTTTTAATAGAGACGGAGTTTCACCATGTGGGCCAAGATGGTTTCGATCTCTTGACCTCATGATCCACCTGCCTCGGCCTCCCAAAGTGCTGGGATTACAGGTGTGAGCCACTGCACCTGGCCAGGATGATGTTTCTGAAACACAGATCTGATGATGTTACTCCCTGCTTAAAACCCTTTGGTGGTTCTCTGTTGATTTTAGAATAAAGTCTCTCTCTCTCTCTCTCCTTCCTTCCTTCCTTCCTTCCTTCATTCATTCCTTCCTTCATTCCTTCCCTCCCTCCCTCCCTCCCTCCCTGCCTCCCTCCCTCCTTCCCTCCTTCCTTCCTTAATGGAGTCTCACTCTGTCACCCAGGCTGGACTGCAGTGGCACGATCTCAACTCACTGCAACCTCCACCTCCCAGGTTCAAGGGAGTCTCCTCCCTCAGCCTTCTGAGTAGCTGGGACTATAGGTGCATGACACCATGCCTGGCTAATTTTTTTTGTATTTTTAGTAGAGATAGGGTTTCATCGTGTGGGTCAGGCTGGTCTCAAACTCCTGACCTCAAATGATCTGCCCACTTCAGCCTCCCAAAGTGCTGGGATTACAGGTGTGAGCCACCGTGTCCGGCAAGTCTCAGTTTCTTAGTAGAGAAGACGGGAGCGTTCAAGGCTCTTCAGGGTCTGGTCCTTCTTCCACCTTCCTCTTCAGCAATGTCAAACTGCAGTAGCGCCAGCATCATCCAACAGCACACACCTGCTATCACAGCCACATGTCTTCGCTTCCTGCTTCTGCTGCAGCCTGAAATACTGCCCTTGACTCTGCTCCATTCCTTTATGTCTGGAAGCTTGAGAGCCTCCTTCCTGGCATTTGTCTCATGGCCTCCTGCTGATTAAACACAGTCCAGATGGTGCTGCTGCTTCTCATCTGGCTGGGCAAGATTCTGTTTCAGCTCCTGATTTCCATGAAATATGCAATCCCATCAGGCATTTGGGGATTTGGGCAGTGTACTAAGGATGTGAGGAGTGTGGGGGAAGGGGTACACTGCACAGTTCCCACAATTTACACCTAAGATTTCCCACCTGAGGTCTCTCCTCTCCAAAATTCCCTTGTTTCAGCCAGCTTCCCAGCCCAGGGTATTTTAGTCTTCCCCCTTCTCCTTGTTAGGAACACATGTGTGCATGCATATATGTGTGTGTGTGTGTGTGTGTGCATGCATGCATGTGTGTGCATGCGTGTGTGTGTGCATGCATGTGTTGCGTGTGTGCATGCATGTGTGTGTGAATGTGTGTGCATGCATGTGTATGTGTGCGTGCGTGTGTGTGTGTGTATATGTGTGTGTAAACCTCCCTTGTCTCATGCAACACAATCCCACCCTTTCTCTACCCAAGTTCCAAGAGGCTATAGGGTAGTTTTTCATAGATTATCCTAATTTCTTCTCAGGATACTTTGGCACCTGTTGCTAAAAAAATTAAAGAGGCATCCATACCTTACACATCTCTCTCACTGAGTTTGCTGTGAGCTCCTGAAGGCCAGGCCCATGTCTAATTCATCACTGGTCCCTGTTCCAGCTGGAGCCTGGCACAGACATGGCCAGGACATAAATGAGCCACCGGACTGTGGTGTGGCTAGAAGAGGCTGGGAAGTATGGGATAGCAGGTCAGTAAGGAATGCCTTCATTTTTCATCCTGGAGAGTTGGGTTTCTGATGAGCTGCCCCCACCCCCCATTGTTCTCAGAGCTGATTCATACCCAGAAATATATCCTCTGCCTCTGTCGATACATCTTGGCCTTTGAGAACCCCATTAGGCCAGACAAAGGGAACGTCCATCTGCTGGGCACTTTCTTTCTTTTTTTTTTTTTTTTTGATACAGAGTCTCGCTCTTTAGCCCAGGCTGGAGTGAAGCGGCGTGATCTCAGCTCACTGCAACCTCCGCCGCCTGGGTTCAAGCAATTCTCCTGCCTCAGGCCCCCGAGTAGTTGGGATTATAAGTGTGCACCACCACCACGCCCAGCTAATTTTTTGTATTTTTAGTAGAGACAGGGTTTTGCCATGTTGGCCAGGCTGGTCTCGAACTCCTGACCTCAGGTGATCCACCTGCCTCGGCCTCCCAAAATGCTAGGATTACAGGTATGAGCCACCGCGTCCGGTCTGCTGGGCACTTTCACGAGGTATTTCCTCCTCCAGGAAGCTGGTCTCCCTCTGTGACCATCCCCGGGAACCACATTTCTCACAGATCACCTGTCCAACAGCAGGTGCCAAGTCTACTCCCATCCTTACTGCCCCTCGCTGAGCACAGGCCCGGCCATCTTTCAGCCTCCCCACTGGTCTTTCTGTCTCCATTTCCACCTCTTCCAGTCTGTTCTCCATACTCACCACTAGAAATATGGTTCTGGGCCAGGCGCGGTGGCTCACGCCTGTAATTCTAGCACTTTGGGAGGCCAAGGTGGGCGGATCACTTGAGGTCAAGAGTTCAAGACCAGCCTCACCAACATGGCGAAACTCCATCTCTACTAAAAATACAAAAATTAGCTAGGCATGGTGGCACATGCCTGTAATTCCAGCTACTTGGGAGGCTGAGGCAGGAGAATGGCTTGAGCCTGGGAGACGAACATTGCGGTGAGCCGAGATCACGTCACTACACTCCAGCCTGGGCGACACAGCGAGACTCCATCTCAAAAAAAAAGATGGTTCTAAATGCTAAACTGACCTTGACCACCACCCCCCAACCTCAGGTAAAATTCCTTCCATGGCCCCGCTACTGCTTTATTTTAATAACTTGATTGATAAATAATTTACATACCATAAAATTTACCCATTTTAAGTATACAGTCAGGTGAATTTTAGTAAATTTATAGTTGCGTAACCATCACCCAAATCCAATCTTAGAACACTTCCATCATCCCCAAAGTTTCCTTGTGCCTTATATTCTCCACTTATACAGTCAATCCCTACCTCACCCCTTAGCCCTAAGCAACCACTGACCTGCTGTCTCTATAATTTTGTCTGTTCTAAAAATTTCATGCAGCGTGCTGGGCATGGTGGCTCATACCTGTAATCCCAGTGCTTTGGGAGGCCAAAGTGGGAGGATAGCTCCTGGAGTTCAAGACCAGCTTGCGTAACATAGTGAGACCCTCTCTTTATAAAAAATTTAAAAATTAAATTTAAAAAATTAAGCCGGGCATGATGGCTCATGCCTGTAATCCCAGCACTTCTGGGAGGCTGAGGCAGGAGGATAGCCTGAGCTCAGGAGTTCGAGACCAGCCTGGACAGTGTGGCAAGACCCCATCTCTACAAAAAAAAATTAGCTGGGCATGGTGGTGCATGCCTGTAGTCTGATATACACAGGAGACTGAGGTGGGCGGATCACTTGAGCCTGGGAGGTCGAGGCTGCAGTGAGCCGTGACTGTGCCAATGCATTCAATCCTGGGCAACAGAGCAAGATCCTGTAACAACAACAACAACAACAAAATTTAAAAAGTAAAAACGGAAACAATGCAGATGGAACCATATAACGTGTAGTTTTTGTGTATGACTTCTGTTTTGGGCTGAATTTTGTCCCTCCCAAATTCATATTTCAAAGTCCTAACCTCCAGGACCTCAGAATGTAACTGTATTTGGAGACAGTCTTTAAAATGGTACTTAAGTTAAAATTAGGGCATTAGAGTGGGTCTTAATCTAATGACAGGTGTCCTTATAAGAACAGATGAGGACTTGTACATGTACAGAGGGAAAACCATGTGAAGACATAGGGAGAAGATGGCCTTCTGCAAGCCAAAAAGAGAGGCTTCAGAAGAAATCAACTCTGACAACACCTTGATTTCTAGCCTTCAGAACTGTGAGAAAATAAATTTGTTTGTTTGTTTGTTTGTTTGTTTTTTGAGATGGAGTCTCACTCTGTTGCCCAGGCTGGAGTGCTGGAGTGCAGTGGCACAAACTCAGCTCACTGCAACCTCCGCCTCCCCAGTTCAAGCAATTCTCCTGCCTCAGCCTCCCCAGTAGCTGGGACTATAGGCGCCCACCATTATACCTGGCGAATTTTTGTATTTTAGTAGAGACAGGGTTTCGCTAATGTTGGCCAGCCTGCTCTCAAACTCCTGACCTCAAGTGATCTGCCCGCCTCAGCCTCCAAAAGTGCTGGGATTACAGACGTGAGCCACCACACCTGGCCAAAATTTGTATTAAGTCACCTAGTCTGTGGTACTTTGTTATGGCAGTCCAAGCAAACAAATGTATCGTCTTTCATGTTAGTGCAAATATCAGTAGTTGATTACTTTTTATTGCTGAGTAGTATTTTATTGTATGAGTGTACCATATTTTATTCATTTACTGACCAGATGATGGGTGTTGGATAAGTTCCAGTTTTGGTACTAAAAAATTTGCATACGAGTCTTGGTCTGAATGTGTTTTTATTACCTAGTGGTGCATCTCAGTGCTTTATTTTATTTCATTTTATTGTTTGAGATGGAGTCTCACTCTGTCGCTTGGGCTGGAGTCAGTGGAGCAATCTCGGCTCACTGCAACCTCTGCCTCCCAGGTTCAAGCGATTCTCCTGACTCAGCCTCCCGAGTAGCTGGGACTACAGGTGTGCACCACTACACCCAGCTAATTTTTGTATTTTTAGTAGAGATGGGGTTTCACCATGTTGTTTGGCCAGGATGGTCTCAATCTCTTGACCTCGTGATCCACCTGCCTCGGCCTCCCAAAGTGCTGGGATTACAGGCGTGAGCCACAGTGCCCGGCCTTTTTTTTGTTTGTTTGTTTGTTTGTTTTGAGACGGAGTCTCACTCTGTCACTCAGGCTGGAGTGGAGTGGTGCAATCTCGGCTCATTCAACCTCTGCTTCCTGGGTTCAAGCGATTCTTCTACCTCAGCCACCTGGGTAGCTGGGACTACAGGTGCCCGCCACCACCCCTGGCTAATTTTTTTTTTGTATGTTTTTATTAGAGACCGGTTTTCACCATATTGGCCAGGCTGGTCTCAAACTCCTGATCTTGTGATCCTCCCGCCTCAGCCTCCCAAAGTGTTGGAATTACAGGCGTGAGCCACCGCGCCTGACCCTCTCAGTGCTTTTAAGATCAAGTTTGAGGCCGGGTGCTGTGGCTAATACCTGTAATACCAACACTTTGAGAGACTGAAGTGGCAGGATCACTTGAGCCCAGGAATTTTAGACCAGCCTGGGCAACATAGTCATACCCCATCTCTACAAAAAATAAAGAAATGAGTCAGGCATAGTAGCGTGTGCCTGTGGTCCCAGCTACAGGGGAGGCTGAGGTGGGAGGTTCACTTAAACCCAGGAATTTGAGGCTTCAGTAAGCTGTGACCACGCCACTGTACTCCAGCCTAGGTGACAGAGCAAGACCCTGTCCCAAAAAAAGAGATCAAGTTTGAGCTTCTTACCACCTCAACTTCACCTCTCACCCCTAGCTGCTTCTTACCTATGCTCCAGCAACACAGACTGCTGATAAGTCCAGGTACATACCGTGTTATTTCCCACAAGTCTTTGCATCTGCTGTGCTCTCTTCAGAAGTATCCTCCTCAGTGTCCTCAGCCATAAAGAAGGCAGGTATCTTCTCTGCCAGGCTAGTTTAGGGCTCCTTTCCTTTGCTGTCATAACCCTTTGAGGTTCTATCATGCTAGATTACAGTGTCAGGTTGAATTTTTTTTTTTTAACTAGGCGAGTTTCTTAAGAAAAGGAATATTGTGTTATTTATTTCTGTATTCTCAGTGTCCAGGACCTATGTAATAATTGGTGTTCAATAAATGTTTGCTTAAAAAGGGAATAAATAAATGAATGAGTGATTCAGTCATTTGAAAAGTCTTTAGTGAGTGCCTACCATGTGTTTAGTATAATGCTAGCCACCACCGTGGCCACAAAAGAAATAAAAGACCTATAATACGTCCTTAAGGGCCGGGTGCAGTGGCTCACACCTGTAATCCCAGCACTTTGGGAGGCCAAGGCAGGCGGATCATGAGGTCAGGAGTTTAAGACTAGCCTGGCCAATATGGCAAAACCCTGTCTCTACTAAAAACACAAAAATTAGCCAGGCGTTGGTGGCACGTGCCTATAGTCCCAGCTACTCGGGCGGCTGAGGTAGAAAAATTGCTTGAACCCGGGAGATGGAGGTTGCAGTGAGCCAAGATCGCGCCACTGCACTCCAGCCTAGGCAACAGAGTGAGAGTCCATCTCAAAAAAAAAAAAAAAAAAAAGTCCTTAAGGAATTTTAGTTGGGAAAACAAGACCTGCTCAGGAAAACGGATTATAGAACAATGCAATAAAGAATCAAGTTGCTGAAGAGCACTGCACACACAGATCTCTGTTCAGATTCTGGCTGTATGATCATGTGCAAGCCCCCTAAGCTCTCTAGGCTTCAGTTTCCTCATCTGGAAAATGGAGATAATTACCAGATGTGTTGAGTTCGAGGTACTATTGGCATACAGTACTAATCATTAAACAATGCCACTCCTCTGGACAATATTTTATAGAAGTTCACAAAGCTGATTCACGTCAAAGCTGATTCACATTCTTTATCTCATGTGATCAACCCTGTGAAACAGGGATTATAGCATAGCATTTATGGCAGATTGTAAAAATGACCACAGATTATCCCCTTCCCTCTACCCACACCTTTTGAAAGTGCTTTTGCACTCTGAGTCTGGTTTGGCTTTGCGATGACTTGAAACATGCTTGAGCACGGAGGCTTGTCTGCTCTCTCTTTTTTTTTTTTGAGATGGAGTCTCGCTTTGTCACCTAGGCTGGAGTGCAGTGGCGTGATCTCAGCTCACTGCAACCTCTGCCTCCCGGGTTCATGCGATTCTTCTGTCTCAGTCTCCTGAGTAGCTGGGATTACAGGCATGCACCACCACACCCAGCTAATTTTTGTATTTTTAGTAGAGACGGGGTTTCATCATATTGGCCAGGCTGGTCTTGAACTCCTGATCTCATGATCCTCCCACCTCAGCCTCCCAAAGTGCTGGGATTACAGGTGTGAGCCACTGCATCTGGCCTGTCTTCTCTTGTTAAACTTGGAATCTTTAGCCCGCCAAGTCAATGAGCCTAAGCTAGCCTGCTGGAAGATGAGAGGCTATATGGAGGAGCATCAGGGTGCTCCAGCCAACTGCCAGTCACCAAATATGTGATTGAGCCAACTTACCAGCTATCCACAGACCCATGCATGTGGGAATCCAGCATAGATCAGCTAAATTGGCCAAGATCAAAACTGTGACCTGTATAAATATACTGTACCTTAGAACTGTGAACTAAACAAAATGATTGTTGTTTTAAGCCACTGTGTTTCAGGGTGGGTCATTTTATAGCAAAAGCTCACTGAGACAGAGATCCAGAGCAGTAAAGCTTTGGAGCTAAGCAGTCTGAGTTGGAAAGACAGCTTCTCCCACTTTCTAGCTATATGGCCTTGGGCAAGCCACTCAATTTCTCAGAGCTTCAGTGTCCTCATTTGAATAATGGGGGTAATGGTAGTGCCCATTTCCTGGGGTTGCAAGAATTCAATAAGATGATAGATGTCTGACATTAGCTTGTATGAAGCTTGGCTCAGCCTAAAGGGAGCTGTTGTTGCCATTGCTCCATTGTTCAGATGAGTAAACTGAAGATGAGAAAACTAAACTCCCAGGTGTTTGGTCACTTTCCCCAAGGTCAGTCAGCCAGAAAATGACTGAACTTGGGACTCACAGTCAAGACTTCTTAATTCCTACCAAGTGTAGGATTCCTAATAAGACTAGTGGGGTGACTGGCAGGGGGTGGGGAGGGACATTTATTGTCTACCTGGTGACAAATTTCCTTGTGTCCTGATTTCAGTAGGAAGCCAAAATAGGCTGGAGGTAATGAATAATCAAACTGAAGTTCTACGAAGATTAGTTGGTAGCACAAAGTACAACTCACTGGCAGGCACTGGCAGTTCCAGCCCTTCATTCTCTGAATCCAATGTCTTATCAAGTCGGATTTTCTTGTACTGTTTCTCAAATCCACTCATTTCTCTCTCTTTTTTTTTTTTTTTTACCTCAGCCCTTGCCCCTGTTCCTGGAGCTGTGCAATGGCTTCCAGCTTTCTTGGCGACTCCCACCGCAATCCTCTTTCCTCTCCTCTCGTCCTTCTCCAGCCACACTTTTAGCTCTGTGGCAACACATGCCTGATGCCTACCAGAGGTCAGATTCAGCTTGTGGGCTTTACCTTGGAGCCGGCTTCATGGTTTCCAGGTATTGGGATATAAGGCCTCCATGTGCCTGACACCCCAACCATCAAATTAGGATATTGGAGATGTCCCCAGCAAAGACTTTCAGAGCTGACCCTTTATAAGGGTGGCACCTAAATCCTACTGAAGGCCTGTAGGTACATACCATCAGTGAGCAGCAGATGGCAGAGTCACCTCTCCTTTTGCTATCTCCCATTAGGAGTTATTGCCGCTCCTTCCTCCATGAAGAATAACAATAAAGATAGGACCTCAATACACAATTAGAAAACGCTCTGTATGAAAAAGTTTAATTGAATTAATTGCCCAAATTTAAAGAATAAGGGATGTCCTAGTAAAATCATATTTCAGGCTTTTAAAAAATCCAAATATCTTGTGCTCTACCATGGTGAGCCTTGGTCCTTATCATTCCCTGTGTTCTCCCAACACTGAGGCCAAGTTATTTTTGCCATTGATCAAGGTGGTTGTACTATTATTTTTCTTAAAACTTTTTTTTTTTTTTGAGACAGGGTCTCACTCTGCCACCCAGGCTGGCGTGCAGTGACACAATCACAGCTTACTGCAACCTCCATCTCTTGGGTTCACGCTATCTTCCCACCTCAGCCTCCTGAGTAGCTGGGACTACAGGCACGTGCCACCATACCAGCTAAGGTTCATATTTTTTGTAGAGGCAGGGGTCTCCCTATGTTGCCCAGGCTGGTCTTCAACTCCTGGGCTCAAGTGATCCACCTGCCTCGGCCTCCCAAAGTGCTGAGATTATCGGCGTGAACAACTGCACCTGGCCTAAACATTTTTTTTAATGTGTGAAATATTTATTGATCATGTCTTTAACAAAAGTAAGAAAATTCTGGGCATGGTGGCTCATGCCTGTAATCCCAGCACTTTGGGAGGCTGATGGGGGTGGATCACTTGAGGCCAGGAGTTTGAGACCAGCCTGGGCAACATAGCAAGACCCTGTCTGTACAAAAAATTACAAAAATTAGCTGGAAGTGGTGGCACATGCCTATAGGTCCAGCTACACAGGAGAAGGAGGTAGAAGGGTTGCTTGAGCCCAGGAGGTTGAGGCTGCAGTGAGCCAAGATAGCACCACTACACTCTGGCCTGGGCAATAGAGTGAGACCCCATCTCAAAAAAAAAAGGAGGTGATAAATTATAAGTGAATAAAATGTAATTGAATAAATGAAACGGAGGTTGTAGGCATTTGAGCTTGTCCCCTCTAATCCAACCGCTCTCCCTGCCTAGCCTCCAATCTCCAACTCCTGCTTTTTTGTATGAGATAGCTGAGACCCAGAGACACAGAATAAATTGTCCAAGGTCACAAAGGTAGGAAGTGGCAAAGCCAGGAGCAGAAATCATGTCTTTGGACTCTGTCTCCCCTGCTTCTTCCATATATCCTATGACCACAGAGCTTAACAAACAGTTGTTGAATTGATGACAGGAGGCCTAGTGTAGGGGGAAGAACATTAAGTTGGCATAAGGAGTTCTAGATTCTAGTCTTAACTGTACCACTGACTGGCTGTGTGACCTTAAGCAAGTCACTTTCCTTCTCTGGATCTCATTCTCTACATCAATGTATAAGGAAGATTAAATTCAGCACTGAAGGTTAACTGGGAAGTGTGTCACATTAGCCAATTATAGCCCTTTTGTTCTGGGACTAAGAACTGGGCCCCAGAGAAAATAGTTAAGTCCTCATGTCTTTTAACAAAAGTAAGAAAATTCTGGGCGTGGTGGCTCATGCCTGTAATCCCAGCACTTTGGGAGGCTGATGGGGGTGGATCACTTGAGGCCAGGAGTTTGAGACCAGCCTGGGCAACACAGCAAGACCATGTCTGTACAAAAAATTACAAAAATTAGCTGCAAGTGAATCCAGCTAACAGAAATCAATATTGTCTTATTTGAATAAGAAAAAAATTTAAGATAATTTTCTGTAACTCATGGAGTCACCAGAAAGCCTGAAGAATTAGAGTCAACAAATGGGCAGAAAATGAAAACATATGCCCACACAGAAGCTTGTGTATGAATGTTTATAGCAGCATTGTTCGTAATAGCCAAGACATGGAAATAACCCAAATGTCTGTCAACAAATGAATGGATAAACAAAACATGGTATACAATAGAATATGATTCAGCCATAAAAAGGAATGAAGTACTGATACATGCCACAACATAGATGGACCTTGAAAACATCATGCTAAATAAAATAAGACAGTTGCAAATGGCTACATGCTATATGATTCCATTCATGTGAAAGTCCAGAATAGGGAAATTTGTACATCAGTAGTTGCTCAGGGCTGGGGAGGGGTGGGGGTGTGGGTGGGGGTAGGAAATGATAGTTAAAGCATATGGATTTTTTTTGAGGTAATAAAAATTGGCTATGGTGATAGTCTCCCATATTTGTAAATACACTAAAAGTCATGGAATTTGACACTTTAAAAGGGCAAATTGTAATACATGTAATAGCAAAAACTGCAATTATTTTTGCACCAACCTAATATTTCAATAAAGCTGTTTAAAAAATGGCAGAGACTAAAGGAGCCAAGACAGGTATTACCTTAGCCCAAATCCTGCTATGGAGCCAATTCAGTAAAGACACCACTGCCACCTCTATCCCTACCCTGAACCCTGGACCCAGAGGCCACCCATTGCTCTGCTGGCATTGCTGCCCTATACCTAGATGTTACTGTCACTGCCTCCACCTCTGCCAAAATGAACTCTCCACTGTCCCTGCTTCTTTGTGGCACAAGTTTCTTAATCAAAGTTCCAAGAGGACATACCAAATTGATTGAACCTATATAATATGCACATGCCCTAGCTGTTAAGGGCGTGCTGGAAAGCAAATATCTGTACTTTTTCACTTCCATAATAGGAGACAAAATCTGCCTCTCTCCAAGGCTCAGATGGTCGAGAGTTCTCTGAATATAAGGAAGGGGTAGGATTCAGATGTTGGGCAACTAAAACAAGAAAACCAGCCAACCAAGCAACAGACAAAAAATTTAAAAACCTGGCATCTATACTTATATACATTACCCAGTTAAAATGCAAAGGCTAGGAGCACTGGTTCATGCCTGTAATCCCATGGGGGGAGGCCAAGATGGGTGGATCATTTGAGCTCAGCAGTTTCAGACTAGCCTGGGCAACATGGAGAAACCCCACCTCTACAAAAAATACAAAAGTTATAAGAAATTGTACATAAGATTGATTTATCATCGATGCCTATTGAAGTAAAAAGAGGAAAGGCTGGAAGTGGCAGACAGAATCCCTAGCTTGTTTGCTGTCATTCATTATAAGTAGCACATTGCAACAGCAATCATGCTTATGACCAATACAGTCACTAGGTTGTAGATTTTTAAAACAAAGTAAATGAAAGCAGTATTGTCCTGGTTTTAAATAAACAAACTAACAAAAAAAATTGAAATTCAGAGGTGGATGGCCTGGAGGTACAGAGAGAGTGGAGAAAAGATGAGATAACACGTTGTTGTTGACATTTTGGGCTGAGGAGCTATAGACCTCTTTTTCATGTTTGGTGAATTCCTCATCTTTCAAAAAAATTTACAATTTTTTTTATTTTTAGAGATGGAGTTTTACTCTGTCTCCCAGACTGGGGTGCAGTGGCATGATTACAGCTCACTACAGCCTTGACCTCCTAGGCTCAAGTGATTCTCTTGCCTCAGCCTCCCGAGTAGCTGACTACAGGTGCAAGCCCACCAGAGTTTCTCATCACAGGATGAGATGGTTGTAGTATAATTTAATACTCTGGTCTTGTAAACCAGAAATGGAGAATCCCTCCCCAGGACAACTCAGGGAAGAAGTATTCCCACTTCACCGTCAACACCCAAAGCTGAAATTCTAATTAAACTACTCCCTGAATTCTTCTCAGACATACTTTAACTACTATGTCAGTATTAATCAACTAGCGCTAATACATTAGCACTAATACTAATACATTTTAATCAACTAGCTTGGTTATTAATCAACTAGCACTAATACATGGTTTTTAATCAACTAGCTTGGTTATTAATCAACTAGCACATAGTTGATTAATAACCAAGCTAGTTGATTAAAAACCAAGCCAGTTTCCTATCACAGGAACTGAAAATGCCAGACTCAATTCTCCACAATCCCCTGCAACCAAGACATGGCATATGGCCTAAGTGCTACAAATCAGACCACCTGCCTTAGATAGACTTTGAATTGGAAGCTGGTGAGGCAGAGGAGCAGGCCATGCAGAATCAGTGTGAGCCATGACCAGCAGCAGAGTCCAGGGCCTGGCCTTTGCCATCTGGACAGTGCCTGCAGTGGTAAGACTTCCCCAGAGCAGCAGCTGGCATGTATTCACGGAGCCAGTTCTATGTGGTGAATTTAGGAGCTGCTCTTGCAGTGAAAGATCCCAGCCTTGTTCTCTGGCCCTCCAGGAGATTCTGTGAGCTACCTAATAGCCTTTCAATAACTCCTTTTCTGCTTCAGTCGGCTGGAATATGTTTCTGTTGCTTGCAGGAAGGCATCCTGCCTGATAATGAGGAAAAGGAGCAGGAGCTATCAGTAGCCTAGGTGGCCTAGGATGGAGACTACATCAGGGCATTTAATAATTAAGCTCCCAAAGGTCAAAGATTAAGAAAGGATTCTTTTTTTTTTTTTTTCTTTGAGATGGAGTCTCGCTTTTGTTGCCCAGGCTGGAGTGCAGTGGTGCAACCTCAGCTCACTGCAACCTCCGCCTCTTGGGTTCAAGCAATTCTCATGCCTCAGCCTCCCGAGTAGCTGGGATTACAGGTGCGCACCACCACACCTGGCTAAGTTTTGTATTTGAGTATAGATGGGGTTTCACCATGTTAGCCAGGCTGGTCTTGAACTCCTGACCTCAGGTGATCCTCCCACCTTGGCCTCCCAAAGTGCTGGGATTACAGGCGTGAGGCACTGTGCCCCGGCCGTCCACTTTCTTATAGTATCCTCGCATGGCAGAGAGAGAGTGAGCTCTGGTCTCTTCTTTTCTTATAAGGGCACCAATCTCATCATGGGAGATCTACCCTCATGATGTCACCTAAACCTAATTACCTTGCAAGGGCCCCACCTCCAAATACCATTAATTTAAGGTTAGAGCTTTAACACATGGATTTTGGGGGGCACAAACATTTGGTCCATAGCAAACTATTGACTGAGTAACCTTGAAAAAGTCAGTCATCTTACTGAGCTCTAGTTATCTCAACTATAAAACAGGAATATTAAGAGTTTTGCCTCCCTCAAAGGGCTCTTGTAAGGATCATATTAGATCATGGACATGAAAATACTCTATAAAGTGAACTCAATAAATATTTGTAATTTATCTTAGTGCTTAACACAAAGTATGGCAGACCAAAGGTGCTCTTTAATATCTGAGGTAAAAGCCTGGGCAACATGGTGAAACCCTGTCTCTACAAAAAAATACAAAAATTAGCTAGGTGTGGTGGCGCACACCTGTAGTTTCTGCTACTCGGGAGGCTGAGGTGGGAGGAACACTTGAGCCCAGGAGGTCAAGGCTGCAGTGAGCTGAGATGGTGCCACTGGACTTCAGCCTGGGCAACGCAAACAAACAAAAACAAAAATATCTGAGGCAAGAGGAAAGGATAATAACAATTACTTATAAAGCAATTGCAGTGTGCTGGGTGTTGCGATAAATGCTTTCTCAACATTATCCTCCTTATACCCTAAGGTAACCAGCCCAGAGTTTAGCACTGAAAGTCTCACATCCTGGGAATCCCCTGGACATGGACATAGGTTTGAGTGTCATACCTTTTGCAAATGAGGAAAAAGAGGCTTAGAGAGATTATGCAACATGCCCCGAATCACTTAGTAAGGGACAGAGTCAAAATCTGAACCCAGATCTGTCAAGGAGGAAATATGTGCGGAGAAGCTTTAGAATGATGGCTGAAGAGTAACAAACCCTGCTCTTTAGCCACGTGACTCTGTCTCAAGCCCAGCTTGGTCTCAGTGCTGGTGGTGGGAGATTGCTCAGAGAAAGCCAAAAGCTGGGCCCAGCCCCTATCACCTGCTCATCCTGGGCAGTCCCTGGCAGATTGTGGTGTTTTGTTTTCTTTTGTGTTTTTACATAGAAACTCTGCTGTTTCTACAGGGTAATTAAGCCTCTCATGCCTCATCCTGTTTATATTTTGCTTTTGTGTTTTGTTTTGCTTATGAGTGAAAGAACAATTTAGCCTTCTGAATCCAAACTACTTGACCCCTTAAAGCAGGTGTTTCTGGTCTTGAGCAATAGCATTATTACAAACACTTAGATGGAGGTAGGGGGATTCTGTGCCCAGCCAGCATCAGAAGCAAAGCATTTCTCAGAGACTGATGGGTAAGTTTTGTGTGGGATGCAAATGAAAGGTGCCTAGGAAAGAAAAAAAAAAAAAAGCCTGATTGACCTCAAGATCGAGCTTCCTTTCTGCTCAAATCTCACCTTCCCTCCCATCAGTGCACCTTCGTGCTGTGCTGTTGAATCCAGATTCAGGAGGCTAGCCTGTGGCCCCTAGCTCTGCCCACTGGTAGTGTGTGACCTAGACAAGCCTCTTCCCTCTCTGAACTTCAGTTTTCTCATCTGTCAGATAAGGGAATCAGACGATTAAATTAGATGCTTTTAAATTAGATGCTTTTAAATTAGATGCTTCCCAAGGGGCCCTTGTGGAGTTGTCACTCTAGGACACCATACGGCACACATAATTGAACTGCTTCTAAAGGCAGGTTTCAGGCTAGGTGGTATGTGTGAGTGGATGTGGATGGGTGTGAGTGTGTATGCATGAGCATTTGAGTGAGAGACAGTGCGTGTGTGTGGTTGTGTATGAATGTGCATGTAGGTCAATATTAAAAAAGATATTCCTGGCCGGGTGCGGTGGCTCACGCCTGTAATCCCAGCACTTTGGGAGGCCAAGGAGGGTGGATCACTTGAGGTCAGGAGTTCGAGACCAGCCTGACCAACATGGAGAAACCCTGTCTCTACTAAAAATACAAAATTAGCCAGGCGTGGTGGTGCATGCCTGTTATCTCAGCTACTTGGGAGGCTGAGGCAGGCAAATCACTTGAACCCAGGAGGTGGAAGTGGCGGTGAGCTGAGATCACGCCATTGATTGCACTCCAATCTGGGCAACAAGAGTGAAACTCCGTCTCAAAAAAAAAAAAAAAAAAAAAGATATTCCCAAGGCTTGCTTAAAATTTCAGCTCTGGTGGAAGCTCATTCATCCCCACCCCTGCCCGACTCTCCTGAATTGCTCTTCCAGACTCAGCTTTCCCAGAAGGTGGGAAGTAAAGGCATTTTTCTTGGTGAGACAGCATTGAGGACAGGAATAAGCACTAACTTTGAAGTTAGACTTGGGGTTTGTATCCTGGTTCTGCCCCTTACTTTGTATGTGACCTCCAGCAAGTCATTTACCTAAGCCTAAATTTCCTCTTGGAGTGAACAGTTCCTAGCTCAGCACAGTTGTGAGGCTAGTATGTAAAATACTTGACATAGAACCTAACACATGGGACATTCTCAGTCAGGACCAGCTACATAATTTGCAAGGCCCCATGCAAAATGAAAATGTGGGGGTCTCTTGTTTAGAAATTACCAAGCATTCAAAGATGGCAACAGTAGAACATTAAACTAAGCAGGAGGTCCTTCCAAGTACAGAGCCCTGGACATCTACACAGGTGACGTGTTCTCGATGTTAACCTCCTTCCCTTCCAAGGACTGGTTTGTTGATTTGTTTCTATTTTAACAAGGGATTCTTAGAGAACAGAGAAGCTTCAAGATCCAAAGAAATGACTGCTCAGTGGTGAGAGGCTATGCTAGACTGTGATGGGTGACGCTTTCCAGGAGTGCCCTCAAATCAAGCTCCTAGTAGGCCTAGGAGCCACTACTTTTTTTGGGCTAACAGACAAAGTGCAGACATGGGGCCATACAGCCTAAAGAAAAGCACACTTCCTGCTTCCCTTCTCAGAAGGACTGTCTGGTGGCCCCAAAAGTAGAGCTGTCACTGGCTGTGGAGTCTCAAGGAAAGACTTGTCTGGAAACAAATAATGTCTCCATCAGTGCCAAGGCAGTTTACAGATGCCATGGCAACGTCAGTAAGTTACCCTGTGTGGTCTAAAAAGGGGAGGAACCTTGAGTTCTGAAAAATCTCATGAATAATCCACCTCTTGTTTAGTGTATAATCAATAAATGACCATAAAAATGGACAACAAGCAGACCTCAGGGCTACTCTGTCTATGGAGTAGCCATTCTTTATTCCTTTACTTTCTTAATAAACTTGCTTTAGCTTTGAAAAAAAAAAAAAAAGAAAGAATTAAGTTCTCTATTCCCAGAGGTCCACAAGCAAGGGCAGCTTGTGATGAAATTCCCCTCAGCGGGAGGATGATTTCTTAGGTCCTTTCCCACTAAGATAATAGAATCCCGGGACAGTTGATGTTCAGGGAGATGGAAGTCAGGATTCAGGACACCTTTTGTGATTTCTATTTGCTCCACAGCCTCTTCTTCTGGGCAGGATCTGGGATACTCAGGTGGTCAATCAGAAACCACTTACTGATGCCAACTCTGTCAGGTCCTGCACTGGGTACTAGGGACCCAAAGATGAAGCAGACCCAGGCTCTGCCCTCAAGGGCTCACAGTCTGGTGGAGAAGATAAACATGGAAACAAATTATCACCATACTTGGGGTCAGGATTATGACTGAGGAAAGCACAGAGTCTGTGGGTGCCCAAGGGAATGGTGACAGAATAGGAAAATAAGAATTTTCAAGGCAAAGAAGAGAAACAAATCTGTCCCAAGAAAGAGGGACAGCACAGAAGCGTGAAAGAGAATGGTTGGGGTAATAGCAGGCCCTCCCACTTGAACAGAACTTGGGGGAAAGTGGGATGAAGCAAGAGCCATCCACCTCATCAACAACTGAATAGGTCAATAGTTGCTCCATAGTTGCTAGATCATAAGGGGCCTTGCCCCAGCGAGTAAATAGGTCAATAGTTGCTAGATCATAAGGGGCCTTGAATGTACAGCTATGGAGTTCAGGCTTAATCCTGTAGACTGTGGGGATCCAGAGAAGTGATCTGGCTATATCTGAATGTTAAAAATACCGCTCTATCAAAGGGAGGGCCTTTCTCATAAAAAAATACTGCTCTGAAACTTCAACAAGATACCAGCACTTATCTGCTGAAAGAACCAAAATGAAAAACACAAACAACATCAAGTGTTAACAAGAATATGGAGCAACTGGAACTCTCATGCATCACTGATGGGAGTGTAAACTGACATAACCACTTTAGTTTGGCAGTTTGGTAGTATTTTATAAAACTGAACACGTACATGCCTGATGACCCAGCAATTTCCCCCCTATTTACATCAACAAGCATGTATAAAAATGTTTATAGCAGCACCACTTGCAATAGCCCCAAACTGGAAACACACCAAATAGAATAAAGACATTGGATATAACCAATCATTGGAATACTATACAGCAGTGAGAATGCTACCTGCAACAACTAAGGTGAATATCACAAACCTATTATGAGTGAAAGAAGTTGGACACGCGATGGCTCAGGCCTGTAATCCCAGCACTTTGGGAGGCCGAGGTGGGCGGATCACGAGGTCAGGAGATCGAGACCATCCTGGCTAACACGGTGAAACCCCGTCTCTACTAAAAGTACAAAAAATTAGCCGGGCGTGGTGGTGGGCACCTGTAGTCCCAGCTACTTGGGAGGCTGAGGCAGGAGAATGGCGTGAACCCGGGAGGCAGAGCTTGCAGTGAGCCGAGATAGCGCCACTGCACTCCAGCCTGGGTGACAGAGCAAGACTCCGTCTCAAAAAAAAAAAAAAAAAAAAAAAAGAAGTTGGACACAAAAGAACACATACTATGTGATTCTACTTAACAGTTCAAAAACAGGCAAATCTAATTTTTGACGTTAGAATTCAGGACAGCATTTAGCTTTGCAGGGTGAAGTGGCTGGAAGGAGGCACAAAGGAGCTTCTGAGCTGCTGGTCATGTTCTATTTCTCCTCCTGAGTGTTGGTTACATGGAGGTGCACTTTCTCAAAATTTATTGAACTGTACACGTATGATTTATGTACTTTTCTATGAATGTTATACTTCAGTTTTGTTTTTGATTTTGTTTTTTGTTTTGAGATGGAATTTCGCTCTTGTTGCCCAGGGTGGAGTGCAGTCGCGCAATCTCAGCTCACTGCAAACTCCGCCTCCCGGGTTCAAGCGATTCTCCTGCTTCAGCCTCCCGAGTAGCTAGGATTATAGGTGCTTGCCACCACGCCCGGCTAATTTTTGTATTTTTTGTAGAGACGGGGTTTCACCATGTTGGCCAGGCTGGTCTTGAGCTCCTCAGATGATCCACCCACCTCAGCTCCCAAAGTGCTGGGATTACAGGTGTGAGCCACCGCGCCCGACCACTTCAGTTTTTAAAGTTGAATTTTGAAAATGCATTCCAGCTACTCTGCGGACTGGAGGGAGCAACTCCTTAGGCACAGAACCCAGTGGAAAAGCTGCTGGAAGAGTGGAGGCACCTCCTGCTTTTTCATTTTCTACTTAGCATGCTGTGTGCTTTTTGATGACTGTTTTTTCCAGGCAGGTTAGCTAAGCTGTTGGGAGAAGTGTGATGGATGGAAGGGGCATCATAAGTAAGAGGTCTTAAAAAACTCAAGAAAAAAAAAACGAGACTTGGAAATCTCTTCCACCCCACCTCCTCCCTGAAGTCACTCTGGCCATGGGAGTGGATGGATGAAGGTCAGAGCAGGTGAGTCACTTGCTTCCTTAACCACTGAGAATATTTTTCCCACTCTGTGCATTCAGCCTCCCCCCACTTCCCAGACATGGAGGCTTAGCTTAGGATAAGACATCATGCATCCTTTCCCAGAGACTCAATCTTCATTTCATACCTCTTTTACGTCACCTAAGTCCTTCTGGATCCTCAGGACAGGAACTGAAGCCCTGGGGATCAATGACAAGGAAGGAGCTGCTGAAAGAGGTCCCTGTCCACTGGGCAGAAGGGATCCTCCAGTCCAGAGTGCGGCTGAGCACTTGGAAGCTGGGAAGTCAGCCAGCATTTCATCTTTTGTTTTTTCCTCCTGGGGCTTCCTGTCTCAGAGGTGAATGGAGAGGGGTCATGGGGACTTCCTGGCCTCTGCAAATAAACCTTTCCATTGTCGTTGGCCAGGCAGTACTTCCAGGCCAGACAGCCCAGGTTGATGGGCAGTAACCAAAACAGCAATGCTGCCTTCAAAGGAAGCTTACCCCTAGTCCCATCAAAGGTCCCTGTGGGCTGGGCATGGCGGCTCACACCTATAATCTCAGCACTTTGGGAGGCTGAAGCAGGAGGATCACTTGAGCCCAGGAGGTCCAGGTTGTAGTGAGCCCTGATCGCATTACTGCACCCAACAGAGCAGGACCCTGTCAGAAATAAATAAATAAATAAATAAATATCCCTGCAAGAAGAGGCTATACACTGCTGAGGTGGAAAAGCAGTCATGATCGCAGCCAGAACTTGACCACTCATTGTTGAGGGGTGAGTGGGAACTAGGTGGGGGAGAAGCATCAGAGAATGTGAGGGCTGGTAGGGCCTGAGAAGTCAGCTAGTTTGTTTTCTGATGATTCCTCATACCCAGACAGTTCCTGACACGTAATAGGGACTCTATAAACATTTACTGAATAAATGAGTGGATCTAGTCCTACATTTTCATTTAAGTGAGCTGTCAGGAAAGCAAGGCCCGAAATGGAAAAGGACATTTCCCAAGGACACACAGTGAGTTAGTATCAGAACCCAGACTAGAGCTCAGGGTTCCTGAATCCCTATTCTTTCTGTTAATAACTGGGTGACAATCGGTACACAGGGGAGGGGAGCCATATTCTCCTCCTTCCTTAAGCCAAAGGAAACTGGGGACTTCAAGAAAACCACTCAGAGAGCTTGACATGTTGCACTGAAGTTTGGGAATCATAAGATATGGAGTTTGACATATTCTTGAGGAATTTAAATATTAGAGACTGAATGGAATTTGTAGGACTAGAGAGAGATGGTTGGGCTGAGAGCAAACCCTTCTCCCACTGGCCATGGGGCAAAAGCAGGTTTTTCCTAGGAACTGAGGTAGACCTGGAAGAAGGGATCTGACCTAGGATCTTCCTAAAACAGGTCTGTCCTCAAAAGAATTGCACTGAGGGCACTGGGACCCCAACAGAGAAGATGGACTGCTAAAGTTCAGGAGCCAAGCCAGAGGAGAAGCTTTGCTTCTCAAGGGAAGTATAGTTGGGGGCTCCAAGGGAGGATCCCTTAAAGGTTCCCCTAAAGCCTTTCAAAGAGATAGAATTGGTTTTGGGCATTTGTCCTGCCCAAAACAGCAACATCGTATTGTAGTTGACACTCTTTTTCCTTCATCTTCTCTCCTTCTTGGAGGCAGAGACAGACTTACCTTGAAACTAATGAAGCTTAAATTTCAGGGTTCCTCACTTACAGACCTCTTTAGTCTCACAGATTTTGTATTTGTAATTTTGTATTTTTTCCTTAAAAATATATATTATAAAATTTATATTATTTTTGTATTGATAATAAACAATTTTATACTGATGCATAAACAATTATCACAAACTTAGCCACTTATTACAAATTTATTATTTCTGCTTCTGTATACCAGAAGTCGACGTAGGGCATGACTCAATTCTCTGCTCAGGATCTCAGCAGGCTGGACTGAAAGTGCTGGTCATGTATAGGGCTCAGGGTTCTCCTTCAGGCTCACTGGTTATTGGCAGAATGCAGTTCCTTATGGTTGTAGGACTGAGGTCACCATTGTCCTGCTGGTTATCAGCCGGGGACCACTCTCAGCTCCTATAGGCCACTCAAAATACTTTGTCGCATGGCCCTCTGTTATGGACTGAATGATTGTGTTCCCCTAAAATTCACATGTTGAAGCCCTAACCTCAATCTGACAGTTTGGAGATGGGGCCTTTGGAAGGTAATTAAGGTTAAACGATGTCACAAGGGCGAGATCCTGACCCAATAGGTTTAGTGTTCTTATAAGAAGAGACACCAGAGCTCACTCTCTCTCTCTGCATACACACACTGAGGAAAGACCAAGTGAGGACACAGCAAGAAGGTGACCAACTACAAGCCAAGAAGTGAGCCTTCCCCAGAAACTGACCATGCTGGCACCCTGATCTTGGACTTCCTGCCTCCAGATCTGTGAGAAAATAAATTGCTGTTGTCTTAAGCCACTCAGTCCATGGTATTTAGTTATGGCGCCCTAGCAGACTTACATGCCCCCATATGCAGTTCACAGCACAGATGTTGCTTTCTTCCAGACCAGCCACAGTGCATCTCTCTGGCTTCCTCTTTTGCAGCCAGATGGAGAAAATTATCTTCTTTTTTGTTTGTTTGTTTTGTTTTTTTGAGACAGAGTCTTGCTCTGTTGCCCAGGCTGGAGTGCAGTGGCGCGATCTCGGCTCACTGCAAGCTCCGCCTCCCAGGTTCATGCCATTCTGCTGCCTCAGCCTCCCGAGTAGCTGGGACTACAGGCACCTGCCACCACGCCCGGCTAAATTTTTTTTTTTTTTTTGTATTTTTAGTAGAGACGGGGTTTCACGTGTTTGCCAGGATGGTCTCCATCTCCTGACCTCATGATCTGCCCACCTCAGCCTCCCAAACTGCTGGGATTACAGGCATGAGCCACCGCACCCAGCTGAAAATTATCTTCTTTTAAAGGGCTTCCCTGATTAGGTCAGGCCCACCCAAGATAATCTCTCTTGCCACTTAACAGAATGACAACAGTGATGTCACCAGATTCACAGGTTCCACCTACACTCAAAGGGGAGATTATACAAGTGCAAAGGTCATTGAGGGAGCGGGGAATAATCTTAGAATTCTGCCCAATATAAAGGAGGCTGCCCAAATTGTGGAAGCTTCAGCCCCCACAAAACCTGAATCCACCCTGTCTGGAGGGTGTCAGAAACAGCTGCTATGGAATAGGGAGGAGGTGAAGGAGCAAGAAATAAGCCTTGTACACCTGCTCTACCGCTGCAGGCTTCCTTTCAGTTTCGGGAGGGGACAAATCAACTTCCATGTGCTTGGAGATCTGATATCACACAGGGCTAGATCAGGGCTAGGTGATCACACAGATTATACTCTGCTATTTTTTTTTTAATCTGAGGTGGAGTTTCGCTCCTGTTGCCCAGGCTGGAGTGCAATAGTGCAATCTCAGCTCAATGCAACCTCTGCCTCCCGGGTTCAAGTGATTCTCCTGCCTCAGTCTCCCAAGTAGCTGGGATTACAGGCACCCGCCATCACACCCAACTATTTTTTTTTGTACTATTTTAGTAGAGACAGGGTTTCATAATGTTGGCCAGGCTGGTCTCGAACTCCTGACCTCAGGGGATTCACCTGCCTCAGCCTACCAAAGTGCTGCGATTACAGGCGTGAGCCACCATGGCCAGCCTGCTTTTTTTTTTTTTTTTTTTTTCTTTCTTTCTGGGCTCAAGCAATCCTCCCACTTCAGCTTCCTGAGCAGCTGGAACACAGTCATGAGCCACCACACATGGCTAATTTTTAAAATTTTTTTAGGGACCAGGTCTCCCTGTGTTACCCAGGCTGGTCTTAAATTCTTGGGCTAAAGCAATCTTTCCACCTTGTCCTCCCAAGTGCTAGGATTATAGGCATGAGCCACTTCACCTGGCAAACTAAGTTTCCCTCAGTTGATTACCATTAGATCATACTTTTTAATATAATAACACTTCTCCACAGCTATCCACTTCTTTGTCAAAACCAGCATAAAAAAATACACGGTTTACCAATTTCTTTGGGTCTTCAGTTCCTTATGAAGGCTCCTGTGTCACATAAAATTTATATTCAATAAATGTCTGTATGCCCCCTCCCCTCCCCTCTCCTCTCCTCTCCTTTCCTTTCCTGACAGAGTCTTGCTCTGTCACCCAGGCTGGAGTGCACTGGCGTGTTCTCGGCTCACTACAACCTCTGCCTCTGCCAGGCTCAAGCAATTCTCCTGCCTCAGCCTCCCAAGTAGCTGGGATTACAGGTGCATGCTATCACGCCCAGCTAATTTTTGTATTTTTAGTAGAGACAGGGTTTCACCATGTTGGCCAGGCTGGTCTCGAACTCCTGACCTCAAGAGATCTGCCCACCTCGGCCTCCCAGAGTGTTGGGATTACAGGCATGAACCACTGTGCCCAACCTAAATGTGTTATGCTTTTTTCTTGTTAATCTGTCTTCTGTTTTAGAGGCCTCAATCATAAACCTAAAATGGGAAGGAAACATCTTACAAGAGACTAGAGAACTTTCATTCTCTGAGGACCAAAAGAAAAACACCAACAACAAAAACACCCCTATGAGATCTTCCCAAGATTTCATCAAGTGGCAAGGGAAGACCTATTTGGCAAATTGAATTTTAGAGAAACTGGTGGGAAAAAATTAAGGTTTCCTGCCTGCAACAGTATGACTCTAGCTTGTTCAACAAACTAGTTATATTTACATTATAGCATAGTAGGCATAGATACAATAAAACATATAGCACAACAACAAAAACACATTATAGTTCAGGAAGAGGCCAGAGTAGAGAAATTCCTGGACTGGGAGTTGGAAGACTGAGTTGTAGTTCTCATTCTTTCATCGACCACTTAAGTTGCAATGTGGAATCTACACAACACAAACAACCCACAGAGAAAAAGGTAAATGGTTTGAACGGGCAATGCACAGAAGAGGAAATGCAGATGGACAATGAACATATGAAAAGCAACTCAAATTCACTAGTTATCAGAGAAATGAAAATTTTTAAAAAATAGGATACAGTTTTTCAATAATATGTCTGACACAAATTGAAATATTGAGAACATCCAGCTCTTGTCAATGTAAGGGAAAAGAAGTGTTTTTCCTTCCCATCTTAGGTTCATGGCCGAGGTCTCTAAAACAGTAGACAGATTAATAAGAGAAAAGCATATACATTCATTGAATATAAATTTTATGTGACATAGGAGCATTCAGAAAAATCTGAAGAAATGGGTAAACCCATGTACCCATCAAAGAAGTTAGTAAACCTATGTGTTTTTAATGCTAGTTTTGATGAAGAAGTGGATAGCTGTGGAGAAGTTTGGTTATATAAAAAAGTATGATCTAATGGTAATAAATTGAGGGGAACTTAGCAAGGTCTGCTTGTTCAGATTCTCCTCCATGACCCTTTGTCTTCAGAGATAAGGAGGCTCCTTTCCTCTGGGTGCAGGGAGGGCACTTCTCGAATGAGGGTCTTATGACCTGCTGCAGGGGAAGGTCAGAATAGCCCTCCGAGGTTTCAGGACTTGCTTCAGGAAAATAGGGCAGGAGGAAGGTGTGAGTGATTTTCCTGCTTCTGATGTTTTTGGGTAGCATGTCCTGAGCTCCATCATTACAAAGTAAGGAAATGGACATCATTACACATTGCTGGTGAAGGTATTACACTGCACCATAATCTGTTTGGAAAGTATTCTGGAAGAAAATTTTTAAATGTATATACTTTTTGGCCCATGCATCGCTCTTTTAGACTATTTTGTTGGAACAAAAGTATCATTACCTAAAAATATATGTACAAAAATGTTTATGAGGCCAGGCAAGGTGGCTCATGCCTATAATCCCAGCACTTTGGGAGGCCGAGTCCAGGGGATCACTCTGAGTCCAGGAGTTCGAGACCAGCCTGGGCAGCACAGTGAGATCTCATCTCTACAAAAAATAAAAATTTTAAAAAATTAGCCAAGTGTGGTGGTGTGTACCGGTAGTACCAGCTACACAGGAGGTTGAGGTAGGAGGATCTCTTGAGTCCAGGAGGCGGAGGCTGTAGTGAACCTAGATACCTAGATCGCTCCACTGCACTACAGCTTGGGTGACAGAGACCCTGCCGCAAAAAAAAAAAAAAAAAAAAAAAGAAAGTTTATGTTTATGGGAACACTGCTTACAGTGGCAAAAAAAAAAAAAAGGAAATAACCTGAAGGTCCAAGAGCAGATAAATGATTGAATATATTTGTATATATTTATATTCTATTATGGAATATGATCTAGCTATTTATGAAACCAGTTAAATCTATATGTACTGTAACCAAGGACCTCAGTTTTAAAAATCACACATTTTCTTTTTCTTCCTTCCCTCCCCTCTTACCTAGTCATTCATTTCCTGTGTAGACACTTCTCTCTGGCAATGTATGCTTATCTAATTATGCTGTTGCTTAAGAAATTCCAGAAGCTGGCTGGGCGCGGTGGCTCACGCCTGTAATCCCAGCACTTTGAGAGGCCGAGGCGGGCGGATCACAAGGGCAGGCGTTCAAGACCAGCCTGGCCAACATAGCGAAACCCTGTCTCTACTAAAAATACAAAAATTAGCCGAGTGTGGTGGCGGGCGCCTGTAGGCTTCTGAGGCAGGAGAATTGCTTGAATTCAGGAGGCGGAGGTTGCAGTGAGCAGAGACCATGCCGTTGCACTCCAGCCTGGGTGACACAGTGAGACTCTGTCTCAAAAAAAAAAAATTCCAGAGGCTAATCTGGAAAGAAACCATGCAGGAAGCCCCTGTGGAATCCTCCGTAAGGAATCCTCCCACTTAGGGGGAGTCAGAACAATTAGGTCACCACCATCAGGCCAAAGTCAGGATAATGCCAAGCAGACCTCCAGAGAGACAATGACCCAAGATAGCCATCAGAACAAAGGCCCAGAGCTGCACTCTGCTGCACTCCTCTATGTCTCCCACACCAAACTTCTCTTTAAAAACCCTATGGTAAATTATAAAAATTTATAAACTAGCACTTTCGTATCTCAGTTTGTTGGCTCTCCAGTTAAACCTGCTTTTCCTCCCACCAACCCTCGTCTCTCCTGTTTGGCTTTTGAGCAGCAAGCAGCCGAACGTGGTTCCAGTTACAGTACCAACCAGGAGGAATGACAATGAAATACTCTTTACGTGAAAAAGCAGGTTGCACAGTAATGTATATTGCACGCCCTTGTTTTTGTTTTACGAAAGAGAAAACAGCCAGGTGTGGTGTTGCATGCCTGTAGTTTCTGCTGTTGGGAAGGCTAAGGTAGAAGGATCCCTTGAGCCTGGGAGTTTGAAGCCAGCCTGGGAACATAGCAAGACCTGGTCTCTAAAAGAAATAAAATAAATTAAATTAAATTAAGGAAAAATAAGGCCTTTGTATGCTTATATTTTTGTATTAGTGAAAAAAAGTGTGACAAGTTACACAATATGGTGTTAATACTGGTTAACTGGGGCGTGGGCTGGGGAATGGTGATACGGGAGTGGTGAAGGTATTACAGGGAAGAAGGGAGAAATTAACATGTATTTTATATGTTAACTTTTTATTGTTCAACTTATTATAAAGAATATAAAATACTCTTCTAATAAAAAAAGTGTATTGGTCTGTTCTCATGTTGCTAATAAAGACATACTGGAGACTGGGTAATTTATAAAGAAAAAGAGGTTTAACGGACTCAGTTTCACATGGCTGGGGAGGCCTCATAATCACAGCGGATGGCAAAGGAGGAGCAAAGACCCGTCTAACATGGCGGCAGGCAAGAGGGCTTGTGCAGGGGAACTCCCATTTATGAAACCACCAGATCTTGGGACACTTACTACCACAAGAACAGTATGGGAGAAACCGCCCCCATGATTAAATTATCTCCACCTGGCCCCACCTTTGATATGTGGAGACTATTACAAGTCAAGGTGAGATTTGGAGGGGGACACAGCCAAACCATATCAGAAAGTATATTTAAAAATTAAACTAAAAAATAGCATAGGTTTGGCAGTCAGAAAAATGCAAGTTTGAATTCCCACTCTATCACTAACAAGCTTGGTAACTATAAATAACCTATTTAAACCTCTCTGAGCCTGTTTGTCATCTGTTAAAATAGGTGTAATACACCCCAGAGTTGTTTTGAGGATTAAATGACAGAATTTATTTAAGTGCTGAGCACATAGTAGGTCCTCAAATAAATGATAGCTATTATTATTCCCATTTAGGATTGGATTGACTTGGAGGAACCCTGAGCAAGTTAATGGCACCTTTCAGCAGTTGAGTCCCTTCAGAAACAGAATTCACACCAGACACTTTAACAGAGAGAATGTAATATAGGGAATTAGTTAAATAGGCACTAGAGGACTGAAAAAAGAGAGTAAGGAGATAACAGAGAGAATTACTATAAGCAGCTACCTCCCCCCAGGGGTGGGGGAATAAAGGGAAGAGGATAGGGTTGTCAAAACCTAGAAGCTTTGCATCTGGGCATGTTCTCAGAGAGCCTTCCTAAATCTGGAAACTGGCACCAACTGCTGTTGTCAAGGTGAATGGCCTTTGCTGGGGGTTGCTGACACGACAGGAGGCAAACAGAAGCAACAGATTCCCTCTCCCTCCGCCAGTGTTCCAGCTTTCTCTAGGGCCCTTTACAGCAGAGTCTAACGGGGCAAGGCTGGCAAAGGCAAAGTGTGGTTTACAAGTCCTAGCCCCAGCTTCTCAGAGTTTAGGCTCAGCTATAAAAGGTGTAGCTAAGAGACACTAGCACACTTACATCAAATCAGCTTTCTTTAACTGTTGTTCAACCATGAGTTAGAGGACAGCTGAGTGCCATGAAGGGGAAGGGCTGGAAGGAGCACCAGAGGTAGCAGTACTAACCCTCACCTTTATTTTCCAGGGCAATTCAGCCTGGACTCAAACTTGCATACTCCATTCTGCAAAACAAAAGCCGTTTGTTTGTCCAACCCCATCTCCTTAGGAAACTGCTGAGTGAACATTCATTGTTGTTCATTCTCATCTTTCATTATTCATCACAGTATTCCTTACAACAACTAGAGTACTCTGTCCCAGAAGAGTTCTGATATACACAATTTTGCCCACCTTGTTAAATTTCTAGCAATACTTTGGTACCCAGGGATGTTTTGGCATCTGTTATAAACTGGGGTCTTGGTCAGCTGCTCAGCTGACCTGCCCCTTCCTCCAGCTCAGATCCCCATTGTATGACCCTGGGCACGTCACTTCTTTTTTTTTGAGTCAGAGTCTCCTCTGTCGCCCAGGCTGGAGTGCAGTGGCATGATCGCAGCTCACTGCAGCCTCGATCTACTGATCTCAAGTGATCCCCCTACCTCAGCCTCCCAAGTAGCTGGCACTGCAGTCATGCTACCAGGTCTGGCTAATTAAAATTAAAAAAAAAATTCTTCAAGAGACAGGTTCTCTTGCCTAGGCTGGTCTCGTGGCCTCAAGCCCAGATTATAGATCTGACCCACCACACCCAACTTTTACTTTATGTCTTTGGTCCTCAGTTTCCCGTGGTATAAAATGAGAGCTTTAGGCTAGATTATCCCTAAAATTCCTCACAATTCCAGCATTCTATAATTTTGCCTATATTATAAACAAAATGAGTCATTGTGTTACAGGGAAGGGGTCCCAATCCAGACCCCAAGAGAGGGTTCTTGGATCTCAAGCAAGAAATAATTCAGGGTGAGTTTATAAAGTAAAAGCAAGTTTACTAGGAAAGTAAAGGAATAACGAATGGCTACTTTATAGACAGAGAAGCCCCAAGGGCTGCTGGTTGTCCATTTTTATGGTTATTTTTTGCTTATATGCTAAACAAGGAGTGGATTATTCATACCTTCCCTTTTTAGACCATATAGGGTAACTTCTTGACGTTGCCAATGGCATTTATAAACTGTGACAGCGCTGTTGGGAGTGTAGCAGTGAGGACGACCAGAGGTTACTCTTGTCGCCATCTTGGTTTTCATGGGTTTTGGCTGGCTTCTTTACTGGCAACCCGTTTTATTAGCAAGGTCTTTATGACCTGTATTTTGTGCCGACCTCCTATCTCATTCTGTGACTTAGAATGCCTAACAGTCTGGGAATGCAGCCCAGTAGGCTTCAGCTTTATTTTACCCAGCCCCTATTTAAGATGGAGTTGCTCTGGTTCACACTCCTCTGACAATGGCATTTGTTACAAAAAAAGATAATAAGCTAAAAATGAGTGTTCCAAAAAGTTAGATTTTTAATGACTTTGAGGCTAAAGTTAAGGCTTATTATACTATTATTATTACATTTAGGTTAAAACTGTACCTTGACATAAAGAATTTGATGCTTTGGCCCAACTCAGGTATGAAATATCAATTAACACTTATTAATGGCCTATTATGGGCTGTGTGCTGTACTCCATGTGCTGATCCAGAAGAAAGAGAAAATATCACCAAGCCTCAAGTCTGAGGAACTTGTAACCATAACAATAATTAACTGATAAGATGACAAAGCAAGTGATCAATACTTGAGTAATGTACCAACTTGTTCTGAAATGAAATTGGCTGGGTGCATTATAATGATGTTTATTGGTGCAGGAATAAGATTTTTCAAAGGAAATAAATGAGCTGAGTTCTTTAGAATTCCACATATGCTTCACTTATTTAAAAATGAAAAAAAAAATCTGGCGATTAACAAGGTAATGAAATTTGATAATATTGGACCAAAAAGACAATAACTGTGTTAGAGTCAGTGAAGAAAAACAAAATTCACACTTAGGACTGACCCACCAAGTTGAAATGCTGTGTGAAGTTATTAACTGCTTCCTTAAGTAATGTGTCTAATAGTGCTTGGGGCTAGATTATCAGGCTGAAAGGGTAGATTAATCCACTGCCCCCCACTAGTGCTATGCTCTAGAAATGTCTTTCTCCAAGAGTCCTAGTACCTCTGAGATTCCTTACTTCTTTTTTGAAACGGAGTCTCACTCTGTAGCCCAGGCTGGAGTGCAGTGGTGTGTTCTCAGCTCACTGCAACCTCTGCCTCCAGGGCTCAAGCAATTCCCCTGCCTCAGCCTCCCAAGTAGCTGGGATTACAGGCGCCCCCCCACGGTGCCTGGCTAATTTTTGTATTTTTAGTAAAGACGGTTTTGCCATGTTGGCCAGGCTGGTCTCGAACTCCTGACCTCAGGCCTCCCAAAGTGTTGTGATTACAGGTGTGAGCCACCGCGCCTGGCTGATTTTCCTTACCTCTGCCACTGGCCCTGCCTGAACACTCTTCTCATAACTTGTCTGAATACTTCTCAGCCTACACAGCCTAGCTTAAGCACCAGCATCTAGTGAAGTCTCTGGTGCATGAAATATTAGCATGTGTGAACTATCCTCTCTGCTGAATGGACAGAGCTGATTTTAACAATCTCTGACTATCTGTACCCCACCTCCTATAGCCTGTAATTACAGTCACCCGCAGGAACACCTCTCCATCACCTGGGAAGAATAAACACAATGCCTAGATCAACTGGGAGGGTGTGTGAATGCAGATCAGTCCCAGGAAACATTTGACCAATTGCATTTTCTCTCTCTCTGCCTCTCTTTGGTCTCCCTCCCTCTTCTCCCTAACCATTTTCTTGGTCTCTTTAAACTTCTACCTCCTTGTAGAACTCCCTCATCATGGAAGAGGAAGCACGAGATCTTTGAAAAGCTACACATCATTTGGAGACTCTTGCGTCCTTCAGCTCCTGCAGAATGAAACATCACATGACAAACCAAATCTTCTTTTAAAATATTAACTACTGGTCGGGTGTGGTGGCTCACGCCTGTAATCCCAGCACTTTGGGAGGCTGAGGCGGGCAGATCACCTGAGGTCAGAAGTTCAAGACCAGCCTGGCCAACATAGAGAAACCCCGTCCCTACTAAAAATACAAAAATTAGCCAGGCATGGTGGTGCATACTTGTAATCCCAGCTACTTGGGAGGCTGAGGCATAAGAATCACTTGAACCCAGGAGGCAGAAGTTGCAGTGAGCTGAGATGGCATGACTTCACTCCAGCCTGGGTGAAAGAGTGAAACTCCATTTCGTTTTTTTGTTTTGTTTTGAGACGGAGTCTCGCTCTGTCACCCAGGCTGGAGTGCAGTGGCACCATCTCGGCTCACTGCAAGCGCCGCCTCCCAGGTTCACACCATTCTCCTGCCTCAGCCTTCCGAGTAGCTGGGACTACAGGCACCCGCCACCACACCCGGCTAATTTTTTGCATTTTTAGTAGAGATAGGGTTTCACCGTGTTAACCAGGATGGTCTCAATTTCCTGACCTCCTGATCCACCCACGTTGGCCTCCCAAAGTGCTGGGATTACAGGCGTGAACCACCGCGCCAGGCTGTGAAACTCTATTTCTAAATAAATAAATAAGTAAATACCTACCACCCAAAACACAACTTCTTCATTGTGTCACTGTGCAAACAAAGTCTCTGTCTCCTTACTCCTTTCCAAAGACCACACTTCCTTGTTGAGACAAGAGAGAAAACCCAGATTTGCCCCTGTAGTAGGTTGACTAGTAGCCGCTAAAGATGTTAGATCCCAATCCTTGAAACCTGTAAATGTTATTTTATATGGAAACAGTGTCTTTGCAGGTGTAATTAAGTTAAGGATCTTGCAGTGAGGAGATTATCCTGGGTGGGCCCTAAATGTAATCACACGCATTACATATGACCTTGGCCTGACACCTTAATTTTGGCTGAGTGAAAATGATTTCAGATTTCTGACCAACAGAACCGTGTGAGAATAAATTTCTGGGTTTTTTGTTTGTTTGTTTTTAAAGAGATCAGGTCTTTCTCTGTCACACAGGCTGGAGTGCAGTGGTGCAATAATAGCTCACTGCAGCCTCAAACTCCACGGCTCAAGGGATCCTTCCACCTCAGCCTCTCAAGTAGTTAGGGCTACAGAGGTGCATCACCATGCTCAGGTAATTTTATTTTATTTTATTTATTTATTATTTTTTTTGCAGAGATGAAGGTCTCATTATGTTGTGCAGGCTGGTCTCAAACCCCTGGCCTCAAGCAATTCTCCTGCCTCTGCCTCCCAAAGCTCTGGGATTATGGGCATGAGCCACTGTGGCCCGGCCCATGACTTAACTCTAGTTGTAGTCCTTGTGGTTAGCAACAGAGGTGGGGCAGATCCAGAGGTGTATGGTAAGAACACCTGACAGCAATAACTTAAGCTTACCCTGAGAATGACCCTGTATGGCAAACACACCTGAATGTGTGTTCTGAGCTAGGGAATTGGGAAGTGGCCAAACCACAGACTCGTTTCTTGTCAATGAGGAACATTTGAGCCTCTGGCGCATCCCGTGGAACACGGGCTGTACAGGGGATCAAAGCATTGGGTTTAGGGTTAAATGAAGGTTGTCAGGTGGAGGTTGTTAGGGGGAGGGTACTAAGTGAACATGCTATAGAAACTGCAGGCCTTTTGCAAGCGGCTGCAATTCTCCCGCCCAGCCTACCACCACTGGACCTGTTCACCACCACTGGACCTGTTCTCTTGTCCAGCCCGCCGCTGCTGGACTCTCCCCTGTATGTAAGCCCCCAGTAAAACCCCATGTCTCATTTGCTGGCTCTGGGTCTCTTTTTTGGCCTCTTGAACCTGGTGCCATCCCCACTGGAGTTGATAGGGGTTTGGCACAACATGAGGGAGGCACATTTTATCTTGAGGGTCTGAGTTCTCTGCATTGCCTTCAAACAAGCGAGGGAGGTGGGGGTGCTAGCTCTTAAGAGGAGAAGGGCACAACTTCTGAATGCTCAGAGGATTTAGAGGAGTCTGGGAGTTCAAAATATACCCACATGTCCCCATCCTAAGTGCCAGAGTTCTACTAACCTTAGCGTATTGGACCTATCGTGGTCATTTAATTTTCTCTGGAGCTTGATGGCTGTATTAATTCCCAGCTCAGGTCTTCAGCTTTTTCTGCCTTCTTGCTGTAGGAATTGAAAGCCTCTTTGTAAGCTTTCACATTTGGCTTTCATTGCCTGTTAAATGCCTGCAGCTTTTTATTGTCTTTTTCTAACATATCCATGAATTTAGCAATAGTCACTCAATTCCATTATAGTCACTCGATTTCCATAATAGAAACAGTTAGTTTCTCCTATACCTCCCAAATGCTGAATACATTGAACCAGCTAGTGAATTCCCCTCCATGTCTAAAAAAACCCTAATTCATCACGGGTAAGAGGTTTTTGGTTTTTTTTCTTTTGAGACGGAGCGTCACTCTGCTGCCCAGGCTGGAGTGCAGTCGCGTGATCTCAGCTCACTGCAACTTCTGCCTCCTGGGTTCAAGCGATTCTCCTGCCTCAGCCCCCTGAGTAGCTGGGATTACAGGCATGCACCACCAGCACGCCCAGTTAGTTTTTGTATTTTTAGTAGAGAAAGGATTTCACCATGTTGGCCAGGCTGGTCTCAAACTTGTGACCTCAGGTGAACCACCTGCCTAGGCCTCCCAAAGTGCTGGGATTACAAGTGTGAACCACCGCACCCAGCCACTGGTAAGAGTTTTAACAACCTTGTGCCAGGTGTTGTCTCTGCTCCTTCTATCACCAGTGATGAGTTCCTTATGGCCAACAAGGTGGTGAGTGATCCAGGTTTAAAATCCCATCTTACCACCTGCATTTTTGGGTCATTCCTGGCACCAATTCCTTAGAAGGAAGAAACACTGAACAGAGGGAAAGCCTGAAAGCTATATAGGTCTGACAAAGCTTCAGCCAATCCATGGGGACCTCTGGAACATACATAACCCATCAGTGTTTCCCATGGTGGGCCAAAATGGCCAAACTTTTATACCCATGCCTTGCTCAGTCACCTCACATGAGCTGCTCCAAGAACGGCAAGGCCTTGGGTAAAGCAGCTCGCTAAGCAACTAGGGCAAATCCTAAAGGAGATGACAGCTAGAATTTGTCTGCTGGCAACACCCTCATCAATTAGGGCAACTAGTCCTCCTTGAAGAGGGATATAGTGCAGCATATTCGGGTCTACCGCAGATAACATGCCAGTCATTTTATACACATCATCTCATTTAATCCTTACAACAACTATCAGACATCCATAGTACAGATAAGGAAATTGAAGCTCAAAGAAGCTAAAGAACTTTCCCCAATAATTAGCTTCCAGAACAGGTATTAGAACCTATGTCCATCTTATTTCATACATTAATGTAGATTTCTGAAGAATATCTAATAGAGTGCTTGAAGAAGAAAAGGGTAATGTACCGATCAGGCTCACAACAGAAAATAGCACAATTAGGATAATTCAAGGATGCGTTTTTTCGGGTTTTGCTTTGTTTTTCACAAAGGGATGATTTTTTTTTCTTTGAGATGGAGTCTAGCTCTGTCACTAGGCTGGAGTGCAGTGGCACGATCTCAGCTCACTGCAACCTCTGCCTCCTGGGTTTCAGCGATTTTCCTGCCTCATCCTCCCGAGTAGCTGGGACTACAGGTGTGCGCCACCATGCTCAGCTAATTTTTGTATTTTTAGTAGAGACACGGTTTCACCATGTTGGCCAGGATGGTCTCAATCTCTTGACCTTGTGATCCACCTCTTGACCTCGTGATCTGCCTGCCTCAGCCTCCCAAAGTGTTGGGATCACAGGCGTGAGCCACCACACCTGGCCAGGGATGATTTTAAAGTGTCATGTTCTAACTGAGGTCTGAGGGGAGTTGGTGGACCAGTGGCGGGCAGCTGAAAGAACACTCAAGGAATCATATAGGGATTTTCGACATGGCTTTTTCTCTCTGGGCACAAGTGAGCTTGGGCACAAGCCATGGGTACAAGTGGTGGGCGCAAGCTGTATGTATAGCATCAGCTGGATAGTTACACCTTTTACAGACAATAATGGCTCTGAGCCAAGCAAGAGCACACCTGGTTACCTAATGTGCCTCACATGGCATGGTTACATAACGTGCAGAGTTGTGCACCTGTGCTCCAAACCTGCTGAGTCATGCTGTGCTGGAAGGCCACTTCAGCCTATTCCTGACTAAAGCAGAACCATTACCCTTATACTCCACCCCCAGGCCAAGGCCATCCTCCAGGAAGGGACAAGTGCCCAGAGACTGGACCCTTATACTCCACCCCCTAGGCCAAGGCCATCCTCCAGGCAGGGACACATGCCCAGAGACTGGAGCCCTGAATCCATAACCCACAACAACCACACGGAGAGCAATAGCTCACTACTAGGATCCCAGCTATGCTACTTTTGACTATTAGGGCCCAGCATAGGCTAGAGCCCAGGGATGCCCACCCTGCAGGGGGTTGTCAGTAAGGCTCCTGACTACCTTAATCTCCCGTGAGACTCCTTGCAGGGCTGCTGTTATGTTCTGCCAATTGTCAGGGATAAAGGTACCACACTGTGTTCCTAAAAGAGCACAGGTGCCTCCTTGGACAGCAGTCATTAAGTCTAAGGCCATTCAGTTTTGCAACACCACCTTTCTGATCTGATCAACCTCATCTGTTAACAGGAGGAGAGCCACTTGGGTGTGATTCAGAGCCCAAGCGGTGTGCTCTGCAAGAGCAGTAACTTGTGCTTCTACAGTTATGACACCCGCTCCAAGAACAGTCATTGCCAAGGGGTAGAACCACCAGGGGGCTTGTTGCACTGGCAAAAACTGAGAATGTAGTGCCTCCCCATTATTGGGATGGGCATCTGGGGAGAACAGTGGCAGGTACATAAGGCCACCCCTAGGTACAATATTCAGTCCAGTCCACTGGTAGGTAAGGACACCCTGTGTCACCACAGACCCATAAACTCCCAGGGGGCACAAAATCCATCGGGGCCTGATCTTGTCTACTTGCTACCTGGTTAAGGGCACTCGCTGTATCACTACTTGCTGTGTAACACTGGGTAGCGGTCTCCATTTAGGGTATGCCTGAGCACATGCTGGGCATTTCTGACAAGCCTCCCAAATATCTTGCATGGGCAGGGACAGACCCCAACACTTATTGACCTGTTGCATTAGTTTAACCCCAGTTTCCAGTGTAGCCACAAGGCCACATCTCAAGTAGGTGCTGTCTCTAACCATCAGACCTTGGCCAAAGCATCTGTCTCATCATTGCCAGGGGTGGCCAAAGGCATATGGCCTGACAGATGATAGTTACCTCTTTCTGATGACCCATTTCCCAGAGGTCTTGCCACATTGCTTAGCCCCATATGGTTCACTGGCCAACTAGCCACTTCTGTATTTTCCAGGTAGTTAACCACAAGGTTAAGCCTCGATAGACCTCCCAGCTATTGGTAAAGATTATCACAGGTGTCACCTCCTTGGTGATCACCATCCATACTGCTCTAAGTTCAGCCCATGGACTACTCTGTCCACATCCAGTTTCAAATCACATGGTGTCAGTACTAGGTTGGACCGCAAGAGTGGTCCAGGCAGCAGTATCATACCCCACTGGGTATGGGGGGACCCATCTGTGTATCATACCCATCTGTGTATCATACCCCATTGGGAATAGGGGGACGCCCTTCCTTAAATGGTGAAGGTTCAGGGTCTAAAGGTGCCTCAGGCCCCATGGCCTTGTCTTGCATTAGGACTACAGGTCCCAAGATCTCTTGCAACTCTACTGCTAAGGGACTTGTGCTCAGCGTACGCCACTGCTCCAAGTAGGCACCCCACTTTGCCAAAGTGGATGTCTGCACCGCCCCGTTTGGGAGGCTGTTATCCATGAACTCATCCATCCCGCTCTCGGGTAAGTTGTCCACACAACGACTGTAGCCCGTCCCCATCCTGCCATGCTCTCATGAGCCCGAAGGGCAGCATATGCAGTTACTAACTGCTTTCCCCATCCAGGGGGTTGTTATCCATGAACACACTCATTCCGCTATTGGGTAAGTTGTCTGCACAATGACTGTAGCCTGTCCTACCATGCTCTCATAAACCTGACGGGCAGCATATGCAGTTACTGACTACTTCTCTATCAATGAATACTGGAGCTCAACTCCTTTCCATAGTTGGGATGAAAAGCCTACTGGCGTTCTCAAGCTCTCCATGTGCTGCTATAGGCCCAGACAAAACTATCTGTGGTCACATGCACATCAAGTTTAAATAGGTGCCCCTGGTTAATTACCAGTAGGGCCTGTGCCTGCTGAATAGCCTGCTTGGCTGCCAGAAAGGCTGTCTCAGCCTCATCATCTTAATTCTAGGCAAGGGGAGCATTGCCACTTCTAAATCTGCAAGAGAATCAGAGGTTAGCATAATATCATTAACAAGACCATGACATATGGTGAGGCTCTGCATATAGCCCTCCGGCAGCACTGTGAAAGCCCACAGTCGCCTTCCCGTGAAGGTAAGCTGTTCCTGGCTTTTTGGAAAAGAATGCATTAGCCAAGTCCACCACACAGTGGTACGGTTCCAGTTCTATCATCAAACAGTCCATCAAATCCACGATTGATGGCATAGCTGCCAAGCTGTGTAAAACATCCACCCGCAGAATACATCTGCACTGGTGTCTACCAGCACCAGCACTTGCTGTACGTTGGTGGGGGACCAGTGAATTGCTAATTTCACATGTGGCCTCCTGTCATCCGGTGTTCCCCCAAGCCGGGCACCTCGGCCAGCTCCCTCATCAAACACAAAAGGCTTTACACCCCTGTCTGGCTGCAGCACATAGTCTTTGAGCTGAAGCACCCAGGTGGGACCAGGTCACGCAGCAGTGTCCTTCTTCCCCTTGGACATTTTCTGGAATTGCTGCTCTGGAGACAACTGTCTCCACAAAGTTAATAGTACTTCATTGGGCTGCTTATTAATTTTCTCTCAGTCAACCCCAGCCAAAATCAAATCTACCCACATCTGTAAGCGTGTCACTCAGTGGGACCCCCTTTCCTCCCATGGGGGGGCCCCCTGCGAGTGGGGCATCTTCTCCTTCTTTATGGTGCAAACCCAGACCAAGTGGGAGTCTCTCTGGCCAAGATGACGGACCCAGGATAGCATTCACAGCAGCTTCTAATTCCTTTTCCAAGCTCTGTGGCCAGGCCTCCAGGCACTCCGCCTATGCCTGGAGGTCCCTATTCATGGCAGCTTCTAACACTTCTGAGCTGCGTAACCAGGCCTTCTGGCACCTGGGAGGCCCTTACCTCTGCTGCATCCCTCAGGGACTGGGTGTGTACCTCTCATAGTGCAGTCAAAAACACCCATTCGACTCTGTCGGAAAGGCTCACCCCTTCTCAGTGCTCTGTGCTTCCAGATGCTTCAGCGCCTTCTCCATGCTCGCAGGGGGCCTATCTACCACTGCCCAGGTTTCCACTAGAGCCCATTTGAGCAGCACAGCTGCCACTGGGTACCACCATCCATGTTGCGGTCACATGGCCAACCTGGACTCAGTGGGGACCAAAGACTCACTCACTCTGGGATTGTGTTCGTGATGCCAATTGTCATGTTCTAACTGAGGTCTGAGGGGAGTCAGTGGACAAGTGGTGGCCAGCTGAAAGAACACTCAAGGAATCATAGCAAGTTTTCACATAGCATTTTCTCTGTCTCTCTGGATGCAAGCGAGCTTGGGCACCAACCTCGGTGTGAGCTGTGGGCACAAGCCAGGGGCAAAAGCCATATGTACAGTGTCAGCTGGGTAGTTATACCTTTTACAAACAATAGTGGCTCAGTCAAGCACGAGCACACGTGAGTGGTTACCTAAAGCGCCTCATGTGGTGTGGCTACATAACGTGCAGAGTTGTGTGCCTGCGCTCCAAACCTGTTTGAGTCATGCTGTGCCAAAAGGCTGCCTTGGCCTATTCCTGACTAAAGCGCAGCCATTCCCCTTACATAAAGGTATAAGCAATGTGTAGGGGAGTCGCAAGGGATAGTGAAGTAACTACTTCTAGCCAGAAGAGACAGGGAAGGGAATAGCAACTGGAAATGAGAAGGAGACAGTCATGCAAAGAAGGCTGCACAACTGAAGGGAGCCAAGGGAATAAACACTCTGATCTCATCCTCCTTCCTCCCTCCGGTCTCCTACTGGGGCATTTATTGGCAACTGGAAGCCTGAAGGCATGGAGCCTTATTGATGTAGCCCATACATTTTAGCTTCCTAGGAAAAAGAAGAGAGTAGAAAAGGGTGGAAAGTACATTTTACATGTTAAATGAAAGAGGTCCTGCTTCTGGAATAGTGGAGTAAGGAGCCCCCACAGACCCATTCCCCAATGAAACAACCTTAACTGGTAAAAATTATTAAGCAATCATTTAAAGTCTCCGCAAATTGGCCAGGCATGGTGGCTCATGCCTGTAATCCCAGAACTTTGGGAAGCTGAGGTGGGAGGATCACTTGAGCCCAGGAGTTTGAGACCAGCCTGGGCAACATAGTGAGACTCTGTCTCTATTTTCACTATAATTTTAAATTTAAAACAATGAAAAAGAAAAGGAAAAGAAAATAAAGTCTCTGTGAATTGTCCCAAGACACACAACAAACGAAGAAATGCTTATTCAAGAAAATCTACTAAATCTCAGTAATAATAATAAGAATTTGTGGCACTTGAGCCATGACCCCCTCCATTTCTCATTGCTCCTTGCCCTGCCTTCAACTCAGAGTGACAGAAGCTCCATCCAGAAGGTGTGGCCAGGAAGATGGGGCTTCCACTTCCCTCTGCTCCAAGTAAAGGAATACAGTATATTACCATGAGGAACAGGTCACCAGCATTTTTCATCATTTCCAGCTCTGAGTTGCAGAAGCTAAATTCCTGGCAAGTGCAGCTAAGAGGTCAGGGGCTTTCTTCTTCCACTCAGTTCTCATTCATAAAAAGATGCCCCTCCACAGATGCAGCAGACTGAGAATACTGGGACCCTGATCACTCTCACTCCACCTTGCTGATAGAGAGGAGGTTCCATTCAGGAAGCAGCAAGCCTAGAAGATGAGAGGCTATCACCTCCACCAAGAGTCTGAAGCCATGGCTTAGAGATTTTGCCCAGGAGAAGAGGCAGTCTATAAGAACAGAAATCTCTGAAGCTCTTTCCAAAGGGACTGGCTTTACTTGAAACAAAGTGTGAGAAGTTCAAGTCTAGCGTGCTCTTGACAACAACAAAAATTTGGGGGGGAAGCAATTAAGAGGAGGCTGGTAATTCTTGATAGCAACAAGCTAAGCCATAGGCCTGCTATTTTATTTGAGAGAAACAGGGAAACAGCAAAAAGAGACTTCCTGGGGTTTGAACAAACCTCAAAGACTAGCTTCAAAATCTACTCCTGCAGAGATCTGGATTTCATTAAATCAGACTGTAGCACCATTTATGCTTCAGGGCATAAGTGAGCAATCAGCCAGCAACTGGTAGAGCCTAAAAGCTGGGTGTGATACCAAATGAGGCAGACAGTTTAACAGGTCAGGGAAAGAGACAGAGTCTTGCTAAAACCCCTGTTATTCAAGGGTAACTGGGCACAGACCTAAGTCTGTATTCTTTGAGGAGTGGCACTAGAGGCTTCACACTGTGGGGGAATTAGACTTCACTAAAATATTCCAGCCAAATCACTAAGCAAACAACAAAAACAAGCCCCACAGAGGGAGAAGGGTATCAGTGCCTACAGCAGTATGTAACTGAAAGCATCTAGTTTTCACCAAAAAATTATGAGACATGCAGAGAAACAGAAAAGTGTGATCAGCCCACAGGGAAAATTTAGGCAACAGGAGCTGCCTGTGAGAGGGCTCTGATGTCAGATTTAATAAAGACTTCAAAGCAACCATTATGTTCATGCATTCAGTGTTCAAAGATCTCAAAGAAAAATAAACATGCTTAAAGTAGTAAAGAAAGATATGATGATTGTCAGGCCTCTGAGCCCAAGCTAAGCCATCATATCCCCTGTGACCTGCATGTATACATCCAGATGGCCTGAAGCAAGTGAAGAATCACAAAAGAAGTGAAAATGGCTAGTTCCTGCCTAAACTGATGACATTCCACCATTGTGATTTGTTTCTGCCCCACCTTAACTGAGCGATTAACCTTGTGAAATTCCTTCTCCTGGCTCAGAAGCTCCCCCACTGAGCACCTTGTGACCCCCACCCTTGCCCACAAGAGAGCAACCCCCTTTGACTGTAATTTTCCACTACCCACCCAAATCCTATAAAACGGCCCCACCCCTATCTCCCTTCGCTGACTGTTTTTGGACTCAAGCCACCTGCACCCAGGTGAAATAAACAGCCCTGTTACTCACACAAATCCTGTTTGGTGGTCTCTTCACACGGATGCGCGTGACAATGATAATGTTGCATCCAATGAAAAATGTCAATAAGGAGATAGAAAAAAATAACAAAATGGAAGTTCTGGAAGTGAAAAATATAATAACTAAAATGAAAAATTCACTAGAGTAGCTCAACAGTAGGTCTAAACTGGCAGAAGAGAGAATCAGCAAACTTGAAGATAGATCAATAGAGATTATGCAATCTGAAGAACAGAGAGAAAGAAGAATTAAAAAAAATGAACAGCCTCAGAGAATGTGGGTTGTCATTAAGTGCATTAAGTGATGGTAGTTTCAAAAGCAGAAGATGGCCAGGTGCGGTGGCTCACACCTGTAATCCCAGCACTTTGGGAGGCTGAGGTGGGCGGATCACTTGAGATCAGGAGTTCAAGGCCAGCCTGGCCAACATGGTGAAACCCTGTCTCTACTAAAAATGCAAAAATTAGCCAGGCATGGTGGCGCATGCCTGTAGTCCCAGCTACTCAGGAGGCTGAGGCAGGAGAATTGCTTGAACCCAGGAGGCAGAGGTTGCAGTGAGCTGAGATCGTGCCACTGCACTCCTGCCTGGGTAACAGAGCAAGACTCCAACTCAAAACAAACAAACAAACAAACAAGCAACAACAACAAAAAAAAACAAAAACAGAGAAGAGAGGAACAGAAAAAAGGTTTGAAGAAATAATAGCTGAAAACTTCCCAAATTAAATGAAAAATATTGATTTTCATATTCACATAGCTCAGTGAATTCCAGGTAGGATAAAAACAAAGAGGTGCACACTTATATATCATAGCAAAAATGCTGAAAGACACAGATTAATTTTGAGAGCAGCAAGAACAAATGACTTATCACATATAAGAGAACCTCAGTAAGATGAGCAGATGACTCCTTACAAGAAATAACAGGCCAGGCATGGTGGCTCACACCTGTAATCCCAGCATTTTGGGAGGCTTTGGCAGGAGGGTCACTTGAGCCCAGGAGTTCAAGATCACCCTGGGAAACGTAGTGAGACCTTGTCTTTATGAAAATTTTAAAAAATTAGCCAGGTGTGATGGTGCAACCTGTGGTCCCAGCTATTCCAGAGCCTGAGGTGAGAGGATTGCTTGAGCTTGGGATGTTGAGGCTGCAGTGAGCTGTGATCATACCACTGCACTCCAGTCTGGGTCACAGAGTGAGACCCTGTCTCAAAAAAAAAAAAAAAAAAAAAAAAAGTTAGAAAACAGTGGATGATATATTCAAAGTGCTAAAATTAAAAAAATATGTCAACCAGGAAGTTATATCCAGCAAAACTGTCTTTCAGAAATGAAGGTGGAATAAAGACATTCCTAGATGAACAAAAGATGAGATAATCTTTTGCTAGTAGACCTGCCTTATAAGACATGCTAAAGAAAGTTCTTCAAACTGAAAGCAACTGACCCTATATGGTAATTAAAATTCAAATGAAAAAGCAAAGAGTACCAATAAAGGTAATTATGTAATTATAAAAGATAGTATATTTCTTCTCCCTCATTAAATGATTGAAAAAGCAATTGTATAAAGCTATATATATATGTATTTCATAGATATGACACAAAAAGTTAAAACAAAAGAAAAAATAAACTGGACATTATCAAAATTAAAAACTTACGTGCCTCAAAGGACACCATCAAGAAAGTGAAAATACAACACACAGAATGGAGGCATTAAATAGTTCCTCCCACTTTTATGATTTTCTAAGTACTATTCTTATTTATTTTTGTTTTTATTTTTATTTATGAATGGGTCCTGGCTTCCCTCACGGACAAGTATGTCTTCTTAGTCAGCTTAGCTTAGCTTAGTGGCTACTTGAAAACAATTGTTGATGTTTGAAGATGGTCTGAACCTACCACTGCAGGGAGAAGAAAATTTGAATGGGAGAATAGTTACACATGGACTTGATGGAGTACTTTGGAAAGTTTGCCAACTCCTATTGTAACCTCCTGTGGGAGCCGGACGGGAGGCACCCTGGAGCCAGCTGTGACTCCATCAATGTTAATGCATTATTCAATTTAAAAAAAAAACACAATGCCACAGGCTAAGGAACGTTTCTTTCCTGATAGCCATCTGGCTACTTTAAAGTTCCTGGTGAAATGCCCTACAAAGTTCAGATGGAGAACAAGAAAGCTGGCCCCGGGTTCCTGGGAGTATATGACAGGAGGTGCCATGACTTCCTGGTGGGGTCATATCTGCAGCACCCACCACAAACATGGCACCATGTAGATAGGTTTGTGGAGTGAATGAAATTTCAAGGAAAAATAATTCAAGGCCAGAAACAATCTGCAAGAGAAATTTTAAAATAAAGATATTTTAGCCTCTGTGAGACAACATCAGGAGAAGATATAAACGTCATCTTGGGCTGGGTGCCGTGGCTCATACCCGTAATACCAGCATTTTGGGAGGCAGAGGCAGGCAGATCGCCTGAGCTCAGAAGCTACACACCAGCCTGGGCAACACAGTGAAACCCCGTCTCTACTAAAAAATAAAATACAAAAAATTAGCCGGCCGTGGAGGCGTGCGCCTGTAGTCCCAGCTACTCATGAGGCTGAGGCAGGAGAATTGCCTGAACCCGGGAGGTGGAGGTTGCAGTGAGCCAAGATCACCCCACTGCACTCCAGCCTGGGCAACAGAGCAAGACTCGGGCTCAAAACAAAACAAAACAAAAAAAAGTCATCTTCAGGTGTTTATAGCCTGGGACCAGCGGTGCTGGTGAAAGAAGAGGCACAGACCCTCTCATATTGTTTTATATTGTTTTATACTCAGAAAAGAAAAGAAAAGCGAAACAAAAGGCAGGTAGCCCGGCGCCTAGGAACCAGACCCGAAACCAGGCCTGGGCCTGCCTGACCTAAGCCTGGTAGTTAAAGATCGACACCTGACCTAACCGGTTATGTTATCTATAGATTCCAGATATTGTATAGAAAAGACATTGTGAAACTTCCTGGTCTGTTCTGTTTCACTCTGACCACTGGTGCATGCAGCCCCTGTCATGTACCCCCTGCTCGCTCAATCGATCACGACCCTCTCACGCGGATCCCCTTAGAGTTGTGAGCCCTTAAAAGGGACAGGAATTGCTCACTTGGGGAGCTCGGCTCTTGAGACAGGAGTCTTTCCCAATGTTCCTGGCCGAATAAACCACTTCCTTCTTTAACTCGGTGTCAGGAGTTTTGTCTGCAGCTCGTCCTGCTACCCTGGTAAATCTCTGAGGGAAAAAGTCCCTCATTTGTAGCTTTGCTGATTTCCATGGTGTAAATACTCCTACCATGGCTGATTTCAAACTATTGACATAAACACAATTGGCTATGACAGCCAATTCATTGCTGGCTGCACCATAAAGTATTTCAACACTGCAGCACATGTGTGTGATCACATTATTTTTCTTTTCTTAGTTTATACCACTCCAGACTTTCTCGCTACTTTGCACTTTGAGCTCCATGATCTCTTTTGCCTCTAGCCTTCTCCCAGTGCCTAACTTCCCATGTCTTTTAACATTCAGTTCAGGAATCTCTTCCTTTGGAGCATTTTGCCACGTCTTGACTATTCCAATTGGATTAGGTGCCTCCCTCTGCATTCCTACCATCTCCTGCTGTTTCTTGTGTCACAGCACTTATCACAGCTGCATTTTTTTTTTTTTTTTGAGACAGACTTTCACTCTTGTTGCTCAGGCTGGAGTGCAGTGGTGTGATCTTGGCTCACTGCAACCTCCACCTTCTGGGTTCAAGTGATTCTCCTGCCTCAGCCTCTCAAGTAGCTGGGATTACAGGCATGTGCCACCATGCCCAGCTAATTTTTTTTTTTCTTTTGAGACAAAGTCTCGCTTTGTCGCCAGGCTGGAAAGCAGTGGCGTGATCTCTGCTCACTGCAACCTCTGCCTCCGGGGTTCAAGCAATTCTCCTGCCTCAGCCTCCCGAGTAGCTGGGATTACAGGCGCACGCCACCAAGCCCGGCTAATTTTTGTATTTTTTAGTAGAGACGGGGTTTCATCATGTAGGCCAGGATGGTCTCGATCTCTTGACCTTGTGATCCACCCACTTTGGCCTCCGAAAGTGCTGGGATTACAGGCGTGAGCCACTGTGCCTGGCAAATTTTTGTATTATTAGTAGAGACGGGGTTTCTCCATGTTGGCCAGGCTGGTCTCGAACTCCTGACCTCAGGTGATCCGCCCTGACCTCAGGTGATCCGCCTGCCTCGGCCTCCCAAAGTTCTGGGATTACAGTAGTGATGTGGTTTCGATGTCTGTCTCTTCCAAATTGCATGTTGAAATGTGACTCCCAATGTTGGAGGTGGGGCCTAGTGGGAGGTGATTGGATCACGGGGACCGATCCTTCATGAATGGTTTAGCACCATCCCCTTGGTGATAAGTGTGTTCTCCCTCAGTTAGTTCATGCGAGATCTGGTTGTTTAAAAGAGTCTAGGACATCCCCTTTCTGTTGCTCCTGCTCTCGCCATGTGATATGCCTACTCCTCCTTCACCCTCTGCCATGATTGAAGGCTTCCTGAGGCCCTTACAAGGAGCAGATGCTAACACCGTCTTTCTGTACTGCCTGCAGAGCCAAGACCCTACATAAACCAATTTTCTTTATAAATTACCCAGTCTCAGGTATTCCTTTACAGCAAGAACAGGCTAATACAAATATGTGGTGCAATGCAGAGCATTCAAAAAAACACCTGGTCTGAATAAGTGCTTGATAAATGTTAGTGACACTTATCGTTAAGTGACACATTTGATCTCATATTCTCTTATTCTCTGTGCTCAGTTTTTTAAATCATTAAATTTTCTCTATTCTAACCTGCCGTTGATTATAAACCAGACCATAGATTTAATATCAGCTTTTCCTAAAGATAAGGAAATAATGCCACATTAAATACATGATAAGGCAGTACAGTTTAATGATTAAAGATGTGGGTGTTTAGAGACAGACCGCCTCTCTCGTAATGACCTTTGACAAATTAATTAACTTCTCTTAGCTTAGTTTCCTCATTCAGAAATTGTAACTGCTCAATACATGTTAATAAATACTCTTCCTTATTCATCAGTAGTAACATGCAACAATAATTCACAGGGCACCATACAGAGAGGAGAGAGAACTTCACCCAAACAGAACTCCAGAGATCTTCAGAAGGTCTTACTTGAGTCTTTCAGTTGATTAATGATCAGTGTGCATGTGTGAGGAAACTACCAAGGCCAGGGAAAGAACCATCCTGAAGGACTAGAGGTGACGATGCTCAGCGCTATCCAGGAATAGTGTCTCTTCCCACCAGCCAGACTGGAAAAACATGTTTCACAGGGCATGATTCACTGGATGGAGAATCAGGAAGGTATTGGCTCAGTAGTGCACATAATTATCCCTAGAATGAGCACAACTCTAGACCCACCTTAAAAATCATAAAGGCAAGACCCAAGAGGATCAAACTGTATCCCAAAACAAAGCTGAAGATTATTTATAGAAATTAAAAAATATCCAGCACTCAAGAAGGCAGAAATCACAGTGTCTGACATCTAATTAAAGGTTAGGAGACATGCAAAGAGGCAGGAAACCATGACTCAAAGTGAGAATAATCTGCCAATTGAAATTGACCCAGAATTGACACAGATGTTAGAATTATCAGAGAAGGATCTGAAAATAGTTATTATAACTTTATTCCGTATGTTCAAAAGTTAAATAGAAACATGGAAAACATAAAAGAGATACAAATCAAACTTTTACAAATGAAAACCTCAATGTCTATGCCGGCACATTGGTGGGATTAATAGCAGATTAAGCCCAGCAGAAGAAAAGATTCATTAATTTAAAATTTTAGCAATATAAGCCATACAAAAAAGAAATACAGAAATAAAAATGAATTAAGAATATTATTAATGGGCTGGGTGCAGTGGCTCATGTCTGTAATCCCAGCACTTTGGGAGGCCGGGATGGGTAGATTGCTTGAGGCCAGGAGTTCAAGACCAGCCTGGCCAACATGTCACAACCCCGTCTCTACCAAAATTACAAAAATTAGCCGGGCATGGTGGCACAGGCCTGTAATCCTAGCTACGTCTGGAGGCTGAGACAGGAGAATCACTTGAACCCAGGAGGCAGAGGTTGCAGTGAGCCGAAATCATGCCACTGTGCTCCAGCCTTGGCAACAGGGTAAGACTCTGTCTCAAAAAAAAACAAAAAAAGAAAAGACAACTACAATCAGTCTAATATACATGTAATTGGAGTCCCCAAAGAAGAGGCCCCCAAAGAGGGCAACAGAAGAGATATTTGAAGAAATAATAGCTGAAATTTTTTCAAATGTGATTAAAATTATAAACCCATGGAACAAAAATCTCAACAAACACCAAGTACAAGGAACATGAAGAAAACTGTACCGGTCACATCACAGCCAAATTATTAAAATCAGTGATAAAGAGAAAATACAATCATGCGTTACTTAAATCTGGGGATACAGTCTAAGAAATGTGTTATCAGGTGATTTCCTTGTTGCATAAATATAGAGCATACTTACACAAACCCAGATGGTATAGCCTACTATACACCTCTACTACGTGGTATTGAAGCAGGACGAGCCGCAGACAAAACTCCTCAGACACCGAGTTAAAGAAGGAAGGGGTTTATTCGGCCAGGGGCATTGGCAAGACTCCTGTCTCAAGAGCCGAGCTCCCCAAGTGAGCAATTCCTGTCCCTTTTAAGGGCTCACAACTCCAAGGGGGTGCGCGTGAGAGGGTCACGATCGATTGAGCAAGCAGGGGGTACGTGACTGGGGGCTGCATGTACCAGTAATTAGATCGGAACAAAATAGGATAGGGATTTTCACAGTGCTTTTCTATACAATGTCTGGAATTTGTAGATAACATAACCAATTAGATCAGGGGTGGATCTTTAACTACCAGGCCCAGGGTGTGGCGCTGGGCTGTCTGCTTGTGGATTTCATTTCTGCCTTTTAGTTTTTATTTTTTCTTTCTTTGGAGGCAGAAATTGGGCATAAGACAATATGAGGGGTGGTCTCCTCCCTTAGTATATCTATTGCTCCTAGGCTATAGAGCTGCACAGTATGTTACTGTACTGAATACTGTAGCCAACTGTAATAGAAAGGTAAATATTTGTGTATCTAAATATATCTAAACATAGAAAAGGTATAGTAAAAATACCGCATAAAATATGTAAAAGATTAAAAAATGGAGCCAGGTACAGTGGTGCATGCCTATAATCCCAGCTACTCAGGAAGCTCAGGCAGGAGGATTGTTTGAGCTCAAGAGTTCAAGACCACCTGGGCAACATAGCAAGATCCTGTCTCAAAAAAAAGATTTAAAAATGGTATACCTGTATAGGTCACTTACCATGAATGGAGCTTGCAGAAATGAAAGTTGCTCTAGGTGAGTCAGTAAATGAGTGGTGATTAAATAGGAAGGCCTAGGACATTACTGTATACTACTGTAGGCTTTATAAACGCTGTACACTTAGGTTACTCTAAATTCATTTTTTTAAAAGTAATTGTGCTACAACATTATGATGGCCATGACATCATATCATTGATAGGATAAAGTGATAGAAAGTTTTCACAAGGTGACAGAAATTTTTCAGCTCCATTATAATCTTATGGAATCACCATTGTATATGCAGTGTGTTATGCAGCAAATGACCATCTTGACGGCAGCCAGAGAAGAAAGGCATTACATACAAAGGAATAAATGATGACAACTGATTGTTTTTTTGTTGGAAACAATGCAAGTGAGAAGACAGTGCAGCAACATCTTAAGGATATTGGACAACAACAACGAAAAAAACACTTGTGAGCCTAGAATTCTATACCCAAAATGATGTTTCTATGGAAATATCATTTGAAGAAATCAAAACAAAGTTGTTTTCAGACATATAAAAACTAAAGTATTCATCATCAGGAGACAAACTTTGTAAGAAATGCTAAAGGGAGTTCTTCTGCAAGAAGTAAAATGATACCAGACAGAAATATGAATCTATACAGAGGAACGAAGAACACCAGAGGCCAGGTGCTGTGGCCCACACCTGTAATCTCAGCACTTTTGGAGGCCGAGGCAGGAGGATTACTTGAGCCCAGGAGTTTGAAACAAGCCTGAGCAACATAGCAAGACTCTGTCTCTACAAAAAAATTTAAAAAACTAGCTGGGCATGGTGGCACATCCCTGTAGTCCTATACACTCTGGAGGCTGAGGTGGGAGGATTGCTTGAGCCTAGGAGTTCAAGGCTGCAGTGAGCTGTGATTGCCCCACTGCACTCCAGCCTGTACTTTAGTCTGGACAACAGAGTGAGAACCTGTCAAAAAAAAAAAATCACCAGAAATGCTATCTATCTGGGTAAATATAATAGAATTCTTATTATTTACTTTTCCATAACAGAAAATTAACTATTTAACAAAAATAAAATGTGTGAAAGCATAAACACAAAGGGCTGGAGAAGAGAAATGGAAGTATCCTGTTTTACAATTCTTATATTGTATGTGAAATGGCATAATGTCACCTAGACTGTGAAAGTTAAACATGTATACTCTAAACCCTAAAGTAATCACTAAAATAACAAAACAAGCAGTGTGTAGAGGGAAATTTATAGCACTAAATGCCCACAAGAGAAAGCAGGAAAGATCCAAAATTGACACCCTAACATCACAATTAAAAGAATTAGAAAAGCAAGAGCAAACACATTCAAAAGCTAGCAGAAGGCAAGAAATAACTAAAATCAGAGCAGAACTGAAGGAAATAGAGACACAAAAAACCCTTCAAAAAATTAATGAATCCAGGAGCTGGCTTTTTGAAAGGATCAACAAAATTGATAGACCACTAGCAAGACTAATAAAGAAGAAAAGAGAGAAGAATCAAATAGACGCAATAAAAAATGATAAAGGGGATATCACCACCGATCCCACAGAAATACAAACTACCATCAGAGAATACTACAAACACCTCTATGCAAATAAACTAGAAAATCTAGAAGGAATGGATAAATTCCTCAACACATACACCCTCCCAAGACTAAACCAGGAAGAAGTTGAATCTCTGAATAGACCAATAACAGGCTCTGAAATTGTGGCAATAATCAATAGCTTACCAACCAAAAAGAGTCCAGGACCAGATGGATTCACAGCCGAATTCTACCAGAGGTACAAGGAAGGAGCTGGTACCATTCCTTCTGAAGCTATTCCAATCAATAGAAAAAGAGGGAATCCTCCCTAACTCATTTGATGAGGCCAGCATCATCCTGATACCAAAGCCTGGCAGAGACACAACAAAAAAAGAGAATTTTAGATCAATATCCTTGATGAACACTGATGCAAAAATCCTCAATAAAATACTGGCAAACCGAATCCAGCAGCACATCAAAAAGCTTATCCACCATGATCAAGTGGGCTTCATCCCTGGGATGCAAGGCTGGTTCAATATATGCAAATCAATAAATGTAATCCAACATATAAAAAGAACCAATGACAAAAACCATATGATTATCTCAATAGATGCAGAAAAGGCCTTTGACAAAATTCAACAGCTCTTCATGCTAAAAACTCTCAATAAATTAGGTATTGATGGGACATATCTCAAAATAATAAGATCTATCTATGACAAACCCACAGCCAATATCATACTGAATGGGCAAAAACTGGAAGCACTCCCTTTGAAAACTGGCACAAGACAGGGATGCCCTCTCTCACCACTCCTATTCAACATAGTGTTGGAAGTTCTGGCCAGGGCAATCAGGCAGGAGAAGGAAATAAAGGGTATTCAATTAGGAAAAGAGGAAGTCAAATTGTCCCTCTTTGCAGGTGACATGATTGTATATCTAGAAAACCCCATTGTCTCAGCCCAAAATCTCCTTAAGCTGATAAGCAACTTCAGCAAAGTCTCAGGATACAAAATCAATGTGGAAAAATCACAAGCATTCTTATACACCAATAACAGACAAACAGAGAGCCAAATCATGAGTGAACTCCCATTCACAATTGCTTCAAAGAGAATAAAATACCTAGGAATCCAACTTACAAGGGATGTGAAGGACCTCTTCAAGGAGAACTACAAACCACTGCTCAATGAAATAAAAGAGGATACAAACAAATGGAAGAACATTCCATGCTCATGGGTAGGAAGAATCAATATCATGAAAATGGCCATACTGCCCAAGGTAATTTATAGATTCAATGCCATCCCCATCAAGCTACCAATGACTTTCTTCACAGAATTGGAAAAAACTACTTTAAAGTTCATATGGAACCAAAAAAGAGCCCGCATCGCCAAGTCAATCCTAAGCCAAAAGAACAAAGCTGGAGGCATCACGCTACCTGACTTCAAACTGTACTACAAGGCTACAGTAACCAAAACAGCATGGTACTGGTACCAAAACAGAGATATAGATCAATGGAGCAGAACAGAGCCCTCAGAAATAATGCCGCATATCTACAACTATCTGATCTTTGACAAACCTGACAAAAACAAGAAATGGGGAAAGGATTCCCTGTTTAATAAATGGTGCCGGGAAAACTGGCTAGCCATATGTAGAAAGCTGAAACTGGATCCCTTCCTTACACCTTATACAAAAATTAATTCAAGATGGATTAAAGACTTAAATGTTAGACCTAAAACCATAACAACCCTAGAAGAAAACCTAAGCAATACCATTCAGGACATAGGCATGGGCAAGGATTCCATGTCTAAAACACCAAAAGCAATGGCAACAAACGTCAAAATTCAAAAATGGGATCTAATAAAACTAAAGAGCTTCTGCACAGCAAAAGAAACTACCATCAGAGTGAACAGGCAACCTACAACATGGGAGAAAATTTTCGCAACCTACTCATCTGACAAAGGGCTAATATCCAGAATCTACAATGAACTCAAACAAATTTACAAGAAAAAAACAAACAACCCCATCAAAAAGTGGGTGAAGGACATGAACAGACACTTCTCAAAAGAAGACATTTATGCAGCCAAAAAACACATGAAAAAATGCTCACCATCACTGGCCATCAGAGAAATGCAAATCAAAACCACAATGAGATACCATCTCACACCAGTTAGAATGGCAATCATTAAAAAGTCAGGAAACAACCGGTGCTAGAGAGGATGTGGAGAAATAGGAACACTTTTACACTGTTGGTGGGACTGCAAACTAGTTCAACCCTTGTGGAAGTCAATGTGGCGATACCTCAGGGATCTAGAAGTAGAAATACCATTTGACCCAGCCATCCCATTACTGGGTATATACCCAAAGGACTATAAATCATGCTGCTATAAAGACACATGCACACGTATGTTTATTGTGGCACTATTCACAATAGCAAAGAGTTGGAACCAAGCCAAATGTCCAACAATGATAGACTGGATTAAGAAAATGTGGCACATATACACCATGGAATACTATGCAGGCATAAAAAATGATGAGTTCATGTCCTTTGTAGGGACATGGATGAAATTGGAAATCATCATTCTCAGTAAACTATCGCAAGAACAAAAAACCAAACACCGCATATTCTCACTCATAGGTGGGAATTGAACAATGAGAACACATGGACACAGGAAGGGGAACATCACACTCTGGGGACTGTTGTGGGGTGGGGGGAGGGGGGAGGGATAGCTTTAGGAGATATACCTAATGCTAAATGACGAGTTAATGGGTGCAGCACACCAGCATGGCACATGTATACATATGTAACTAACCTGCACATTGTGCACATGTACCCTAAAACTTAAAGTATGATAATAATAAAATAAAATAAAATAAAAGAGAGAATTAGGCACACAAATATAATAAAGTACACTTACACAAACCTACATGGTATGGCCTACTATACCCTTATGCTAGATGGAATAGCCTATTGTTCCTAGGGTGCAAACCTGTACAGCATGTTACTGTACTGAATACTGCAGGTAATTTTACCACAATGTAAGAATTTATTTATCTAAGCACATCTACACATAGAAAAGGTACAATTAAAATATGGTAGGTTTTATAATATTTTAGGAGTATCATCACATATGTGGTCTGTCAGTAACAGAAACATTACGCAGTACATGACTATATTTCAAGGAAAAGTTATAGAGGACAACCATCAGGATCTCTTACAGAACGTGACTACTTGTCAATAATAAAATGAATGTGAATCTAGGGTAATTCATTTGGGCTAGGCAAAAAGGTTAAAGGGGAAAGCAAACATACATGGCTACACATGTAGGTACCACTAGCTGGTCATGACCTAGGCAAGGAGGTGAGTCTTTGCCTTTTCTAAATTTCAATTTTTTCATCTGTAAAATTGACATTATTGAATGTTAGTGCATTATGCTCTTTGGAATTTTTGTTGTTGTTCTTTAAAAAAGCAAACACATAGAAATAAGAAATGCAGTGGTGTGGGGCTTCAGATCACAGCCCATTTAGGTCTCCTTGTCTTGACTTCAGTGGCTTCTAGAGCCACTGTGTTTAATCATATGACTCTGAGGAAGACAACTCAAAGCTTTGGATGTATGTACCAATCAGCCTAAAGTTAATTAACCTATACTTATACTTAATGTATGTTACATGTTGACATATTATTCTGATGTTTAATGGATCTGGATTATTTTTATGATTTTATAACAAATTGAAACTTTCAATGATACAAAAAAAGAAAATAAAATAAAGACTTCTAGTCCAGGGCATTAAAAAACAAAACAAAACAAAACAAAACAAAACAATGCATTCTAGCTGATAAGCTAACAAAGGAGATAAAATGGAATCATAAAAAAATTTAATTACACCGAAAGAAGAGTGAGGATTCTCAGGCTCACTTTCCACATACAAAAAAGCTGACTGTGGTGTTTTTTAGAAAAAAAAAAATCTTGTCTTTACTGACGAATATGACATTCCCTGGAAGACAAACATAACTATGGTAAATTTTGATTTCAATGTCCATTTTCCCCCTTCTTGCTACAATGTATGAACATATACTAAAATAATCTCAGGAAGTACCCTGTTCCAAGAAACTTAATCTGGCCACAAGTCTCATGCTGATGTTTTGCTACAGCTTTCGAGACATAGAATGTTAAAGATTGGTAGGACTTCACCAAGCACCCAATCCACACATCCCCCTACTGCATTTTCCAGAGCGTAGGACTCAGTGAGGCAAAATGACTTGTTCAAATCAGACACCGTATTTGCAGGACAGGGGTTGGAAGCCAGATCTCTTGGCTCCATTCATTTCATTCAATTTAATAAACACCCAAGTGAGCCCCTGGGGATCTGGCTAAGGAAAAGGAGTGGTGGGGGTTTTCAGGGAAGAGGCTCTGGATGTGGGTGACTTCACTGGGTGGGGACTCATTTGATTGTTCCCAGACCTCTGATAATTTGCCTTCATCCTTCACCCCCTGAAAAGGGTGTGTCCTGGGTAAATTGACCCTGTATCAGGCAAAGCTAGATTAAATTCCTGCAATCCACGAGGCCAAGCAAAAGGTATGAATGAACACGCAGGAGGAGAGCTTAATTCCGGTAAGGGTCTTAAAAGGCAGGCAATATTTTCACAGGTGAAGCTGGCAGGGCATGAGTAACGTGTGTGCAATGGTCACAGCAAAGGCAGTTTGCGTGTTTGAGAGTTAGGTTTGAATCTCAGTTCAGTTATCTGACAAACTCCCTTCACCTCTCTAAACTTGTTTCTTGAGCTACAAAATTGGGATAAACTATCTCTGTGTAGACTTACTGGGAGGATTAAATGAAAGAAAGTAGGAAATGTGTCTAGTGTTAATGGTGACTATTCTAATTTTTTTTTTAAGAGATGGTCTTGCTGTGTCACCCAGGCTGAGTGCAGTAGGATGATCATAGTTCACTGAAGCCTCGAATTCCTGGGTTCAAGCAATTCTTCCTCCTTGGCCTCCTGAGTGGCTAGGACAACAAACATGTGACAAAATGCTTAGCTAATTAAAAAAAAATTTTTTTTTTTTTTTTTTGTAGAGACAGGGTCTCATTATGTTGCCCAGGCTTGTCTTGAACTCCTGTGCTCAAGTGAGCCTCCTGCACTGGCCTCCCAAAGTGCTGGGATTACAGGCAGGAACCACCTCACCTGGCCTGGAATTATTATTGTTGTATCCCAGCATTTACCCATTTGATATTCACAACAACCCTGAGAAGTAAAGTATTATTAGCATGACTGTTTTACAGATTAGTAAACTGGAGCTTGGAGAGATTAAGAACTTTACCCAAGTTGTTTAGTGAACCCTGCTAAGGTATCAACCACATGGCTGCAGCAGAGGGTGTATGTTGGGGGGCAGTGGAAAGTGGTAAAGTACACGTCAGCTGTGCCTAACCCTGGAAGATGCAGTTACCTCCTAGAGGCCCTGTGCACTTTTTTTTTTTTTTTTAGCTATATGATAATAGGTTATGGTTCTTCTTTTTGGAGGTAATTTTGACCTAAGGTGGCAGCAAGAAGGACTCCCATTAAACTAAAGGAAGAGACTCTATAAACAATGAGGATTGCTAACCAAGCAACTAACAGCATGTTTCTCAAACTCAAGTAATGGAGGTGCCCCTGTTCAAAATTCTTACAGATTCACCCCAAAGTTGACTTAAATTTTTTTTTCTTTTTTTGAGATGGAGTTTCACTCTTGTTGCCCAGGCTAGAGTGCAATGGCGCGATCTCGGCTGACTGCAGCCTCCACCTCCTGGGTTCAAGCAATTCTCCTGCCTCAGCATTCCGAGTAGCTGGGATTACAGACATGCGCCACCACACCCAGCTAATTTTTGTATTTTTAATAGAGACGGGGTTTCTCCATGTTGGTCAGGCTAGTCTCGAACTCCCGACCTCAGGTGATCCGCCCAGCTTGGCCTCCCAAAGTGCTGGGATTACAGACGTGAACCATCACACCCAGCCGACTTAAATTATTTTAATATCACTTGTATACTTACAAGCACAAAACTCAGTATAAATTCCTTATGCTAGTAGCTGTTCTGTAACTCTAAACCAAGACAAATGGAAAATAAACACAATTACTAACCCTATAAAATTCAAACAAACATTCTAACTTAGTATGCCAGAAGATGTTTTACTGAAGTTAAATTGCCATTTGAAGCCTGAGTATGGGGCAGACTGCTATGGCACAGGCTTTTTTAGTACAGCACACCCAGAGCACTGTAGACTGCAGGCAGCTCCCACTGTGCTTCTCTGGTCAAACTCCTGGAAAGTCTTCATTTTGACCGTGCACCAAGTCCCCATTTGACTTTTACTTGGCATAGAAGTATCATTTACATTAAGCCCACCTCTATTTTCCTTGGTTGGGCTATAACAATGAACGTAAAGCACTATCTGGCTTCAAAGTGATCAGAAACACAAAGTCAGTGTCCAAATGCCATGGCAGGTGGTAGCCTTCCAGACAATTCAGAACATGCTGATTTTGTTTGGATTACCATCAAAATGAAACATAACATTTAGAAGTTTTCACAGACACATTTCAGGCTCCTCACAATATATTTATTTATTAACCTTGAGGGGTTTATAGTCCCAGGTCTGAGAAACTCTAATCTAATCATTTCCAAAACCCTGGGATGTGTTTACCTGAATTGCTGTAAGGCAGGACGTTGGTGCCCTGGGATTGGAATGACTTCATCATACAGCAGCACTTGTGCATGTGCTGTTCTGCTGTTTCCCCTTTTCTCTACCTGAAGAGCTTCTACTTATTGAGTAGATTCTTCATCTGGAAGCCTCTCCTGGCCTCCTCAAGCTGAGCAGGTCTTACCCACGCTGCACCCCTACCATACCCTGCATGTTCAGACCCCAGTTCATAGCCCTTGGTAACATAATCACTCAGTTACCTTCCTCCCTCACCCCCAGGTTCCCTAGATTGAGAGCTCCAGGAAGGTAAGGAATGAGTCTGATCCATTTTTGGTCCTCACTTCCCTACACAGAGCCAGGCTCAAGTAGGAATACTGAGTGGGTAGATGGATAAACAGATGGATGGATGGATGGATGGATGGATGGATGGATGGATGGATGGATGGATGGGCGGGCTGGGTGATCTCTCAGATTCTCTTCCAACTCTGAGACAGTCAGTTCCACCATCCAGCTCAGCATTTTCTTTCCTCACCAACTCCCATTGTTCTTTCAAGGGCTTGAAAAGAGTATATCCTAGAATCATGAGTATTAGAGATATTATCTGAGATGGAAGCACCCTCAGAGGTCATCTGGTGGCTCCCCTCATTCTGCAGATGAAACAGCTGAAGTGCAGAGAGGGAAGGTGACGTGTCCCAGGTCACCCAGCTAGGATGTGAACACACCAGGCCAGAAGCCAGGTGCCCTGATATCCACTTCAGTGTTTCTTCCAGGACATTGTTTATTTATCATTTATTCATTTATTTATTTATTTTTGGTCACAGTTGCCTTGGGGAAAAGCAATGTTCCCTTGTGACCTCAGCTCCCCATGGCAGTGTTTTGGGAACAAACTGGATTCTCACGGTTTTCCCAATGGTGGCAGGGTGCCCATGTCAGGCAAGGTATTTTTCATAATGAAAAAGAAACAAAGATAGCGTCAGACCTCATTTGTAATTTCCCCATAGCAGCCGGAATCTACAATCTCTTGTTTCCCTTCTCAGCTTATTATACTGCCCTTGTCCTTGGTGAAATAGAGCAAGAAGGTGGAGTTGAGGTCTTTAAAAAAATCTGTACTTATTTATTTACGTATGTATTTATTTCTAGATGCATTTATTTTTGCAACGTAGGCCAACATAGACATCCTGCAACTCCCGCCTGCCTTTCCTCCTTAATTTAGATATCTTACTTCTCTCTCATGGCCAAAAACACCAGTGTCATCCCTGACCCCCGGACATCCTTCTTCCTTTCAGGCGGGGAGGCAGCTCGCCTCCTCATGCCTGGGCTTTCCAGAGGGCAGTCCTGGCTTTGACCCCACAAACACCATATCCTCGTTCAACATTTAATCACTTCCGCTCCTGACACCCGTCCTGCTCTCCCTCATCCTGCCTCTTGGCCATGGCCCTGGAACCCAGGTGGAGAGAAATCCAGAAGGGAGGAGGAAGGAAGCTCAGACATATGGATCATCTGCTGTGTACCTGGAACCATGCTGAACCCTTTTTGGGCAGGGGACAATGAGGGAAGATCTTTCATTCAGCGTATTAATTTATTTTTATTGTGGTAAAATATACACAACATAAAATGTATCATTGTAACCTTTTTAAGTGTACAGTTCAGTGGGATTAAGTATATCCACATTGCTACGAACTGTCACTACTATTCATCTCTAGAATATTTTTATCATATAAAATATAACAGAACCTCTGTACCTATTAAACAATAACCCTCATTCTCCCTCTCCCCTCTCCCTGACACACTTTTATACACATTATTTCATTCAGTCCTCACATCCACCTCGTGAAGCAGGTACTGTTATCTCCATTCTCTCACCTGAGAAATCTGAGGCTCAGAAAAGTGAAGCAACTTCTCTGAGGTCACTCAGCTCACAAGACTCCAGGCTGAAATTCCATTCTGCCTGACCAGGGTCACCCTTGCTTTGCATTTGTGTGCTTTTTCTCAGGCTGTGAAAGAGCAAGAAGTGATGTGGAAAGAGTGGTCTTTGCTGTTAAAGAGCCTATTCTTTCAAGAAGACCAAGTTTAGTCTGTCTAAATTTGTGACTTCCACATGCACAGAAGTCATGGAGTGAGGGTGGGGCTGTGGTAAATCCAGTCAGGATGCTGCCTCACCATCTAGTCCTTTAAGATTTACTAGAACTGCTCCATGCCAGGGCCTTGCTTGGCCCAGAGAGCCACCAGCCCCTGTCCCTGACCGGGAGGAGTTCACAGCCTAGTGCAGAAAGCAGGGATCTAAACAGAGATGCACAAGGCAGCGTGCTGTCCTCTGTTTGGAGGAGCCATGGAAAACAGGGTGGGAGGCCTCAGGAGGCAGAGATATGCGAGATGGCCCTGAAGGACAAAAAGGAGGGTGGCCAGTGGAGAAGACATGAAAGGGCATTCCAGGTAGAGGGAATAGTGGGTCCTGGAACACAGAGTGATCAGGGATCCTGGCAGGGAGCTGGAGGGAGTCACGTGGAAGCTGAATGATAACCTAAGGGAACTGCAGGGCCAACCTAAGGGAGTTTGGACTTGATTCCGCAGGCAACAAGAGTCAACAAGCTCCATCTCCAGCTCAGACCTCCCCTTTCAACTTCTAGCCATAAACCTTTGACTCACATGCTTCCTTCCCCAATTCTATCAGAGGTGACATTTAAAATATTGAGGGTTACAGGCACTAGCAAGTTCCCCTGGATTTGGATCAGCATCCTGAAGACCCATTACTGTGCCAGTGATGTGCCAGGTATTAACCATTTAGTTGCTGGAGAGTGGGAGGATCTGAGGATCCCAGGGTGAGGGCCAGGTAGCTTGGTGGCAAGAAGGCTCAGAGCAGCAGAGGTATTTTTTTTTTAATCAGTATTGCACTCCTGGAATGCACCAGCTGAATACCAGCCTTGCCCCGACGAAGCCTAATCCTCCTGGGCTTTCCTCATCTCTGTAAATGGCACCAGCATCTGTCATTTACCTACTCCTGCAAGAAACCAAGGCATTATCCTTGGGGCCCAGGGTGGAAATACAGTAGGGCCCACATGTGATAAGTCTAAATATTTAAAAGTTACGCATCAAGTTAAATAAATTATTTATTAAAAGATAAAGTCAGCCTGGCATGGTGGCTCACGCCTGTAATCCCAGCACTTTGGGAGGCTGAGGCAGGTGGATCATGAGGTCGAGACTGAGATCATACTGGCCAACATGGTGAAACCCTGTCACTACTAAAAACACAAAAATCAGCTGGGCGTGGTGGCATGCGCCTGTAGTCCCAGCTACTTGGGTGGCTGAGGCAGGAGAATCGCCTGAACCCAGGAGGCAGAGGTTGCAGTGAGCCGAGGTTATTGCCACTGCACTCCAGCCTGGCAACAGAGCGAGACTCCGTCTCAAAAAAAAAAAAAAAAAAAAAGATAAAGTCTTCCCAAAAAGAAAAGAAAAAGAAAAAAACATTTAAAAACACACACAAAAAGATAAAGTCTTCTTAATTAACTTTACTGAGGTACTGAGGTGTATTTGCATACCGCAAAATGCACATACTTTAAGTACATACTTTGAGGAGTTTTAACAAATGTATATATCTGTGTAATCACTGCCCCAATCAGTTATTGATACAGAATATTTCCATTACCCTAGAAAGTTTCCTCATGCCTACTTGCAATCAATTTCCCCTCCCTTTCACCCCAGGCAACCACCCATCTAATTTCTGTCACTATAGGTTAGTTTTGCCTATTCATATCAATGTTCTAAAAGTTCATATCAATAGAATTATACAGTATGTACTCTTGTGTCTGACTTCTTTCACCAACAACTATAGATTTTTTATTAGCTGGGTGTGGTGTGACGTGCCTGTAGTCCTCACTACTTGGGAGCCTGAGGCAGGAGGATCATTTGAGCCTGGGAGTTCAAGGCTGCAGTGGGCCAAGACGGTGCCATTACACTCCAGACTGGGTGACAAAGTGAGACCCTGTCTCAGAAAAGAAAGATACCTACAGATTTTTTAAATTTAATTTTAATTTTTAAATTTTGTGGGTACATAGTAGATATATATATTTATATATACTTATTTTATATATTATACATTTTTATATATTTGTATTTATATATACTTATATGTATATTTATATGTATATAAATATAAGCATATATTTATGAATATATATAAGTATATATGAAATACATGTAAGTATATATATTTATTGGGTATATGAGATATTTTGATACAGACATGCAATGTGTAATAATTACATCAGGGTAAATGGGGTATCCATCACCTCAAGCATTATCCTTTTTGTTACAAACAATCCAATTATATTCTTTTAGCTATTTTAAAATGTACAATTACATTATTTTTTACTATTGTCACCTGTTGTGCTAGCAAATACTAGGCCTTACTCATTCTTTCTGTTTTTTATACCCATTAACCATCCCCAGTTCCCTCCCCTCTACCCCCAACTACCCTTCCTAGCCTCTAGTAACCACCCTTCTATTTGCTATCTCCGTAAGTTCAATTGTTTGAATTTTTAGATTCCACATATAAGTGAGAACATGTGATATTTGTCTTTCTGTGCCTGGCTTATTTCACCTAACATAATGACCTTAAGTTCCATCCATGTTGTTGCAAATGACAGGATCTCATTCTTTTTTATGGCTGAATAGTACTCCATTGTGTATATGTACCACGTTTTCTTTATCCATTTATGTGTTGACGGACACCTGGGTTGCTTCCAAATCTTGGCTATAGTGGGTAGTGCTTCGATAAACATGAGAGTGCAGATATCGCTTCATTATATATTTCCTTTCTTTTAGATAACATACTTAGGAGCGTGATTGCTGGATTGTATAATAGCTCTATTTTTAGTTTTCTGAGGAAACGCCAAACTGTTCTCCATAGTAGTTGTACTAATTTACATTCCTACCAACAGTGTACAAGGGTTCCCTTTTCTTCACATCCTCAAAAGCATTTGTTATTGCCTGTCTTTTGGATAAAATCCACTTTAACTGGGGTGAGATAATATCTCATTGTAGTTTTGATCTGCATTTATCTGATGATCAATTATGTTGAGCACCTCTTCATAAACCTGTTTGCCATTTATATGTCTTTCCTTTATAAATATCTATCCAGATCTTTTGCCCATTTTAAATCAGATTATTAGACTTTTTCCTATAGAGTTATTTGAGCTTCTTATATATTCTAGTTATTAGTCCTTTGTCAGACAGATAGTTTGCAAAGAGACAACCCACAGAATGGGGTTCATTCAATGGGATTGTCTCTTTGTTGATTGTTTCCTTTGTTGTGGAGAAGCTTTTTAACTTGATGTGATCCCATTTGTTCATTTTTGCTTTGGTTGCCTGTGCTTGTGGGGTATTACTCAAGAAATCTTTGCCCACTTCAATGTTCTGGAGAGTTTCCCCAATATTTTCTTTTAATAGTTTCATAGTTTGAGGTCTTAGTGATTTGATTTTTTATGTCATGAGAGATAGGGGTCTAGTTTCATTCTTCTGCAAACGGATATACAGTTTTCCCAGCACCATTTATTGAACAAAGTGTCCTTTCCCCGATGTATGTTCTTTGCACCTTTGTCAAAAATGAGTTTACTGTAGATGTATGGATTTATTTCTGGGTTCTCTATTCTGTTCCACTGGTCTATGTATCTGTTTCATTCCAGTATCATCCCACTTTGGTTACTATAGCTCTGTAGTATAATTTGAAGTCAGGTAATGTGATTCCTCCAAGTTTTGTTCTTTTTGCTTAGGATAGCATTGGCTATTCTGGGTCTTTTGTGGCTCCATAATCATTTTAGAATTGTTTTTTTCTATTTCTGTTAAGAATGGCATTGGTATTTTGATCGGGATTGCATTGCATCTGTAAATTGCTTTGGGTAGTATGGACATTTTAACAATACTGATTCTTCCAATCCATGAACATGGAATATCTTTCCATTTTTTGGTGTTTTCTCCCATTTCTTGCATCAATGTTATATAGTGTTCATTGCAACCGTATTTCACTTCTTTGGTTAATTCCTTTTGTTCTTTGGTTAGTTTCAAAGGGCACAAATAAAATTTAATTTTATTTGTAGCTATTGTAAATGGGATTACTTTCTTGATTTCTTTTTCAGATTGTTCACTGTTGACATATAGAAATGCTATCCATTTTTGTATGTTGATTTTGTATCCTGCAACTTTACTGTATTTGTTTATCAGTTCTAATAGTTTTTTGGTGGAGTCTTTATGTTTTTCCAAGTAAAAGATCATATCATCTGCAAATAAGGGTAATTTGACTTCTTCCTTTCCAATTTGCATGCTCTTTATTTCTTTCTCATGTCTGATTGCTCTAACCAAGATGTCCAGTACTATGTTGAATAACAGTGGTGAAAGTGGGCATCCTTGTCATGTTCCAGATCTTAGAGGAAAGACTTTCAGTTTTTCCCCATTCAGTTTGATATGAGCAGCAAGTCTGTTGTATATGGCTTTTATTATGTTGAGGTATCTTTCTTCTATATCCAGTTTTTTGAGAGTTTTTTTATTTTTATGAAATGCTTTTTCAGCATCAATTGAAATGATCATGTGGTTTTTGTCCTTCATTCTGTTGATATGATGTACCACACTGATTTATTTGCATATATTGGACCATCCTTGCATCCCTAGGGTAAATCCCACTTGGTCATGATAAATGATCTTTTTGATGTGTCATTGAATTTGATTTGCTAGTGTTTTGCTGAGGATTTCTGCATCAATATTCATCAGTGATATTGGCCTGTAGCTTTATTTATTTTTATTTTTGATGTGTCTTTGTCTGGTTTTGGTATCAGGGTAATACTGGCCTCATAGAATGAATTTGGAAGTATTCCCTCCTCTATTTGTCAGAACAGAGTAGGATTGATATTAGTTCTTTAAATGTTTGGTAGAATTCAGCAGTGAAGCTAATGAGTTGTGGGTTTTTCTTTGCTGGGAGATTTATTATGGCTTCAGTCTCGGTACTTGTTATTGGTATGTTCAGGTTTTGAATTTCTATGGTTCAATCTTGGTAGGTTGTAGGTGTCCAGAAATTTATTCATTTCTTCTAGATTTTCCAATTTATTGGCATATGGTTTCTCATGGTATCTACTAATGATCCTTTGAATTTCTGCAGCATCAGTTGTAATGTCCCCTTTTTTATCTCTAATTTTATTTATTTGGGTCTTCTCTCTTTTTCTCTTAGTCTGGTTAAAGGTTCGTCAATTTTGTTTATCTTTTCAAAAAATCCACCTTTTGTTTTATTGATCTTTTGTATTGTTTTCTTCATTTCAATTTCAATTTCAATTACTTCAGCTCTGATCTTTAGTTCTTTTTTGATGTAAGTCCTTATAGCTATAAACTTCCCTCTTAGTGTTGCTTTTACTGTATCCCATAGGTTTTGGTATGTCATGTTTACATTACCATTTGTTTCATCAAATTTTCAATTTTCTTCTTAATTTCTTCATTGACCCATTGATCATTCAGGAGCATACAAGTTAATTTCCATGTGTTTGTATAGTTTCCAAAATTCCTCATTATTGATTTCTAGTTTTATTCCATTGTGGTCAGAGAATATGCTTAATTTTATTTTTTTAAATGTTTTAAGACTTGTTTTGTGACCTAACATATGGTCTATTCTTGAGAATGATCCATGTGCTGAGGAGGAGAATATGTATTTTTTAGCCATTGGATGAAATGGTCTATAAATATTCATTGGGTCCATTTGGTCTATAGTGCAGGTTAAATCTGATGTTTCTTTGTTGATTTTCTGTCTAGAAAATCTGTCCAATGCTGCAAGTATGGTGTTGAAGTCTCCAGCTATTATTGTATTGGGGTCTATCTCTCTCTTTAGCTCTACTAATATTTGCTTTATATATCTGAGTGCTCCAGTGTTGGGTGCATGTATAATTACAATTGTTATATCCTCTTGCTGAATTGACCCCTTTATTGTTGTACAGAGAGCTTCCTTGTCTCTTCTTACAGTTTTTGTCTTGAAATCTATTTTGTCTGATATAAATGTAGCTACTCTTGCCCTTTGTTGGTTTCCATTTGCATAAGTTATCTTTTTCCATCCCTTTAGTTTCAGTCTATATCAAGCTTGTCCAACCCACGGCCCGAGGGCCACATGTGGCCCAGAATGGCTTTGAATATGGCCTAACACAAATTCATAAACTTTCTTAAAACATTATGAGGTTTTTTTGTAATTTTTTTTAGCTCATCAACTATCATTAGCATTAGCGTATTTTATGTGTGGCCCAAGACAATTCTTCTTCTTCCAATGTGGCCCAGGGAAGCCAAAAGATTGGACACCCCTGGTCTATGTATATTTTTATAGGTGAAGTGTGTTCCCTGTAAGCAACAGATGATTTTTTTTCTTTTTTTTTAACCACTTAGCCACTCTGTGTCTTTTGTTGGAGAGCTTAGTCCATTTACATTCAATGTTATTATTGATAAGTGAGGACTTGCTCCTGCCATTTTGTTATTTGTTTCTGATTGTTTGTAGTTTTATCTTCCTTCTTTCCTTCTTTCCTGTCTTCCTTTTAGTGAAGGTGATTTTCTCTGGTGGTATGATTTAATTTCTTGCATTTTATTTTTTATGTATCCACTGTATGTTCTTTGATTTGAGGTTACCATGAGGCTTTCAAATACTAACTTATAACCCATTATTTTAAACTGATGACAACTTAACACTGATTGCATAAACAAACAGGCAAAAAGAACACTAACAAAAACTCTACACTTTAACTTCATCTCCCCACTTTTAAACTTTTTTGTTGTTTTTCTTTATGTCTTATTGTATTGTCTATGTCTTGTTGTAGTTATTATTTTTGATTGGTTCATCTTTTAGTCTTTCTGCTTAGGATAAGAGCAGTTCACATACAATTACAGTGTTATGATATTCTGTTTTCTTTTTTTTTTTTTTTGAGACGGAGTCTTGCTCTGTTGCCCAGGCTGGAGTGCAGTGGTGTGATCTCGGCTCACTGCAAGCTCCGCCGCCCGGGTTCATGCCATTCTCCTGCCTCAGCCTCCCAAGTAGCTGGGACTACAGGCGCCCGCCACCATGCTTGGCTCATTTTTTTGTATTTTTAGTAGAGATGGGGTTTCACCATGTTAGCCAGGATGGTCTTGATCTCCTGACCTCGTGATCTGCCCACCTCGGCCTCCCAAAGTGCTGGGATTACAGGCATGAGCCACCGCGCCCGGCCTGATATTCTGTGTTTTTCTGTGTGCTTACTACTACCAGTGAGTTTTGTACCTTCAGATGATTTCTTATTGCTCATTAACATCCTTTTCTTTCTGATTGATGTACTTCCTTTAGCATTTCTTGTAGGATAAGTCTGGTGTTGATGAATTCCCTCAGTTTTTGCTTGTCTGGCAAACTCTTTATTTCTCCTTCATGCTTTTAGGATATTTTCACCAGATATACTATTCTAGGGTAAAAGTTCTTTTTTTTCTTCAGCACTTTAGATATGTCATGCCATTCTCTCCTGGCCTGTAAGGTTTCCACTGAAAAGTCTGCTGCCAGTTGTATTGTGGCTCTATTGTATATTATTTATTTTTCTCTTGCTGCTTTTTGGATCCTTTCTTTATCACTGACCTTCAGGAGTTTGACTATTAAATGCCTTGAAGTAGTCTCCTTTGGGTCAAATCTGCTTGGTGTTCTATAACCTTCTTGTACTTGGATATTGATATATTTCTCTAGGTTCGGGAAGTTCTCTGTTATTATCCCTTTGAATAAACTTTCTACCCCATCTCTTTCTCTACCTTCTCTTTATGACCAATAATTCTTAGATTTGCCTTTTTGAAGCTATTTTCTAAATCTTGTAGGCATGATTCATTTTTTTATTCCTTTTTCCTTCATCTCTTCTGACTGTGTACTCTTGAATAGCCTATCTTCAAGCTCACTAATTCTTTCTTTTGCTTGATCAATTCTGCTATTAAGAGATTCTGACACATTCTTCAGTATGCCAATTGCATTTTCAACTCCAGAATTTCTGCTTTTTAATTATTTCAATCTCTCTGTTAAATTTATCTGATAGAATTCTGAATTCCTTCTCCATGTTATCTTGAATTTCTTTGAGTTTCTTCCAAACAGCTATTTTGAATTCTCTGCCTGAAAGGTCACTTATCTCTGTTTTTCCAGGATTGGTCCCTGGTGCCTTAGTTTGTTTGGTGAGGTCATGTTTTCCTGGATGGTCTTGATTCTTGTTAATGTTCATCAGTGTCTGGGAATTGAAGGGTTAGGTATTTCTTATAGCCTTTACCACCTGGGCTTTTTTGTACCTGTTCTTTTCAAGTATTCAAAGGCTTTTCAAGTATTCAAAAGGATTTGGGTGTTTTGTTCTAGACCCTATCTGCATTAGGGAACACCCCAAGCCAGTAATGCTGTGGTTTTTGCAGACTCATAAATATACCACCTTGGTGGTCTTAGATATGATCAGGAAGAATTCTTTGGATTACTAAGTGGAGACTCTTGTTTTCTTCCCTTACTTTCTCCCAAATAAATGGAGTCTCCCTCCCTGTGCTGAGCTGCCTGGGGCTTGGGTTGGGTGACATAAGCACTCCTGTGGCCATTACCACTGGGACTGGGCTGCATCAGACCTGAAGCTAGCACAGCACTGAGTCTTGCCCAAGGCCCACTGTAACCACTACCTGGCTACCATCTATGTTCACTTAAGGCCCTAGGGCTCTACAATTAACAGGTGATGAAGCCAGCCAGACTTGTGTCCTCCCCTTCAGGGTGGTGAGTTCCCCCAGGCCCCAGGCAGGTCCAGAGATGCCATCCGGGAGCTAGGGACTGGAGTCAAAGATCTTAGAAGTCTACCTGGTGCTCTACACTATTGTAGCTAAGCTGGTACTCAAACCATGAGACAAAGTCCTTCCCATTCTTCTCTTCCCTTTCCACAGGCAGACGGGTCTCACCCTGTGGCCACCACCACCACATGCCAGCAAAGACTACTGCCAGGCTACTGCCAATGTTCACTTAAGGCGCAAGGGCTCTTCAATCAGCTTATGGTGAATGCTTTCAGGCCTGGGACTCACCCTTCAGGCAGTTGGCTTCCCTCTGGCCCAGAGCAGGTCCAGAAATGCTGTCCAAGAGCCAAGGCCTGGAATCATGGACCCCAAGAGCCCGCTTGGTGTTCTACCCCACTGTGGCCAAGGTGGTATCTAAACTATAAGACAAAAATCCCCTTACTTCTCCCTCTTCTTTTATCAAGGAGAAGGAGTCTCTCACCATGGCCACCACAGCTGGGAAGGTGCTGGGTCTCACCAGAAGCCAGCAAGTCTCAGAGTTTCACCCAACACCCACAGTGTGTACTACATGGTTACTGCTGCTGGTTATTCAGGGACCAAGGGCTCTTTAGTCAGCAGATGATGGATCCTGCCAGGACTGGGTCCTTCTCTTCAAGACAGCAGGTTCCCTTCTGGCCCAGGGTGTGTCTAGAAATGTCATCCAGGAGCTAGGGCCTGGAATGGGGATCTCACAACTCTGACCAATGCTCTATCTTGCTGTGGCTGAGCTGGTCCTCTTTACTCTTCCCTCCTCAAGCAGGAGAAAGGGGTCTCTTTTGGAGCCAGGGGATATGCTGCCTGGCAGTGGGGCGGGGTGGTACTAACAGTCCCTTAGCTGCCCTTGCTGATGTCTAAGTATGTCATGCCCCCCAAGCCCAGCTCAGCACTAGGATTTGTAGTCCTTGTGGCCTAGACTGCCTTTCAAGTTTATATTAGGCTCCAGAGAACTTCAGCCCATGGTGGTGAGGCTTCCTGGAACTCACGTTCCTATTGCTGAGATGGGTGATACCCCACTGGCTAGGGTTGGTCTGAATGCTCCCTTCATAGGCAGATGTCAGCTGAGCCCAGCCTGGTTTTGCTTTCTGCTGTGAGAGGGCAGCACTGAATTCAATGTAAAGTCTCACAATTGCTGTGCTGTCTCCAAAGCACATAGATTTCTCTGCAGCGGCAATGGGGAAGGGGTGGCATCAGCAACTCAAGACTGTCTTTCCTATCCTCTTCAGTGTCTCTTTCCATGATATGAAGTAAAACCAGGTATTTTGAGTGCTCACCTGATTTTTGGTTCTAGTGAAGGTGGTTTTTTGTGTAGATAGTTGTTGAATTTCTTGTTCCTGCAGGGAGGACAATTGGTGGGACCTTCTAGTCTTCCACCTTGCACCAACTTCTATGGTACTTTTTATTGAAAGTAAGCAAAATATCAAAGATGACTGAATTTAATGGATGTCATGGAAAGGAATGGCTCATGGACAGGAATATATGAGTAAAAGGGAATATATGGTTCATCAATAATTATATATTTCATAAGTTTTGGACAATAAGGTCAAAAACAAAATAACCTTTATTGGGACACTGTAAGTTTTAGAGGTTTTTTTTTGGCATTGATTTCAATTTGGAAAAAGTTTGCTCTGCTAAGGCAGTAGCAACAGGGATTGTCAATAAAAATCTTAAAGTAACATTAGATTTTAAAAGTAGCATGAATTTTATATATTATGGTCAAATATAGGAACACATAATTACACAATACAAACTATATTTATATGTTAAAATAGATTTATAAAATGGTAAATACGTATAATACATTCTATTTTTATTTCATCATATAAATCACTACCACTCATATAATAATTTTCATCATTCCTTAACACAGTAGCTAAGTCCATAAAGAATCAATATCATGTATATGTAGGTCTACAACTAGACCTACCTACACTACAATATTAGAGTAGTATGAGTTGTTTAATATTGTTTAATATTAATGAGCTGCCACATGCAACTATTGCAAATAGTAAGCCATTCCTGAATTCCTCCAAAACTACAAATCGGAACACAAAAAGAAGCAAGAAAATGGACAATGCTTTTCTGGAAAATGATACCCCATTAGGCATTCATGTTATGTGAGAGAAAAGACTTCACAGGATTAATTGATGTGTGCTTTTCTTACCCAAGAGCTTCTGCCACTCACTTGCTTTCCTTACTCGAGAGCAGTGGCTGTTTCTGGTGTGAACAGCAGCACAACCCACAGAACTTTAGACACAGTCATGTGGTGGAAATGATGGAAATGGTCTCTACCCATGCTTGAATGGGTGGTGGTTACAGAGGTGTATACACTTGTGCAAGCTCCTCAAACTAGGCACTTACATGTGAGCATTTTACTCTATGTAAAATACATGATTTTTTGTTTTGAGGATGTAGGGCAAGATATGTGGGAAAGTGTTTCCCTGGGGCCTGAAGGTTGGAAGAAGGAGTGTTAGGTGTATGGAACACACAGTACCCATACTTAGCACAACTTCTCAATGTCATCTCTCACTTGGACTATAACAATCTTTTTTTTTTTTTTTTTTTTTTTTTGAGACAAGGTCTTGTTATGTTGCCCCAGGCTATAGTTCTGTGGTGTGAACACAGTTCACTGCAGCCTCAACCTCTTGGACTCAAGAGATCCTCTTGCCTCAGCTTCCCAAGTAGTTGGGACCACAGGCATGCACCATCACACCTGGCTGGTTTTTTACCTTTATTTTTTGTAGAGATGGGGTTCCACTATGTTGCCCAGGCTGGTCTCGAACTCCTGGGCTCAGGCGATCCTCTCGCCTCCACCTCCCAAAGTGCTGGGATTATACATACATAAGCCACCATGCCCAGCCAACAATGTCTTCTTAATAGGCCTCTCTGCCTTTACTCTTGCCTTCCTCAAGCCTGTTCTCCACATAACAACCAGCTTGATCTTAAAACAAAAATGGCATTGTGTCACTATCTTATTTAAAACCATTCAATTGCATTCCCTTTGCTCTTTAAGATGCAGACCAACAACCTGGAAGTGATTTTTAGGGTGTTCCATGACCTGGCCTCTGTGCATCTCTCTGGCCTCATTTCACAGCACCATCACTGAGCCTTCTGTTTTCCTAAAGCTGCCACCCTAAACCTTAACATGGGCTCTTCTCTCTGGCTGAATGGTTTTCTCCTGGATGGCACTGGTTTGTCCTTCAGCCTCCTCAGACCACGCTCCTGTTTTAGGCTCTATCACCAGACTCTGTCTAGTAATTTATTTTATTGTCACCAGGTTTGTTGGCTCCCCTACCACCACAAACAGGCAAGGACTGTTATAATCATTGCACTTCTAGCTCCTACTTCAATTCCTGCCACAATGAAAGGAGCTAGAAGTACAATGAATATAATAGTCCTTGTGTAAATATTGTTGGATAAATGAATTTGTTTATTTCTGGTGTTTATTTGAGATAGGGTCTTGCTCTGTCACTCAGGCTGGAATGCAGTGATGTAGTGATGGCTCACTGCAGCCTCGAATTCCTGGGCTTAAGTGATCTTCTCACCTCAGCCTCCCAAGTAGCTGGAACTACAGGCATATACCACCACACCTGGCTAATTTAAAAAAAAATTTTGTAGAGACAGGGTCTCACTATGCTGCCCAGGCTGGTCTCGAAATCCTAGCTTCAAGCAATCCTCCCACCTTAAGCCTCTCAAAGCACTGGGATTAAAGGAATGAGCCACCAAGCCCTGCCAAATGGATGTTTTTAAACTGGAGGGTAGCAAAGACACACCTGGGTTTTTTAAAGGTCTCTGGCTGTAGTGAGGAAGGTGAAGGAAGTGGGTGAAACAGGCTGGAGGGAAGTAGCTGCCACTTCTGCATGGGCTTAGGACCTCACTGGACCAACTTCCCCTGTTGAGATCTAACGGTAAAAAATAAGACAGGTTTATTAGAAGTGACTTAAAGGCTGAGACAGGAAGGCAGAGGCCAAGATGGTGATCTTTTAGATGCCCTAACTCGCTTCAGGCAGACCTGTTCTGCTTTATATAATGGTTAAGATTTCATGGAGAAAGCCTTCATTACTGAAAATGAATTCCAGACCCCCTTTTTGTAGTGGAACGAACGTCAGACTGGGATCAAGAGCCCTGAAGTCCAGGTCTGCCTCCTTCAATGTATGCCCATTCCAGAGCTTCAGGGTAGGCAGGGACCTAGATGATATCTGTGGCCAGGCCAGCTCTGACAGGCAGAGTATACACAAGTGTGGCTGAGCCCTCAGGGACCTGCTCCAGCCTGAGTCCTTTCTTAGTCTGGCCTGAATTTCCTTAGAGGCTGAGGAAGGGGTCAATGAAACTGGCAATCATGTAACTGAGAGGTCCCAGGTCTGTATCTTAGCACATGCCTAGGGATATGCCATACGTCCTCCCACCCTCACCCCGCCCCTCGCACCCCCAGCTAAAAGGGAGAGACCTGAAAGGATCTGGCAAGTGGGCTATGCTTGGCTGTGAGCCTGGCACTAAAGGCTCAGGGTCAACACTCAGAACCAGGGTCCAAAGCATATGGCTCAATCTAGGGGCATGGCAGCCAACAAGAGCACCAGGATTCAGACCATGGACAGAGCCATGGACTCCCCAAGGCAAGTTTGCAGCCAGCAGCTGGAAGGACAGGCTGTTCTGTCTCCAGCTATATGGGCTGGGGTCAGGGAGGACCCTGGCCTACCAGGGACCTGGAGACAGATTTTTTAAAACCCAGATCGAATCTCTGTCCCATAGACTAAAAAGTGTTCTCTGACCCTGCCTGGGCAGAGTTAGTGGCTCTGTCTTCTGTGTAGCTTATGTGATGCTGGACTGCCATTGACTGTGAATAAGTCCATCTCTGTCTGTGCCAATTCAGTTTTGTATCCCTGGTCCCAATGTGGGATGGTGGGGAGGTGGGTTAGGACAGTAACTATTCATTGAATGGATGGATGGACAAGTGAGTGGATGGATGGACCAACAAACTAACTCAACATGTTGGGGAAAGGTTTGAGAGGCCCGAGAGGCCCAACAGGCACATGGGTATTCAGGGAAACTCCATGCCCTTCTGATACCCCGCTTCCTAGTTTACTGCATTTGCTTATTCATTTATTTGGCAAACATTTACTGCACACCTACTATGGGCTGACCATGGGATGTTTATTATGGGGTATTTAAAGTTGAACAAGACAGGGAACTAGTTAAGGACTCTGTAGACTTATTACCCAGATTTGAATCTTGTCCCTGCCACTCACTACCAGCCTAATGGTAAGAAAGTTACTCACTCTGTACCTCAGTTTTCTCATGTCTGAAATGAGGATAATCAAAGCACCTACTTTCTGGTGCATCAAGATATTAAATGCACTGACGATTTTAAGCCCTTTAGAGCACCTGACACATGGTAAATTCTACCTAAGTGTTAGCTTTTACTCTGTGTTCTCAGGTCACAGGCCTGAGGGGGTAAGGAAAGGTAATGAATTCAACTGAGAATAACCAAGGTAGAAGAGTGTCAGCAGAGGCACAATTTGTTGAGGGAAGGGGTAGGGGAGGCATTGTGGAGGAGGCAGTCTTTGAGCTGAGACGTGTGGGTTGAGTTCAGATTGGATTTTGCATGCTATGAGGTGCACTTCTTAGTGTGACAGTAGCCAAATATCAGTCCTCATATCCTGAAAATTTGAGGTCACTAGGGACCTGGACGCCACCTTGACCCACTGTTTCCTTTTAGGTTTAAGACCCCTGGTAAAACGTCTCAGTTCAAGGATACACAGCAAGTTATTTAACAAATTGTTCATTGATTCTGTAAGAATTTACTAAGAACTTAGTAAGTGCCAGGCACTAGGCTAGGTGAGGATCCAAAGATGAAACTATGCATTACCTACTCCAAAGGAGCTCACATTCTCAAATAGTGATAGAGGCCGAACATAAACCTAGATTTCCGGCCTCCCTGCTAATGGCTCCTACTTCATGTCAGGACAGTTCTCGGGCTGGAGCATTTTCTATAGGAAACAGGTCATTTGAGTTACTTTCCCCACTTTGGACATATTTATTTATAAACTGTAGATGTCCTCAGGCAGGACCTTGTGTAATCCAACCTCTGTTTCCTTCAGAGCCCAGCGTTATCTAGACACTGTTTCTTTCTTTCTTTTTTTTTTTTTTTTTTTGAGACAGTCTTGCTCTGTGGCCCAGGCTGGAGTGCAGTGGCGTGATCTCGGCTCACTGCAAGCTCCGCCTCCCGGGTTCACGCCATTTTCCTGCCTCAGCCTTCTGAGTAGCTGGGACTACAGGCGCCCGCCACCAGGCTGGCTAATTTTTTGTATTTTTAGTAGAGACAGGGTTTCACCGTGTTAGCCAGGATGGTCTCGATCGCCTGAACTCGTGATCCGCCCGTCTCAGCCTCCCAAAGTGCTGGGATTACAGGCATGAGCCACTGCGCCTGGCAGACACTGTTTCTTTTTAAACAACAGTACTACCACCGATGACTCACAATGACTTTCATAATCTGCTCTGAAACCTATCATTGTGCATGTTTGTTCATGTTATTTTGTCTTCCTTACCAATTTCTTGGCCCTGAGTCTCATTCTAGTTGTTATTCCCTTCTCCCCTCCTCTCCCTGCTTCCTGTCCCACCCTCAGCCCCACGGACTATAACCCCAGCTACATAAGGATCAGTTAATATTTGTTTGAGTGTCCACACTCCCTTAGCCCCACAAATTGCATACTGAATCTAGCCTACCCGCTTCATAAGGGCTGCCTTCCTACCCAGAAAGGGGACCAAGCAGAGAGCAATCACAGCCGCCCTGCATTCCTTCTCTGGTTAGTGGCCTCATGATCCACAGAGATTTTGTATCCATTAGACACAGCACTTGGAGCTGACAGACTTTTCAAGGGCCTAAAAAAAAAATGTTTAAGAACAACCCTCCCACTTTTTTTTTTAAACACAACTAAAATACAGAAAACTATAAAGTCAAAAGCAATAAACTTTCAATTAAATGTCTACCAACATAAATTTATACCGATTTCATTACTTGTTTATGCAATTTAATTATGATAGTGACTACTATATATCCCCTTCTTCCTTTATAAGTAGAACTAGGTTTTAGGTAGGTGCAAGGGTCACTTAGTAAAAGACTATACTTCCAGACTCTTTTGAAGCTAGATGTGGTCATGTGACTTAAGTTCTGAACATGGGAAGTGAGTACAAGTGATACCTGCCACTTCTGGTTGTGCAGTAGGGGATGAGCTCTTCATCTTTCTCCCTACACACTTGTGAGAGCTACTACTATGGACAACTCCAGGGGGCACATTAGCACTGCAGTCTGTGCAAAGGATGCTGTTTGTCATTGTCAATGTGGCTGCTTTGTCCCTGTGATGCAGACCTTAAGGCAAGAGCTGGAGTGGATGCTGAGGTGGAAGCCTGTGTACCAGCCCTGTACTCTCACTGTACTAAGAAGTCTCTTTGTTATAGCAGCTTAGGCTGTACTGAAGTAATACACTGGTATTTATAAACATTTTATTACATTTGAAAATAATTTGTAAGTTCATGTTTCTCACTTTGGAAACATTCCACCCATGCACTGCAATTGCCATGAAATCAAATCCTATAATGACTAGAGTGCATGTAGCCAAATGATTTCTAAAGAAAAAAATTTTTAAATCCTTTCAATATTTTTTTCAGCAAAAAAAATAATACTTGATGTGGGATACAGACAGACTTTAATATGGGATAGGATCTACAAATATAAATGTATCTAGCATCAATGAAATTCTCAAAAGGGCCTTGATCATTCTCAGTTCCCACAAGGTAGAAATTTCAGAATCACCTGTGATCTTTTCCTGTCAATTTATTCATTCAATAAATAGCATGTGGCAATAACTTTCAGACAATATATATATAGTAGAGAATAGCAAGACTGTATTCAGACATACCTAGGTTCCAGTCCTAATTCTGTTAGTTACTGTGTAACTTTGAGCAATCAATATAGGTCCCTACTTACCTCTAAAATGAGGACAATAATAACACCTACCTACTGGCCAGACATGATGGCTCACATTTGTAATTCCAACATTTAGGGAGGCTGCAGTGGGAGAATTGGTTGAGGTCAGGAGTTTGAGGCCAGCCTGGCCAATATAGCGAGACCCTGTCTCTATTTTTTTTTTTTTTTTTTTTTTGAGATGGAGTGTCGCTCTGTCACCCAGGATGGAGTGCAGTGGCACAATTTTGGTTCACTGCAACCTCCACCTCCCAGGTTCAAGTGATTCTCTTGCCTCAGCCTCCCAAGTAGCTGGGATTACAGGTGTGCGTCACCACACCCAGCTGATTTTTTATATTTTTGGTAGAGATGGGGTTTTACCATGTTGGCCAGGCTGGTCTCGAACTCCTGACCTCAAGTGATCCCCACCCACCTTGGCCTCCCAAAGTGCTGGGATTACAGATGTGAGCCACTGTGCCCAGCCCCCTGTCTCTATTAAATAAAATAATAATAATAGTGCCTACCTATTGTGTAATAAATAACTTGACTGGCCTTTGTCCCTGGTTTCTGGTAAAGAGACTTTAAACCCTTAGAACTTCCTAAGTAGCAGGAGTGTCTTTGTTATTTATGAGCTCCTTAGATTACACCTGAGTTTATGCTAACTGATGAGATGACACAGGGTGAGGATGGTCACCAGAAAGACCAACAATGTAATTAGAGGGTTGGGTCAATCTCCTAGGAGAGGAGGAGGACTGAAGATTGAGTCCAGTCATGTGACCAATGATCCAATCATGCCTATGTAATGAGACCCCAATAAAAACTCTGAACACCAAAGCTCAGTAGAGCTTCCCAGGTGGTGAACACATCAATGTGCTAGGAGGGTAATGCCATGGGGAGAGGTCATGAATGCTCTCCATTCAGAACCCTCCCAGACTCCACCCATGTGGATCTTCATTTAGCTGGTCCTGATTTGTATCATTAGTGCTTTCCTGAGTTCTGTGAGTCATTCTAGAAAATTATTGTACCTTAGGGGGTCATGTGAAACTTTGAATTTACAGCCAGTGGGTCAAAAGCACAGGTGGCTTAGGGACCCCCCAAAATGCAGCTGGCATCTGAAGTGAAAATAGTTTTACTGGGGATTGTGCCATTAAACCTGTGGAGTCCAATGCCAACACTGGGTGGTCAGCATCAGAATTAAATTGTATTTCTGTACACCAGTGTGTGTGAGGATGCTACCTCAGAAGGTAGTAAAAGTTAAGAAAATAAACACAAAGCACTTGTCAATAATAATAGCGATTATCTCATAAGGCTAGAAGGATTCAGTAAGATAAAATTCATGAAGTGCTTAGCTTAGTCATAGTACTTGAGACTGTTGTGAGCCACACACTATGAAACTCATAATTTGTCCATTTTAATTGCTAAGTAATATTCCATTTCATGAAAATACCACTGTATATCCATTATTTTATTGATACTTCAGCAGTTTCCAGTTTAGGGTATTAGTAATAAATTTGCAGTGAACATTGTCATACAAACGTTTTTGTGGTATAAGTGTTTTCATTTACTGTGAGTAAATTCCTAGGATTAAAACTAAATTATAGGGTCAGTGTATATTTAGTTTTATAAGAAATGCCAGATCATTTCTGAAAGTGTTTGTGCCATTTTACACTACCATCAAAACAATGTAAACATTTTACACTACCATCAAAACTGTAAAACAATGGTAAGTATCTGTGTATCTAAACATATCAAAACATAGTAAAGGGAGAGTAAAAATGTGGTATATAGGGCACTTAACATGGCTGGAAGTTGTCGTGGATGAGTCTGTGTGTGAACAGTGAGTGAATGTGAAGGCCTAAAACATTGTTGCACACTACTGTAGGTGTGAACATTGCACACTTAGGTTACACTACCTTTAAAATATTTCTTTCTTCAAAAACAAGTTAACCTTAACTTACTGTAACATTTTTATTTTATAAACATTTAAATATTTAAACTTTTTGACTCTTTTATAATGGCCTAAAGCACACACTGTATACTTGTATAAAAATATTTTCTTTCTTTATATCCTTATTCTATAAGCTTTTTTCTATTTTTAAATTTTTTATTTTTTAAAAATTTTTAAAATTTTTTAGTTAAAACTAAGACATACACATAGTAGCTTAGGCCTACACAGCATCAGAATCATCAGGTTGTCACTAGGCAACATAAATTTTTCAGCTCCATTATAATCTTATTGGACCACCATCATACATGTGGTCTGTTGTTGACCAAAACATCATTATCTGGTATGTGACTGTATAACAACAAAGGCAGGTTGAAAGTAAGAGGGTAAAAAGGGATATATCATGCAAAACTAACCAAGGGAAAGCAGAGTGACTACAATATTATCAGATTAAGTAAGCTTGAGGGGAAAGAAAATTATTAGAGATGGAGAAGGACACTATATAATAATAAAAGGGTCAATTCACCAGGAAGACATAGCAATCATAAATGTGTATGTATCAAACAACAGAGACGCATATGTGAAGCAAAAACTTATAGAATCCAAAGGTGAAATACATAAATCCACAACAGTTGGAGACTTCAACACCCCTCTCTCAACAACCAGTAGAACAATGAGACAGAAAATCAGCAAGGATATAGAGCAACTCACCAACATCATTAACCACTGATTCTAATTAACATTTATAGAACACTGCATCCAAGAACAGCAGAATACACGTTCTTTTAAAGTGCCCATAGCTTGAGGCCAGGTGTTTAAGACCAGCCTGGGCAACATAGTGAGAACCTGTCTCTTAAATAAATAAATAAATGGGGGGTGGGGGAAGCTCAACATCACTAATCATCAGAGAAATGTAAATCAAAACCACAATGAGACACCATCTCATGCCAGTCAGAATGGTGATTATTAAAAGGTCAAAAAATAACAGATGCTGGCGAGGTTGCAGAGAAAAAGGAACACTTTTATACTGTTGGTGGGAATGTTAATTAGGTCAACCACTGTAGAAGACAGTATGGTGATTCTTCAAAGACCTAGAGGCAGAAATACCATTTGACCCAGCAATCCCATTACTGGGTATGTACCCAAAGGAATATGAATTATTATATTATAAAGATACATGCACATGTATGTTCATTTGCACTATTCACAATAGCAAAGACGTGGAATCAATCCAAATGCCCATCAATGATAGACTGGATAAAGAAAATGCGGTACATATACATTATGGAATACTATGCAGCAATAAAAAGGAACCAGATCATGTCCTTTGCAGGGACATGGATGGAGCTGGAAGCCATTATCCTCAGCAAACTAACGCAGAAACAGAAAACCATACACCACATGTTCTCACTTACAAGAGGGAGCTGAATGATGAGAACACATGGACACATGGGGTGGGGGAACAACACACACCAGGGCCTATCAGGGGTGGAGTGGGGAGACGGAGAGCATCAGGAAGAACAGCTAATGGATGCTGGGCTTAATACCCAGGTTATGGAATGATCTGTGCAGCAAACCACCATGGCACAATTTTACCCATGTAACAAACCTGCACATCTTGCACACGTACCCCTGAACTTAAAAGTTGAAGATTTAAAAATTCATCTAATGAAACTAGTATTTCCCTTCTACTCAAATCAGGCAAAGAAGTACAAAAGAAAGAAAACTACAGGCAATATCCCTCATAAACTTAGATGCAAAAAATCCTTAACAAAATATTTGCAAATCAAATGCAACAAAGTAGTAAAAGATTTATACAGCTGGGATTTATTCCAGCTATGCAAAGCTAGTCATCATTCAAAAATCAGTCAATGTAATGTACACATTAATGGGCTAAAGAAAAACCATGATTCTATCAATCAGTACAAAAAAAGTTTTCTCAAATTTCAACACCATTCATGATAAAAACTCTGAAAAAAATGGTAGTAAAGGGAGAACTTCCTCAGCTTGATAAAAAGCATCTACCAAAAACCTATAGCTAACATTATATTTAATGGTGAAAGACTGAATGTTTTCCCTCCAAGACTGGAAACAAGGCAAGGATGTCTGCTATTACCACTCTTATTCAACATAGTACTAAAGTTTTAGTCAGTGCTCTAAGGCAAAAAAAAAAAAGGGGGGGGGATTACAGGCATACACATCAGAAAGGAAGAAAATAGAACTGTCCCAATTTGCAGATGACATGATGGTCTCCATAGAAAATCCTAAAGAATCTACAAAAAACTCATAGGACTAATGAGTGAGTTTAGCAAAAAGTAGGACCCAAGATAAATACACAAAAAATCAACTGCATTTCTATATACTTGTAGCAGACACAGAAATTTTAAATACCATTTACAATCACTCAAAAAACAGTGAAATACTTAGGTATAAATCTAACAAAACACACACATGATGTGTGTGCTGAAAGCTACAAAGTGCTGATGAAACAAGTCAAAGAAGATCTAGATAAATGGTGAGAGATATTGTGTTCATGGACTGGAAGACCCAATGTAGCAAATATGTCAATTCTCCCCAAGTTGATATAAAAGTTTAATGCAATTCCTATAAAAATCCCAACAAGATTTTTTTTGTAGCCACCAATCCAGATCTACCAACAGTACTTTTTTTTTTGAGATGGGGTCTCGCTCTGTCACCCAGGCTGGAGTGCAGTGGCGCAATCTTGGCTCACTGCAAGCTCCACCTCCCGGGTTCATGCCATTCTCCCGCCTCAGCCTCCAAAATAGCTGGGACTACAGGCGCCCACCTAATTTTGTTTTTGTATTTTTAGTAGAGACGGGGTTCCACTGTGTTAGCCAGGATGGTGTCGATCTCCTGACCTTGTGATTCACCTGCCTCAGCCTCCCAAAGTGCTGGGATTACAAGCATGAGCCACCACGCCCAGCCCCAACAGTATTTTTTAGACATACATATCATTCTAAAATTTGTGTGGAAAGGCAAAGGAACTAGAATAACTAAAACCATTTTGAGAAAAAAATAAAGTGGGATCAGGCTACCTGATTTCAAGATTTATTATACAGTTATAGTAATCAAGACTGCAGGGCAGGTTGAATATCCCTTGTCTGAAATGCTTGGGACCAGAAGTGTTTCAGATTTTTTTTTTTTTTAGTTTGAAATATTTACACATACACAATGAGATAGCTTGAGGATAAGATCCCAGTTTAAACATAAAGTTCATTTATGTTTCATATATACTTTATACACATAGCCTGAAGGTAATTTCATACAATATTTTAAATAATTTTGGCATGAAACAAAGTGTGGATACACTGAACCATCAGAAAGCAAAGGTGTTAACATCTCCGCCACCCATGTGGACGATCTGTGATTGTTTGGCATCACCATCATTCCTGATTCTGAATTTATATGTTACCGATAAGCAATCATTTTTTTACACTTATTCACACATAAGTACTTAACAGTAAAAAAAATGACATACCAGTAATACAACGAAAAAAATAGTGTATTCAGGTTAAGTAAGCCAGCACAGTAGTGTCACCAGAATACCTGTATCAGCTGTTAAGCAACAATAACAAATAACAGTAGGCTTTCAGTTTCCAAGTATGATGCTGTTTTGACTAAAAGGTTACTGTACACTGTATTTTATTTTATTTTTAGGTGAGAAGAAGCATCAGAAGCAGTTGAGGGACCAAGAAGTGGGTCCTGTAGAGAGGAAGAAGCATTCCTCTGGATGGCTTTTTTAAATGTTTCTTTCAGAGTCATCTGCCTCATTAATGATGCTTTTTGTCTTAGAAGTCTCTCTTTGATTTTATAAACTGACATGATTTCTTGCTCTGTTATGAATGCATGCTGCTCTAGTCCTTTAATAAGCCCATCACACATTTTTACCATGTCGTCTATAGGCACTTTTTCTGCAGTGTTAACATCATCTTCATTATCATTATCATCATGATCATCTTGATTCAGAACCATTTTTGTTACTTCACCATTGGACAATGAATGAACAACTGGAGCCTCATTATTACTGTTAAAAACATCTTTGATATCCTCTTCTTCCAGCTTACTGACAGTCTCTGGATGTATATTTTTTGTATATGTAAGGAGGTCAGACATTATTTTTTTCTCACTTGACATACTGAATCCTTCAAAGTTACCATCTTGTTCATCATCATTACTGAACTTGCCAGTAAACTTCTCTGTTGCTTCATGACCAGCAGATGCTTTATTGCCACAAGTCTTTAAAAATTTAATGCCATGTCTTTTCTTAAATTTCTGCAACCAGCCTGTTGAATATTCACAGTTCCCCTCAATTTTTAGTTCATTGTGATATATCTTTGCTTGTTTCATGATCAGCATACCATTAAGTGGCATGTGTTCACTGCGACGCTGACGGATCCACTCTTTCAATACACGATCAAGATCTTCATTTTTAGCTTTATGAAGTGTTTTTCTATTTTTCATTAATATCTGCTCATCACTTTCAGCATAAAACTTCAACAGTTTATCCTTCTGTTTCTTCAGGTCATATATGGTGGTCATTCCAACACCATACTCTTCCGTAAGATGTTTCACACTTACACCACTGTCCAGTTTCTCCAACAACTTGACTTTCTGTGCTATAGATAAACATAAATGCTTCCTCTTTTTCTTATCACTGATATTCACAGGGGTATCTTTAGGTCTTTTTGACATTTTCAACAATATATTTATACCACACAGCAGAGAATAAGCAAAAAAATGCAGTGAGTAATGCACACAGGTCTTGGCCCCATGTGGGGCATTGTGGGAAACCTGTTGTTGGCGTGTCCAGCCTGCACGCATGCCATTTAATTACTTTTTGTGGGAATGCATGGGGAAATCCAGGTGTGAGCAGAAAAACTGCAGCAGAAGAGAGCTGGGGGGGTCTTTTTTCCCACTGGGGATGTTGCATGAACTGGGTGTTGTGCACCTGTGTTTTGACTGCAACTCACATAAGGTCAGGTATGAAATTTTCCATTTGTGGCATAATGTCAGCACTCAAAAAGTTTAGGATTTTGGAGCATTTCAGATTTCAGATTTTTATATTACGGATGCTCAGCCTGTATTGGTAGAGGAATAAACACATAGATCAATGGAACAGAATACAGAAACTGGAAATAGGATCACACGAATATGTCCAACTGGTTTTGACAAAGGCATAAAAGCAATTCAATGGAGGAAACATAGCCTTTTGAACAAATGGTGTTGGCGTAATGTAACATGTATATGCAAACAAACAAAAAAGAACAACCGCAACAACAACCAAAGTTTTACACCTATTTTAAAAATTAACTCCCATTTTGTAGGTTGCCTGTTCACTCTGATGGTAGTTTCTTTTGCTGTGCAGAAGCTCTTTAGTTTAACTAGATCCCATTTGTCAATTTTGTGGGGGGGGGGAGGGATAGCATTAGGAGATATACCTAATGCTAAATGACGAGTTAATGGGTGCAGCACACCAGCATGGCACATGTATACATATGTAACTAACCTGCACATTGTGCACATGTACCCTAAAACTTAAAGTATAATAATAATAAATAAAAAATTAACTCAAAATGTATCATAGACTTAAATGTAAAATAAAAAATCTTTAAAAAAATAGGCAGTAGAATGTCTTCAGGATCTAGGGCTGGGCAAAGAGTTATTAAACCAAAAGCATCAATAAAAGGAAAAGTGGATAAATTGGACCTTATCACAATGACAAACTTTTGCTCTGCAAAAGATACGGTTAAGAGGATGAAAATACAAGCCATACACTGTGAGAAACTGTTTACAAAGCACATATTTGACAAAGGGCTAATATCTAGAATATATAAAGATATCTCAAAACTCAACAGTACGAAAAACAATTAATTAGAAAATGGGCAAAAGACATGAACAGACATTTCACTGAAGGGAATATACACATGGAAGATAAGCACATGAAAAGATGTCTTACATCATTAGTCAATAGGGAAATACAAATTAAAATCACAATAAGACACCACCACACACCTATTAGAATGGCTAAAATAAAAGCTAATGCTCATGAGGATGCAGACAAACTTGATCATTCATACACTGGTGGTGGGTATGTAAAATGGTACAGCCGCTCTGGAAAGCATTTTGGCAGTTTCTTAAAAAACGAAACATGTAACTACCATGCAACCCAGCAACTGCACTCCTGGGCATTTATTCCGGAGAGATGAAAACTTAGTTCACACAAAAACCTGTACACAAATGTTTACAGTACCTTTACTCAGAATATCTGAAAACTGGAAACAACCCAGGTGTTCTTCAGTGAGTGAATGGCTAAACAAACTGTGGTACATTCATACTATGGACTACTACTCATCAATAAAAAGAAACGCGCTATTGATACATGCAACAACTTGGATGAGTCTCCAGATAATTATGCTGAGTGAAAAAAAAATTCTAAAAGGTTGCACTCTGTATGATTCCATCTATACAACACAGACGTTTGCCAGGAATTAAGAAGCAGTGTAACTACAAAGAGCAACATGAGGGATCCTTGTGGTGATGAAAATGTTCTGCATCTTGACTTTATCAATGTCAGTATCCTGGTTGTGATATTGTACTACAGTTTTGCAAGGTGTTTCCATTGGGGGAAGCTGGGTAAAGGGTACATATAATCTGTCCATATTATTCCTTACAACTGCATATGAGTGTCCAATTTTCTCAAATAAAACATTTAATTAAAATAGTACATATGTGATTTCTCTTGTCCAAACCCTGATTGATAATTTGAACCCTTCATCAGACTGGAAAATTTCTCTTCTATTCCTAGATTGCTAAGTATTTTGGTCAGAAGAGGTGTTTATTTTTGCCAATAGATTTATCTGTATTTTTTAACATAATCATAGCTTTTCTTTAAAAAAAATTTTTATTATTTCTTCCAATGAAGGCTTTTCTCTTTTAAGGTAAATTACATTGTTTGATTTCAGAATGCAAAACCAACCTTGCATTCCCGGGATAAACCCTACTTCATCATGATGTATTAATCCTTTTATAAATTGCTGGATTTGATTTGCTAATATTTGCTTAGGATCTTTATGTCTATGTTTATGAAATGTTTTTCAGACACCTATGGTGTCTGAAAAGTCCTCAGTAAAAATTCATTGAATTCAGACTTGTTTAAATGATACTCTAACTGCAACATAGCTGATGTTGTGGTCCAGACACCCCCTCAGGGCCTAGACAGTCATTCCCTCAGCTTCTGGAGTTGGTTACTGATGATACACAACTGAGTCCTTCTCTGGGGGCCGCCCTCCACCGAGGGAAGCAGTCTTGCCAAAAAAAAAAAAAAAAAAAAAATCACAGCTCCTCCCCAGGTGTAGCCTGTATCCATGACTGGTCAATGCAAGGATAAGAGTTTCTGGCCCCCTTGCTTTAATGTGGAACTACTCTGAAGGGTCATCCTAGGCTCCAAGCATGCCTTGGGATTGGTCAAGGCCTCTGCTGCAACTGTTTTGCAGGCCAACTTCTTCCTCTGCCTACAAATTCCTGCTTCCTTCACTTTCTTACAGGTGCTGATCTTTAAGTTCTCCCTACCTCCACCAATAACCTTGTAGGCAAGCTAATCTCCCTCTTGCGTCCCCCAGGGGCTCAACACAGGACACACCACGTTACCCTGTTTTATTTTTCTTTTCATAGCATTTAACACCTTATACGTGAAATAACCTTATTTACTTAACACTTAAAATACTTATCGTCTGCTGTAAGAATGTAAGCTTACCAGGACAGATCTTTCTCATACGCTATGCACCGCTGTATCAAGCGCCTATGGCAGGGCCTGCAGAACACAGCAGGCACTAAATACTGGTTGTTGAATGAACCGATGAGTCTGGCCCCGCGCTTTTGGTCCTGGGATCACATATCCCCCCTCCAGCTTTTAACACGCACCTGGGAGCTGCGGCTCGGGGTGTGCCCCCGAGTCCCCGCCCCTCAGGCCACGCCCCCAGGCCCACGGAGAGGGCGGGGCCCCGCGGACGCAACGGTGGGCACGATGCGGCAACCCGCCGTTCGGTTGGTGCGCCTGGGTCGGGTGCCGTACGCCGAGCTACTGGGGCTGCAGGACCGCTGGCTGCGGCGGCTGCAGGCCGAGCCAGGCATTGAGGCCCCGTCGGGGACTGAGGCGGGCGCGCTCCTGCTCTGCGAGCCCGCGGGGCCCGTGTATACGGCCGGGCTGCGCGGCGGCCTGACGCCCGAGGAAACTGCGCGGCTACGGGCCTTGGGCGCCGAGGTGCGCGTCACAGGCCGCGGTGGCCTGGCCACCTTCCACGGCCCGGGCCAGCTGCTTTGCCACCCGGTACTCGACCTGCGGCGTCTCGGCCTGCGCTTGCGCATGCACGTAGCGTCGCTGGAGGCGTGCGCCGTGCGCCTGTGCGAGCTCCAGGGCCTGCAGGACGCCCGCGCGCGGCCCCCGCCCTACACTGGCGTCTGGCTAGACGATCGCAAGATCTGCGCGATCGGTGAGCGCCGCGGAGCAGGGCGGTACCTGAGAGCCGAGGTCGGAGCTTGAGGCCTGGGGGCGGGGTCTGACGGGGCTGGACCAACGGAGGTGAGGGCCGGGAGGAGGCGTATCTAGCGCGGGTTTTGAATCACAGCTACCCGCTGCGTTTGAGTTTTTAAGCCCCTTTTCAGATATCGTATATTCAGAAGCAGAAGGCTCCTCACATCTAGTCCAACACGCATTTCTGTTAAGGGAGAGACAAGAGAAGTGAATTGCCAGGTTACGTCCTGCGAATGACAATGTCATGGCAAATAAGGGTGCTAATTTTCAAACTTTTTTTTTTTTTTTTTTTTGAGACAGAGTCTCGCTTTGTCACCCAGGCTGGAGTGCAGTGGCGCAATCTCGGCCCACTGCAAGCTCCGCCTCCCGGGTTCACGCCATTCTCCTGCCTCAGCCTCCAGAGTAGCTGGGGCTACAGGCGCCCACCACCAGCCCGGCTAATTTTTTGTATTTTTAGTAGAGATGGGGTTTCACCGTGTTAGCCAGGATGGTCACGATCTCCTGACCTCGTGATCCGCCCGCCTCGGCCTCCCAAAATGCTGGGATTACAGGCGTGAGCCACTGCGCCTGTCCCCAAGCTTTTTTTTTTTTAAGTATTGGAATCTGTTAAAAGACATTTCCTGGAATCCTCATGATGAGTGCAGCTGCTTGAAGCCACGCACCCCTTCCTTTCATTTGTTTCCTTTTCCCATCTGAGTACAATCCCTTGTTTCTCCAGAAACAAAATTTGAAAACCGGTGATCTAATCCAGTTTTCTCATCGCCCTGAGAGGGACACCAAAGCCCGGAGAGTGGAGGGTATCTACTCTAAGACCCTTTGGCTTGCCTTGCAGGAGTCCGCTGTGGAAGGCACATCACATCCCACGGCCTGGCTCTCAACTGCTCTACCGACCTCACGTGGTTTGAGCACATCGTGCCCTGTGGACTGGTTGGGACAGGCGTCACTTCCTTGAGTAAGGAGCTCCAGAGGCACGTCACCGTGGAAGAAGTAATGCCACCTTTCCTTGTGGCCTTTAAGGAGATCTACAAGTGCACACTGATCTCAGAGGACAGCCCCAACTGAAGAGTACTCATAACAGCCAGGATGCTCCTGCCTTGGGAAGCATGAAGTCTGACTTGAGTCACCTACTGAAACCCAGATTTTAGACCTGGCCTGTCATTCACTGATCATGAAACTAAGGACATACCATGAGCTCTGAGCCACTATTTTCATATGTATCCTGTTTTATTTATATCTTCCCCACCTACCTCAGAGATACTAGATGTGACAATACTGTGAAAAGCAACACATGCTATATAAAACATTAGCACTGCTATTGACAGCAGTGTCTCAGAGAAATTCAGATGTCATAGATTGTTATTTCTCGATTGTTGATGTCATAGATTGTCATTTCTCAATTGTTGCTTCCTCAATACTGTGTCTAACTGAGCAATTCTGGGCTCTAGTTCCTTTGATTTTGTGGGAATCAAATCTCTGAATGGCCCAGGTGAAGGTGATGTGATGTAGTGCTTTTTCATTCTCAAGAGACCTGGGTTCTTTCTGCAATAAAGGGAAAAGGGAAGAACCTTCTAAGAATAAAATGGGATCTTACCTTCCTGGGTTTGATTCCCCAAGTTTGATAATTTAGCAGTTTTTAGTTGGGTTACCCTGAGCTAGGCCAAAGACTGGAGGAAGGATAAGAATAATTTCTCACACTGTACAAATGCCAAAGATAGAAGTGAGTTTTTCTTATATGAGACCTCTAAATTTGTAAGGCTGCGTATTATCTGTTGCTGTGTAACAAATCATCAAAACTTAGTGACTTAACAGTAAACATTAATTATCTCGTTTGTGGGTCAGGAATTTGGGGGAAGCTTAGCTGGGTGTTTCTAGGTTAGGGTCTCACACGAACTTGCAGTTAAGATGTCAGCTGGAACTGCACTTATTCAAAGGCTTGGCTGGGCTGGAGGATCAGCGCTCCATATGGTGCATTCACTTGCGTGGTTGGTTATGGTTGCTGACAAGAGGCCTCAGTTCCTTACCGTGTGGACCTCCCTATAGGGTTGCTTAATTGTTCTCATGACAGGGCAACTGGCTTCCCCTAGAGCAAGTCATGCCAAAGAGAGACAAGCTGGAAGCCACAATGTTTTTTATGACCCAGCCTCAGAAGTCACACAGGCATTTCTGTAGTCTTCTAACAGATGAGCCCTGTTCAGTGTGGAAGGGACTGCACTAGGGCAACAGAAGGTGAGGATTATTAGGGGCCATCTTGAAGAATGGCCACCACAGCCTATTAAGAGTGGAAAGAGCCTCGAATGAGAAGTCAGGGGACCCTGGTTCCAGTTCTGGCTCTGTGGAAAAGTCATTTACTCTCTGGTCTTCAGTTTCTCCTTAAACCAGTGCTGTTCAATAGAAATACAATGCAAGCCACATTGTAATTTGACATTTTCTAGGATCCATGTTAAAAAGGTAAAAGAAATGGGTGATGTTATTTTTATTTTATTTTATTTTTATTTTTTTTAAGAAATGAGGCTTTGCTATGTTGCCCAAGCTGGTCTCAGACTCCTGGGCTCAAGGGATCCTTCTGCCTCAGCCTCACAAAGTGCTGGAATTACAGGTGTGAGCCACCATGCCTGGTCTATGATGTTAATTTTAATATTTTAATTAACCCAATATATAAAAATATCAATATAAAGCAATATAAATGTTTTCTTGAGATATTTCATATTCTTTTTCTCATGCTGAGTCTTCAAAATATAGTGTGTATTTTACACTTATAGCACACCTCATTTTGGACTAGCTACATTTTAAAAGTGCTCATTGGTCCCATGAGGACTGACCATTCTCACATCTAAAGTCCTTTTGAGTTCCCAGGGTTCTGTGGTCTCACTGGCTTCTAGGAAGAAAGGTGAATCCTCCTACATCTGAGGTCTGATTTTTTTTAATGCAAATAATTTATATCAATTATTCAAGCTGAAAAGGACTTTAGAGGTATATTCCTACCCCCTCATTGTAAAGAGATGAAAGCAAGGCTTAGGAAAAACCTTCTCAAAGTCAAAGTAAATTAATGCCAAAGCCAGTACTGAGTCTTAGGTATAAGCCCCTTTCTCATGCTCTTTTCCTGCTGTGCACACTGATTTAGAGCTTGGAACAATATGGTTTACGTGTCATGGACATTCCATCAGTATTACTTGATTGATGGTTTATCACCTGTAATTTGGTCCATATTCTTCCTGGGCCTTAGTCTCCCATCCACAGGGCTACTGCTGCTGTTGTAGGGGTGTGGAAGTGAGGAGTCATTGATAATTACTTTGTTATTATTGCCAAAAAGGAAAATAATTATTCCAGGAAAAGTGGAGTTAGATTCTCATAGATGGAAGGCTGTGCACAGTGTTTCTACCTATCTGATACTCAGCCTCCCTCTCTAGCAACCCTAACAAATGACCATACAACTTGTTCTTGAATGCTTCCAGAGACTGGAAAAGAAATAGACATGTACTCAGCACTCATTTATTGCCACATACGGTCATACTGTGTTAGCCTCTTAAGTACGTGCTCTCATTTGACAGCCTGTTCCATTCTTCTGGACCATAGAGAATCTGTACACAATTGTAGTGGCTGATTTGCTTGACCTTCCTGAACCTCAGTTTCATTACATGAAACAAGGATAGTGGTAAGAATTAGATGACATAATTATAGGTAAAGCATTGAGGGTAATGTTGGCCCAGAGTAAAAGCTCAGTAAATCTTATCATTATTATTACCGTCTGTCCTCCATGAGCCTTCTCCAGGGAAATTATCCCCAGATCCTTTGAGTTCCCCTCAAGGCAATAGGCTCCGCAAGAGTAGAGCTGCTTCTGCCTTGTTTCCTTCTGCATCTCCAGCATGTAGCACTGGGCTTGACATACACAACGCTATTTGAAAATATCGATTAAGGGGAATTGAACTATTTAAAGTCTCCTCCCATCCTGCCCATCTGTCTGTGGACCAGCCCCGGCTCATGTGTGTCCCATTAGGTGCAGCGCTCACAGCTGAGCACAGCAGTCTTGGTGTGGACAGACCAGCACAGAGTACAGGAAACTGTTGCTTCCTGTGCTGGACTTGGGGGATACAAACTGGCCCTCATGGTGCTGGCCTGCAGATGTGTTCTCTTAGGCTTACAGGATTTTATGTATGTGTGTATGTATCTGGTTAAGTTTAGTAATTGCCAACATTTAAAAAATGGGAAATTGTCATGTAAAAATTTGGTTTTCTGGCTTCTCATGAAAATTAGAGAGATCTGGAAACATTGGGCCATCTGCCTGATGATTGGAAGCAGGTACGGTTTTGTTGTTGTTTTGTGTGTGTGTGTGTGTCGGAGTCTCACTCTATCGCCCTGGGTTCAAGCAATTCTCCTGCCTCAGCCTCTCAAGTAGCTGGGATTACAGGCATCCACCACCATGCCCAGCTAATTTTTGTATTTTTAGTAGAGACAGAGTTTCACCATGTTGGCCAGGCTGGTCTTGAACTCCTGGCCTCAGGTGATCCACCCGCCTCGGCCTCCCAAAGTGCTGGAATTAACAGGCATGAGCCACCATGCCCAGCCAGAAGCAGGTATGTTTTTAAAATTGCATTTTCCAGTTACCTGCAGCACCTCCCCTCTCTTCCTCCACTTGTTGACATTAGCTTCCTGGCCCCTGTAGGCATTCGAGTTGGTGACCCCTAATCTAGACATTTCCTTGTTCTGAGACACAGCAGAGTCTCAGTGGACCCATCACAGTATTGGTTTTATATCGTAGTCATGGGGAGCCCTTTAAGGAAGGGCCATGACTTACTCATTCCTGTGTCCCTGGCCCCTGGCTCAGGGCCTGGCACAGAATAGGCAGCAGAAAATATATGATAGTTTTTAATCTTCACCAAATATTTCTGGCTCTCTGCTTTCTGGACACATGGCAGGATTGTGCTTTGTGGCCCCAACATGGGTGAGTAGGAGCAAGGTTAACTTCTTTTGGTTAATTTATGAATGGAGGTGGCATGTCACTTCTGAGCTGGAGCATTGACTAGCTGGTGCCAGGCCCTTCAGAGTTTCCCTCTGGAACAGTGACCAACAACACTGAAGATGGTGGCTGCTTCCTGAGGGACTGCAATGATCAGAGCCCCCTGCTGACGATGGACATGCATTGGAGTTCAGCCACTTACATGTCACAGCACAACCTAGCCTGCTATAACTAATGTAATTGTTTATATTAATCAGAACTCTTATATTTGTAAGTGTAGAAACCCAATTCTAACATAAGCCAAAAAAAAGAACAAGGGTGGGGGTTATTGGAAAAGGTACTGGAGTCTCATAGAATCCAAGAGTAAGGCAGCAGCTGAAGAACAGAACCAGAGTGTGAAGCTCTTTAGGAACTTAGGTAGTCTTTTCCCTCCCACTCTCTGTCATGCTTTGTGGCATGTGTTTGCTTCATTTTGTCTCGCTTCAGTCCAGCTTTCTCTATTTCCCAGGCCACCTGGTAGAAAATGGCTGCTGCTGCTCCTGCCACTGCTGCTGCTATCCATGAATGTTGGGGTAGAGTCAAGGTTTCTTATTTGAGCAGCTGGGTGGATGGATGCTAAAGATACTGCTGGGATGGAGAACACCAGATAAGGATCAAGTTTGGAGAGGAAGATGATGAGTTCAGTTTTTAATAAATCAAGTTTGAGATACTCATGGGAGAGGCAAGCAGAGAGAGCCAAGAGGCAGTTGGGTCTGGAGCATGAGTGGGATGAGTGAAGGTTTAGGTGCAGAAGCTCTAACAGAGGAGAGCAGAGGACTGATAAATGTGAGACATAGGCTGTGTGAGGCACAGGCTGGCAAGGAGGAGTAGGCCAAGTAGACCGAGAAGTAGAGAATAAGTGGTGCAGGGACACAGAATGGGACATTATGACCGTCTCATCCTCTGGCAGTCTCTTCCTCTGGCAACCCGGCAAGATAGGCAAGGTTGTTTTATGGATGAGAAAACCAAGGCTCCGAAAGGCCAAGTGCCTTGTGAGAGGTCATGTTGTTGATAAGGGCAGGGTGAGTCTGGGCTCCCAGTGTGGGCTCTGAAGGGCAAGTGAGGCAGGCCTGCAGGAGGAGCCCCCAGGAACAGGTGGTCAGTGGGTAGGCAAAGCAGGAGGATGTAGAACAGGAGGCCAGAGTTAGGCTGAGGTCTAGCTGTGGCATCAGGTCAGGCTACTGCTGTGGGTTCCTGGCTCTCCTTCCTGCTTGGACAGATCCCACCTCCGGTTTCCCACTGGGGCCTTTCCTTAAGGAAGGAAGCTGAGCGTATGAAGGAGGATATTTAACACCCTGGCTTTCCTCCTTTGAAAAAGCCTCTTCTTGTTTGTTCAGAGTCTTTTCCTCAAAATAAACAGATTGTCCAGAGTCTGGTGAATGAGTGCTGAGGGTGAGGACGTGACCAACTGCAGTTACTAGTCCAGTGTCTTGTTCCCCCACTGAGGCTGGCAGGAAACTGAACAGAGCCAGCTCTGGCAGCGTGATCAGGTATCAGGCACCTCGCTTTGTGTAAAAGTCTCTGACAGGGTGTCCCTATGTTGCCCAGGCTGGTCTCGAACTCCTGGGCTCAAGAGATCCTCCTGTCTCAGCCTCCCGAAGTGCTAAGTAGGATTACAGGCACGAGCCACCACACCTGGCTGTAAAAATGTACTTATTCTCCAGCCTCTTTTGTATAAACCATAGTAAGGGATGGGAGTAATGATGTTATCTGTGAAAATCGCCACCATTTACCCATAAGACAAAACTTGTTAAAGCCTCCTGAGTCTAACCTAGTGTATCAGGCCATTTTTCACACACAAAAACATCCTTTTCAGGATTTAACGGAATCTATTGTTTCCCCTAGGTTGAAAAACAACTCGAAGACGCTTTAAAGTACCTTCTTGGGCTGGGTTACATGGTTCCCAGCCTAGGTTTCAGAATTTTGCTTAAGGCTAGTTTTAGAAACCCTTGAATTCAGAAAAGTTAATTCAGAAATTTGATAAACAGAACTATTTAAAAACTAACTGGAAAGATTATATGTTCTTTCTGAATTATTCAGAAATTATGCATCATTTTCTTTCAAGAATGACAGGGTCAGAATGTGGAATTCCAAGATAGCTCTTGACTTCCTCTCAAGCTCCATGTGTGGTCAGTGGAGGCCCATGCGAGCTCAGCATGTGTACTAAGAAGTGTTAGTTTCTTTGGGGCCCATCTACCCTGACCACATCATGATGTTCATCTGCAGCTATTGCAAGGTGTTCAGATTGTGTAAATACAAATGGCATAAAAACTTTAAAAGAAGCGCAATTCTGGAAAGATTAGGTGGACTAAAGCATTTTGTAAAGCAACTGGTAATAATGAGCTTACAGTGGGTAATTCATTTGAATTTGAAAAATACAGAAATGAGCCTGTCAAATACCGGCAAGAACTATGGAATAAAACTACTGATGCAATGAAGACAGTTGAAAAGATCAAACAAATGCTAAGCTAAATTTATAATGAACAAATTGAAGAAAAAAAAGGACTACAGAAAGTTCAGGACATCAAAGAAGTCAGGCAAAACTCATCTTGACACCTCTTGCAGGCAAAGGAAAGCAGCTGGAAGAAAAGGTGATACAACAGTTATAACAGGATGCAGACACGGAAGAGGTTTCCTAAAAATCTCATTGTCTATAACCGTTTCTATATTTACATTTGAAAATCTCCTTTGGAGACTTAGAACCTCTAAATTATTGACTTATTTTTTATATAAGGTCACTCAAATGAAAGGTGATTAAAAAATCATCTACATTGCTGTCTACAAAACATCAGACAATATGGATGTTAGATTGCATCTCATTGTTAACTCTTTACTGATAGATATGTTTGTAAATATGGAAGTGAAATGTGGGCATAAAATGGTTATGCTATTTGGTTAATGGTACTAGGCAACATTTCTGTAATTAATGACATTCAAAAATTTATGGCTAGTGATATATATAAAGTAAAATTTTCTTTGCAGTAAAATATGCCTTTTATTGTTATAGAAGGGAGGATATAAGGAACCAACAGTTTGTATGAAAATAGCTCAAATAATATCTTCTATTTTGATTTTAGTATTTCTTATTTTGGTTTATTAGCATCTTAGAACAAAATGGCCTTATATAATGAAGCCCAGTTATGCTGGACTGTTTTTGACCTGTTTTAATTGTTCTGACAGATAATTGGGGATGAGGGCCAAATAGTGTTTGCCTGAAATGACTGACACTATATAATTTCTGCTTTGGCAAATACTCAGTTCTAACTTGTGATTCCTGGTAGAACAAGCTTTATTTTTCGAGCCTAGCAGTGATCTAGAAGCAGATGTTATCTCAGTGCCTTTTAAAATTTGTTGTGTGGTTTTCTTTTAAAAAGCCACACAATAATTTTGGAAAACAATGTATGGGTAGAACATCTGTCTGTTATTTGCACACAAAACCACTTTTAATGGGTACAAAGTTAAATTAGGAGGAATATGTTCAGATGCCCTATTGCACAGTAGGGTGAGTACAGTTAATGTATTGAATGTTCTTGCTACAAATAAATGATAAATGTTTGAGTTGATGGGCATGCTAATTACACTGATTTGATCGACACACATTGTGTGTGAAACAGTACATACACCATATTTACAATTATGTATCAGTTTAACATTTTAAAAAACATTTCTAATGTAAAAAGTATGTCTCAAACTGTAGATTAACTTCTTGATTTATATTTAAATATGAATCTTAAGCAAAATAGTGAAAATAATCATCTTGATTTAGTGTTTTTCTCCCATATGTGAATTGTATATACTTAGGTGAGGACAATAAAATCAACTGAACTGTAAGCTTAGAATAGGACTGAGGGGTAATTTTGCATAGCAGCTTTACTAAGGGTACATTGTTGCTTCAAAACTCTCTCTCTCTCTCTCTCTCTCTCTCAATAAATGGCCAAAGGGATTAGTACTTTACCTTTGGAGGTCCTCAAAGCGTTATTTGGAGTTGATAATACTTCAGCTAGAACCAAGTAGAATCTGTTTTTTTCTGAGGAGTATCGGTAGCATAAATGTGATTATAAACAAAGTACAGTTAAGATGTATGTATGCAATGACTGCTATTTATACAAAATTTAAATCTGCAAATAGAATCAACATGCTTATGGGTTATTAAAATTGTCTAAATTCTTAGGTTCTTTATACTACACGTGCTGATTTACAAATAAATGATTTATTAAGTGATTTTTTAAAAAGTCTCTCTCTGAAAACTCCCATGGAAACCAGATTTTTGTAATCTAAATCTGATTTTTCAACCAAATTTTTATAATATTATCATACCATTTTATAATATCTATAAAGTTAAAAAAACTTGTACTCACATCTAACACAATCCTTTTCACTGATGTGTGTTTTCAGTATTTGATCATGAGCAGACATATTTTTATGTACTTCTAATATGTGGACAACATTTTGTATACTTTTTTTCATCATCTGTGATTTTGTTTTTAATTAAGTCTTATGATCACACATAATTTTTAAATTTGTGTATATCTCCTCTACTTTAATCCTTTTAAGTCAGCAAAAGCACCATTCCCGATCACAAATACACAAGAGTTCTACAGTTTTAGGTTTCTGAATGGCTGTTTAAAGACAATCCTAAATTACAACTTAGTCTGACTTAGATTGTAAAGAATTCAAGAGTGAGGTTTAACTTGCTACTATTTTTAAAGCATTTGACCTTATAGATCATCTATAAAATGTGAGAAGTGTTAAATAATCCTTATTTGATATTACACATAAACCACACTAAAATACCTTTCAATAAGTAAAAGGAACCATTTTAGACACAGGGAATTCAAATTAGATTGGCATAGTTAAGGCCAAAAATTTAAAGTATACATTGCTACCTTATCATCAACCCTTGCCTTTAAGAAGCAAGTGAACACAAAACACAGGTGAACCTTGCTTGGTTCTGAGACAGTGAAGGAATTTCCCAGTATTTAAATATATTTACATATCCAGTTATATTAATCTAAATATAAAACCAATCTCCAATAAGTTTTTTTTTTTTTTGAGGCGGAGTCTTGCTCTGTTGCCCAGGCTGGAGTGCAGTGGTGCGATCTCGGCTCACTGCAACCTCTGCCTCCTGGGTTCAAGCGATTCCTCTGCCTCAGCCGCCTCAGTAGAGTAGCTGGGGACTGCAGGCGTGCACCACCATGCCCGGCTAATTTTTGTATTTTTAGTAGAGATGGGGTTTCACCATGTTGGCCAGGCTGGTCTTGAACTCCTGACCTCAAGTGATCTGCCCACCTCAGCCTCCCAAAGTGCTGCGATTACAGGTGTGAGCCACCACACCCAGCCCAATCTCCAATAAGTTTTAAGATGGCATTCACCATCTTTGGAAAGTTGAACATTACTAACAAAGTCTAATCATAGCTTTAGAAGGGGTAAACGGTGATAGCATTTACTGAATCGCAATTACTATTAAAATTCAAAAAACCAAACATATTCATTTAACTACAACCCCATCTTAGTTTTAAATCAGGACTGCCCAACAAAATATTCTGTCAGTCATTCATGATCTGAATTCTGGTGTATGAGAGCTATCAAATTGTGGTACACATAAAAAAGTCATGAGACATTTCTGTTTTGTAATAAATAAGGCAGTGGCCAATTATTACTCATTAGTAGCTTTTTTGAGATAAGCTATCAAGTCTGCCCTTTCTGCCTTCTTCTTAATGTGGGCAAAGATCATTTTTGTTCCAGAGATGTACTTCTAGGGATTCTCCAAATGCTCCATCAGGGTATCCTCTCCCCAGGTGATGCGTTTGTTCTTACTGGCATCTGTTAAAGAGAATCCAATGGCCTGGACGGTGGAGATTAGGCCTCGTTTTGTCCTTGCCTTTGTTTTCCACGGTGTAGCACTGGGCATACTTCTCAGTACAAATCCTCTTGCCTTTCTCAATATCACCCATATTTAATTCTCTCTTTTGTCGCTGGCGCTAGGAAGGTTCCCACTCAGAAGCCGGACGTCCCGCTCTGTGTACTTTTTTTTTTTTTTTTTTTTTTTTTGAGATGGAGTCTCACTCTGTCGCCCAGGCTGGAGTGCAGTGGCACGATCTCTGCTCATTGCACGCTCCGCCTCCCGAGTTCACGCCATTCTCCTGCCTCAGCCTCCCGAGTAGCTGGGACTACAGGCGCCCGCCACCACGCCCGGCTAATTTTTTGTATTTTTAGTAGAGATAGGGTTTCACCATATTAGCCAGGATGGTCTCGATCTCCTGACCTCGTGATCCGCCCACCTCGGCCTCCCAAAGTGCTGGGATTACAGGGGTAAGCCACGGCACCTGGCCCTCTCTGTGTACTCTTTTAAACCAAATATCATGCTACAAACATTTTCCCACATTCCTAGTCTTTATAACTATATTTTTGAATGCCTTAATTTTTTTAACTTTGATCAATTTTTAATAGAGATAATCCATACATATGGAATAAAATTTAAAAGGTGCAGAATAGTGGCATTGAAATGTAAGTCTTGCTCCTCCCCCTCTCCCCTGTAAACCCAGATCCCTTCCCTGGAGGGCTACATAATGAAAAGTGTCTTATTTATATACTTCAGAGTTATTTTATACATATATAAGCACACATGACTATACACATTCTTTTTTGTATAGTAGCATACCCTATGCACAGTCTTGCACTTGGGTGATTGTTTCAGACCAGTTTATAAAGGGCATCCTCATTCTTTTTAGTGACTATGTAGTATTCCATTGAATGATTTACCATGACTTATTTAGTCTCTATTGAGGACATTTAGTTTATTACTAATCTTAGGCTTTTACAAACAAAGCTATAGTGAGAATTTGTGTGCATGTATGTGTGTATGTGTGTCTGTGTGTGTTTCATACATGGTGAGTACAGAGGCTGCATTTCTAGAAATGGTTTTCTGAGTCAAAGGATATGTGTATTTTAAATTTAGTAGACATTGTCATAATTGCCTTCCATAAAAGTTATACCAATTTATACTCCTGTCAGCAATATAATGATGTAATGCCTGCATTTTAAATTTCCAGCACCTTAGAAAGCTTTTTCATTTTTTTTTCAAGGCAAGTTTTAGAGCAGGAATGAAAGTTAAAAAACTTTAGAGCAGGAACAAAAGGAAGGAAAGTACACTTGGAAGAGGGCCAAGTGGGCGACTTGAAAGACAAGTGTCTTTTTTTATTTTTAAAGACTTTTTTTGTTGTTGTTGAAACAGGGTCTCACTCTGTCACCCAAGCTGGAGTGCAGCAGCATGATAATGGCTCATTGCAGCCTTGACCTTCTGGGCTAAAGTGATCTTTCCACCTCAGCCTCCTGAGTAGCTAGGACTAGCTAGGCATGTGCCACCACGCCTAACTAATTTTTTTTGTGTTTTTTTTTTCAAAGTAGAGATGAAATCTGGCTATTTTGCCAGGCTGGTCTTGAACTTCTGGCCTTAAGCAATCCTCTTTCCTCCACCTCCAAAAGCGCTGGGATTACAGGTGTTGTGTTTGGCCTTAAAGCTTTTTATTATAAAATATTTTAAACATACAATAATGAACCGTCATGCAGCTAAAGCCATCCTCAGCTCATGGCCAGATAAGTTTATCTAAACTGGTACCCACTTCCTGCCTCCCCCTGGATTATTGTGACGCGAATAACAAATATACTGTTTCATTCAGAAATATTTCAGTATGTATTCCCAAAAGATAAATACTCTTGGCTAGGCATGGTGGCTCATGCCTATAATCCTAGCACTTTGGGAGGCCAAGGTGGGTGGATTGCTTCAGCTCAGGAGTTTGACACCAACCTGGGCAACATGGCGAAACCTCGTCTGTACAAAAAAATACAAAAATTAGCCAGGCATGGTGGTGCACATCTGTAGTTCCAGCTACTCGGGAGGCTGAGATGGGAGGATCACTTGAGCCCATGAGGTCGAGGCTACAGTGAGCCGAGATTGCACCACTGCACTCCAGCCTAGGCAACAGAGTCAGACCCTGTCTCAAAAACAAAAAAACCTGACTCTTTTTAAACTCTTTAACCACAACATCATCACCACATGTAGAAAATACTTCTTCAATATCAACAAATATTCAGTTAATGTTCACATTTCTCCAATTGCTTTTTTCTTTACTTTTAGTTGTTTTATTCAAATCAGGATCCAAACAAGATCTGGACACTGTATTTGGTTCATGTGTCTCACAAATGTCTCTTAAGTCTTTTTTTATCTGTAAGTTCCTCCTCCATCTTTTTATCTTTGCTCCTCTTGTTATTTGTTGAGGAAACAGATGTTTGTCCTATCAAGTTTTCCACAGTCCAGATTTTGTTCATCGTGTCCTCCTGGTATTATTTCATGTGTCTCTCTATCTCCTCTATTTCCTGAACACTGAAAGGTAGCTCCTGAGGCTTGGTCTGATTCAGGTATGATTTTTTTTCTTTTTCATGTCTCCTGCTAGGTGGTAGTGTGTTCTTACAGCAAGAGGGATGTAATACTAGGCTTTTTTTTTTCTCTCTCTTTTTTGTAATGATCATTTCTTAGATGCATTCTCTTATTAGATTCTATCATCCCTCCTTCACTTACCAGATGGAATCTTTCTCTGTTTTTAGAGATAGGGTCTCACTTTTTCACCCAGGCTGCAGTGCAGTGAGTGACGCAATCACGGCTCACTGTATCACGGCAGCCTTGACTTCCTGGGCTCGGGTGATTCTCCCGCTTCAGCCTCCTGAGTGGCTGGGACTACAGGCACGTGCCACTATGCCCGGCTAATTTTTGTATTTTTTATAGAGACAGGGTCTTGCCATGTCAAGGTTGGTCTTAAACTGCTGGGCTCAAACGATCCACCCACTTTGGCCTCCCAAAGTGCTGGGATCACAGGCGTGAGCCACCTAACCCAGCCAGAATATTTCTACAAAACCAACAGGATGAGCTCAAAAGAACTCATCATGACCAGCAGCAGCAGCGGTGTTGTTATTAGCATTTTATTCATTTTTTAGTTTTGTTCATATTCAATGTTTGTACTGAATAAAAATTGTTTATATAAAAGATTTGCTTTTACAGTTACATACATTGGAATTTATATTGAGTTTAAATTTTAACATATTTAGATTAAGTCAACAATGAGTAACCCAATAATTTTTTTTCCTTTCAAAGGGGGGTCTGTACATTATTCTAGTTCAAGAGACACTGGTATCAGGCCATAGTGTTACATTTTAAAAATTTCTGTAAACTGTGAGCTTTTCTACTGTGAGCCAGAGATTGTTTCTTTTTTATTTTTGTTTTTGTCTTAATATCCCAGTACCTGACATACAGAAGGAAGCAGAGCTTTAATGGCTTGTCTTATTGTGAGGAATTCCCTGCAGCCTCCACATTGGTCCTCTTTGTTGATAAACATCAACATCCAGTCTGTTAAAAATTGTGCTTTTCAATGGCAATTTCACTATTTAAAATGGTTCCCAATAGTAGTGCTGAAATGCTGCACAAGAAAACTATAATGGGCCTTATGGAAAAGACACATGTGTTACGTAAGCTTTGTTCAGGCACAACTCATAGTGCAGTTGGCTGTGAGTTCAGTGTTAATGAATCAACAATATATATGAAATAAGATGTTTTTAAATGGAAACACACATAAAACAAGGATATACATTTTTCAATAGATGAAAATAGGCCGGGCGTAGTGGCTCATGCCTGTAATCCCAGCACTTTGGGAGGCCAAGGCAGGCGGATCATCACTTGAGGCCAGGAATTTGAGACCAGCCTGGCCAACATGGTGAAAACCCGTCTCTACTAAAAATACAAAAATTAGTCGGGTGTGGTGGTGTGCACCTGTAATCCTAGCTACTCGGGGGGCTGGGGTGGGAGAATTGCTTGAACCTGAGAGGCAGAGGTTGCAGTGAGCTGAGATGGCGCCACTGCACTCCAACCTAGGCATCACAGTGAGACTCCATCTCAAAAAGAAAAAAGAAAATGGTGTGACCAGAGACAAGCAGGAACCTAACTCTTTATTTCCTCTAGGAGCCATGGTTCAGTATTCATGATTTCAACAACTTTATAGAACATAACTACCATAAAGTCAAAATAATACTACATAATGTGGAATTTATAGCATATATGAATGTAAAGTATATAACCATGAAGATAGAAGGGTGGTATTTAGAAGTATACTGTTTTAAGGCAGGGCATAGTGGCTCACGCCTATAAACCCAGCACTTTGGGAGGCCAAGGTGGGGTATCACTTGAGGTCAGGAGTTTGAGACCAGCCTGGCCAACCCTATCTCTACTAAAAATATAAAAATTAGCCGGGAGTGGTGGCACATGCCTGTAGTCCCAGCTACTCAGGAGGCTGAGGCAGGAGAATCTCTTGAACCCAGGAGGTAGAGGTTGTAGTGAGCTGAGATTGCGCCATTGCACTACAGCCTGGGTGACAGAGCAAAACTCTGTCTCAGGAAAAAAAAAAAAAAAAGAAGTAAGTATACAGTTTTAAGATTCTTTTTTTTTTTTTTTTTTTTTAAGGAGTCTCACTCTGTCGCCCAGGCTTGTGTGCAGTGGTGTGATCTCAGCTCACTGCAACCTCTACCTCCTTGGTTCAAGTGATTCTTTTGTCTCAGTCTCCAACGTAGCTGGGACTACAGGTGCATGCCACCACACCCAGCTAATTTTTGTAGTTTTAGTAGAGAAGGGGTTTCACCATATTGGCCAGGCTGGCCTCAAACTCCTGACCTCGTGATCCGCCTGCCTTGGCCTCCCAAAGTGCTGGGATTGCAGGCATGAGGTACCATGCCCTGCCAAAATTCTTATATTCGTAAGTACTAGAGTATTTTTGGCAGGCAGGCTATGATAAAAAGAAGATGCGTATGCATCTATACAGCAACCACCAAAAATAAGTCAAATGGACATAAGCAGAAATTCAATAGCGGTGACACAAATTAAATTAATAATGATAATTCACATAGGAGATAAAATTGAATAAGAATAATTTTCCAACTAAAGGTAGAGAAATGAAAATCTGAAAACAGAAATAGAAATCAAACACCATGACAGATAAATCCAAACATGAAACACTAATTTAATGTAAATGGATTAAATACTCTCATGAAAAGGCAGCATTTGCTGACCTTTTATAAATGCAAGCAATTATATGTTATTATCAAAAAACGTACTTTAACATTAAAAGACATAGACAATTTGAAAATAAAATGATAAAAAAGAAAAAAATATATATCCAGTCTGTTAAGTGGTTGTCCCAGCCCTGCTCACACACCTCCAGACACAGAACACTTACTGCCTCCTGAGGCAGCCTTCCATTCTTGCACAGTTCTGATTGTTAGAAAGTTACTCCTCAAAGCTAAAATGTGCCACCAACATTGTCATAATTCTGCCCCCCTGCACTAAGAGGACTTCCCTGGCCATGCCCTACATCCCTTTCTAGTGGTACTGACCACACTCTATTATAGTTCCTTGTTTCCATGCCCGATCCCAACCAGACTGTGAGCTCCCCAGGCAGGGACTATAGCTGTGTCATCCATGGCCTTTTCAGCCCCCAGTCCCGGGCCTCCCACAGAGGAGGCACCCAGAAACAGTCTGTGGAATCAGAGAATGGATTGTCTCAGAAGTGGTCTCTACTTCAAGTTAAACATTCCTTATTCTTATGTTCTTCATGGCTTCCAGACCCCACACCACTGCCCTCATCTCCATAGGCTCCAATTGGCTAATGTGCCCTTAATCTATGCAGCTTGAAGATAACATGTATGGTATGGTCTGGCCAGGTTCCAGCCTGTGCTGGACCCTGAGGACAGAGATGGATCCAACTTGGTCCATCTTCAAGGAGCTCACCGCCTTGTAGAGAAGACACACCTGTAAACAAACACATGCAGTAAAGTGTTATACACACTGAGAGAAGCTTGCATAGGGAACTGTGGGGAAATAAAAGAAGTACTAAGTCTTAAAAGGGAGGATGAGGGCAGAAAAGGCTCAAAGTGACACTGAATTAGTGAGGACTTTGGGTTGTAGGTAACAGGAAACCCAGCTCAAACTAGCTCAAGTGAAAAGAGAATATTTTAGATCTCATAACTGAAAAGTCTGTGGATAGACTTCAGGCACAGATTGATCCAGGGACTCAAACAATGGCATCAGGACTTGGTTTTTCTTCCTCTATTCCTTAGCTCTGCTGACCTCAGAATTGGCTTCACTCTCTCCTGTGTGGTGCCAAAGATGGCTGTTGGTCACACCACACTTAGATTCTATAGCTTAGCCACCCTTACTTCCGTATACATTCAGCCTAAGGCCCAGGAAGGATTCTGGATAAATCATCACTCCAAGGAGCGTCATGACCCTCTTGGAACAAACAGATGGGGCTTAGCCCCACCTGAACCATATGGGCTGAGAGCAAGAGAGGGAAGGGTGACTCCCCAAAAGGAAGAGAGAGGTTCTATTCCCAAAAGAAGGAATTCTGGGAAGGCCAAGACATCAGATGTCCACTATGGCTTCAGAAGATAAGAATTGTGGGATAGATAAGAAGACATGGTGTGTTCCAGGCAGAATAAGAAGCATGAGAGTCTCTGAAGTGTGAAGCTAATCTGGGGAACTCAAGTGCCTATCTTGCCCCAGACTATAGCAGGTGTTTTAGGTGCTCCATGTATATTTGCCTGGCCCTTCCATTTCAGTGCCATTTCAAATATCTGTTAGAAACAGTCATTTCAGGCTGGGCACAGTGGCACAATCCTGTAATATCAGCACTTTGGGAGGCCGAGGCAGGAGGATCACTTGAGCTCAGGAGTTTGAGACCAGCCTGGGCAACGTAGTAAAAGCCTGTCTTTACAAAAAATGCAAAAATTAGCCGGGCATGGTGGCGTACACTTGTAGTCCCAGCTACTTGGGAAGCTGAGGCAAAAAGATTGCTTGAGTCCAGGAAGTGAAGGCTGCAATGAGCCAAGATCATCACCACTGCACTCCAGCCTGGAGCCTGGGTGACAGAGTGAGACCCTGTCTTAAAAAAAAAAAAAGAAGAAGAAGAAGAAGAGAAATAGACATTTCAGTGTCTATTTCCACCTGCCAGCATCTGTACCTTTTTTCTCAGGACTTTTGGAGGGACCGGGGCTGTCAACCCATGTGTCAGGCTGGACATGCTGGAGAATTCATATCCCCCGAGCAGCCCTCAGCCAATGACTGACTCCCCTAGCCCCCTTGCCTCTAATGAGGGGTAACTCTGGATGTGTGTTCTACCCAGGCCTCTAGGGTTCCCTAGCAGGGCTAAGCTTGCTAAGGGTACACCTTATGAAAGGCTCCATTCACTCCTGTGTTACTTCACCACTCTTCTAATTGTGTTTCCTGGGATCACGTCACACATGAACCACTTGTACTCAAATCCATGTCCCAGGGCCTGCTTCTGGGAGAATCCAAGATAGCCCCAAACACATTCTTCTAAAAACAAAGCTTAAGTCAGTGTCAACACTTTTTGTTTTTGTTTTGTTTTGCTGCCACACTATCCTATTTACTTAGGTGGGATAACAAATATGCATAACATCTGAGGTACAGCCCCTCCTTCCAGGAGCTCCTGGTCTGAGGGGAAGGCAATAATAAGCATTTCATGGTTTTCAAAGTGCCTTCTCAGCTGTGAGTCCATTTGCTCCTTGGAACACTGCAAGGTTTGCAGGACCAAGATTGTTGTTGTGCAAGTGAGGAACACAGAGGCTCAAAGTGGGGCAGTGACTTGGCCCAGGTCCCAGGGCCGATGATCCTTGGCTGACCCCTTTCTTGGCTTGTGCCTGTGTCAGCACCATCCAGGTGGTCTCTTATCACTAAGAAGAATTAGGGAATCCCTCCTTCTCTGTAGGTTCAGCCAGACCTCCAGTAAAGACACCCACATCTGTTGCTTGTTTTCTAAACATTGATGACTTTGGAGGTAGAAGATTAGAAGCACCAAAAACCAAACAGCATTCTGATCCCCCCAGGGGCTGCTTCGTCTATTGCTCCCTCTTGGACTAGGGGCTCTCCCAGTGAGAGCAACATTTTCCATGCAGTCAGGGCCATTCTTCCCATATCAGACTGTACCCTGCCCAAGAACAGGGACTTACACAAGGATGATACATATGAAAAAGGGGAGATACGTGGGATGGGAGCAGTCAGGGGACACAGACAAAGGCATCTAATTTAGGGCAGGGGAGATTTCCGGGAGGAAGTAGCATCTAAGGGTGAGTTAGCCGGCCCCAGGAGGAAGTATGTTCCAGGCAGAGAGAACAGCATAGGCAAAGGCCTGAAGATGACAGAGAGTATGTGGATATTTGAGGAACTGAGATTGTCCCCTCCTGCTCCTTTCTGGGGTGAAAACCCAAGCTCGCATCCTCCACCCACATTCCTTAGTTCTTCTACTCCTTCCTCCCACCCCTTGCCTGGAGCACGCTGAAAAGGATCAGGGGAGGACCCTACTCATCTGACAGATGCACTGCCTGTGCTGGATCCTTCCACGTGTCCCTTCATGGGTTCACCACCCTTCTCCACCCACAGTAGGCCGCCTGACTCTGGAGCTTCCAACTGGGTTGAGCCAACAGGAGGCAGTGGTAGAAGACCACAGGATGGGAGGGGAGAGAGGGAAAGGTGCTTGTTCCCCTGGCTCTCTCCCTGCGAGAGGTTAGCCTCTACCAAAGGCCACAGCTCCAGCCGAGATGCCCTCCCCACCACTGCCCTCTCTGAGTTCCAGTAACCCCTTCCTCCCCTTGCCCTGTCAGCCCAGGTAGTTTTCATCCTCACTGTTGCTAGCCAGACATACTGCACTATTTTGTCTTGATTTCCTAAGCCCTCGCCACACTCTGAATTACCCATTTTCAGGGTGCCATCTGTTTCCTACCTGGACCCTGGTGACGCACAGCCCTAATCCACAGTTAGAGGATGGACGGGGTATGCTAAGCCCTGCAAAATGCTGGGAACCTGGGAGGAGTTATTGAGTTATTGGTATTCAGCTCAATTCCACCTCACTTGCCTATCTTTTTTTTTTTTTTTTTTTTTTCCCCTGAGACAGAGCCTTGCTCTGTCGCCCAGGCTGGAGTTCAATGGCATGATCTCGGCTCACTGCTACCTTCACTTCCTGGGATTGAGCAATTCTCCTGCCTCAGCCTCCCAAGTAGCTAGGATTACAGGTGCCCGCCACCACGCCTGGCTAATTTTTTGTATTTTTAATAGAGATAGGTTTCACCATGTTGGCCAGTCTGGTCTTGAACTCCTGACCTCAGGTAATCCACCCGCCTCAGCCTCCCAAAGTGCCGGGATTACAGGCATGAGCCACCGTGCCCGGCCCCTCACTTGCCTCTCTCCAGCCCAACTCACGAGGGTCCAGAGCTGTTCTAAGCACAATATTTGCAGCAAATAACAAATCCACAGGGATGTATTACTGACCCTGTTTTCAGAAAAGGAAACTGAGTTTCAGAAAAAGAAATTGCCCAAATTCATGTAGTTAGAGGCAAGTCCACTGTTTGAACTCCAGTCTAGACTCCAAAGGACCCAATGAGACAGCAAGAGTGAAGATGCTTTTGCAACTATGAAGAGCCACCATACCTGTCCAAGCTAAGAACTGTGGTGTGGTGCCTGACCCTCCCCACAAGGCTGAGTTTTGAAGAAGGTCAGATCTGGCAGGAGCCCTAGAGATGAGACAGTCTCACACCATCCTGTGCAGAGAGGGAAACAGGTCCAGAGAGGACAAGTAGTTCCGCCAAAGATGAATATTTGCTGTTGGAATCAGAATGAGACGCACATCTTCAGACACCTCATAAACACATCAGTGAGAAGGATGTAGCACTCCCCTTAGAGAGGGATTTGGAAGAGAGAGAAGAAGAGGGGATAGAGAAGAGGGAACGAGCTGATTTCTGGGCTGTAGCATTTCAGATTTGGGGAATGCAAGGGATTAAGGACCAAACTGACAAGCCAGGAGGAGATAAGACCCTGAAGGCACAGACACGGGCTCCTCATGAATAATAGAATAAAGTAACTTGATGTGACTGTGAAACTTCCTCTGTGAGTCACACTGCATTTCCCCCTGGTGACCCAGTCTTCTGAAACTGTTGACAGGTACCATCCACACTCACCCTACCTCTCAACATTTTCCCCCCACTTCCTAGACCTTAAGTTAGGAACATCAAATATATCAGAGTCATCTGGTTAGGCGTTACTGAAAAATCAAGATGTAACTCAAGGGATACCAAGGTGGAAAAGAAACAACTGGTCTCTGTTCTCATAGCGCTTCCAGTCCAATGGGAAAGGCAGGCCCCAAACAGATAAACAGAAGATTGGGTTGAGTTCTATGAAGAAAACAAACAGGGAACTGGATGGATGATGGTGCCATTGACTGAGACATAGGAAAGTGAAAGGGAAAGAAGTCAAGAGTCCCAGTCCCCACATTATCCAAACAGAGACATCAGGGAGGTTGTTGGATATGGGAGTTCGATGCTCAGAGGAAAGGTTTGGCCCAGAGGTTGAAAAAGTCTCCTACTGACCTTTGAGGCTCTCTCAGGTTCTATCTCTTCTTGGAAGCTTTCTCTGATAACATAATTCCTAGGGATCTTCCCTCTCATGACCATTATTCACTCACTCATATATTCAACAAATTTTTACTAAGATCTCCTCTGTGCTAGGCTTGGTGCTGGGAATGGCTTAGTGCCCTCAATGAATTTATGTTCTAGGTGTGGAGTCAACCAATAGAGGAGACAATTGTAACACAGAATGGTAAGTGCTGTGTGAGAGGAAAGCCCGAGGGGCTGTAGGAGCAGAGAAAGTGGGCTTCTGTGCCAGCCAGGTCCTTCAGGAAGAAGATGGCCATCTCATATGGATAATTCAAGAAGGCTCTATTCAGAGATGGGCAGGGAGTGGGGAAACCACAGGGGTTGTGAGGTATCCTGGAGCTGAAAGCACCTGGGCATCACTACCACCCCTAGGACTGAAGAGGAAAGAGAAGGAGGTGGTTACAGGAATCCAGACTCAGGGAGAGCTCTAAGATAGGGCTGAGGGCAGCGGGAGCTGTGGGCCTCAGTTGAAGATGCAGCAAGAACAACAACAAAAGACTTTTTTTTTTAAGTAAGTGAAATATATCAGAATCATCTGTTAAGGTGTTACTGAAAAACAAGGCAGGGGATGGAGGTAGGGAGGCAGGAGAAGGGAGGAATTAGCATTTATAGATTGGATGCTCAGGGAAGGCCTCACCAAGAAGGTAACATTTAAGCCAAGACTTGTTTGTGGCATGTCTCTAGGTGAGTCTTCCCCTCATCCCTTCAATCAGCTCATCCTACCCTCAAATTCCATCCACCCCACTCCCCCATCTTCCCAGGGTCAGGGCCATGTCTCCAATGTCTTTGGATTAGGGAGCTCCTTGAAGTCCCTGTCAGACTAGAGATCCCCAGAGACAGGAACTCTGTTTCCTCCTGCTCTTTCTCATCCAGTGACAATAGAAGCTGCCATTTATTAAGCCTATGCCTCATGCTAGGCCCGGCTCCAGGCATATTAAACGCATCACTTCATCTAAGCCTGCTGGCAAGGCTCCAGGGCACAGGTGGGGAACATGAGGCAGCTCAGCCCCCTTTCCAATGGCCAGCTGCCTTCCCTGACATGGTTGCTGCCTTATCCTCACCCCAGAGAAGGGGGAGTAGAGGATAGACCTTAAATTCTTTTTTTTTTTTTCTTTGAGACAGAGTCTTGCTCTGTCACCCAGGCTGGAGTGCAGTGGCGCAATCTCAGCTCACTGCAACCTCTGCCTCCCAGGTTCAGGCGATTCTTCTGCCTCAGCTTCCCAAGTAGCTGGGATTACAGGTGCATGCCACCACACCCAGCTAATTTTTTTTTTTTAATCTTTAGTAGAGACGGAGTTTCACCATATTGAGCAAGCTGGTCTTGAACTCCTGACGTCGTGATCCGCCACCTCCCAAAGTGCTGGGATTACAGACGTGAGTCACCACGCCCAGCAAATTTTTTTTTTCTTGAGATAGGGTCTCACTTTGTTGTCTAGGCTGTAGTGAGTGCAGTGGCACAATCTTGGCTCACTGCAGCCTCAACCTCCTGGGCTCAAGCAATCCTCCCACCTCAGCCTCTCAAGTAGCTGGTACTACAGGCACATAGCATCATGCCCAACTAATTTTTTTATTTTTTGTAGAAATGAAGTCCCACTATGTTATCCAGGTTGGTCTTGAACTCCTGAGCTCAAGTGATCCACCCACCTCAGCCTCCCAAAGTGTTGGGATTACAGGCATGAGCCACTGCTCCTGGCCGACCTTAAATTCTTGAAAGACTGTAAAAGGGAACACAGATCAGACTTCTATTTCATGTCTCCAATGGGTGCAAGGACCAAAGGGTAGAAGTCAACAGGAAGCAGTTTTTGTTAAAATGTGAGAACATCCTAACAATCAGAGCTGTCTGGCTGCCTTGCAGGCATTGAGCTCCCTAGAGGTGTGCAAGAGAAGCTGGATAGCCTCATTTCAAAAATGAAATAGAGGCAGAGTGTGGTGGCTCACACCTGTAATCCCAACACTTCGGGAGGCCAAGGCGGGCAGATTACTTGAGGTCAAGTGTTCGAGACCAGCCTGGCTAACATGGCAAAACCCCGTCTCTACTAAAAATACAAAAATTAGCTGGGTGTGGTGGTACACCTGTAATTCCAGCTACTCAGGAGGCTGAGGCACAAGAATTGTTTGAACCTGGGAGGCAGAGTTTGCAGTAAGCTGAGATCACACCACTGCACTCCAGCCTGGGTGATATGTTTCCAAAAATAAAGAAATGGGAGAATCTGTTAGGCTCATGAGGGATTTGACTAGGAAACTCTTGAGAGTTCTTCCAATTTACATTCCAGAACCCTAAGATGATATGATTCTAAGACTTTGGTTCTAAGATTTTATTAGAACAAAAGACAATCCCTATCTTCAAAGAACTCACAACCTAGCAGATGGGGTGGACAAATGGTTACTTTCTATAACTGTCATAGACAGTCCTACAGAGTAAATGCAAGGCCGTGGGCAGGATCTGAGAAAGAACCCTGACCAAGCCAGGACTGCTTCCTCATGGCTAGTCTCAAGAACCATTTGCATCAGAGTCATTTGGAAATCTTGTTTGAAAATGCTGATTTCTAGGCTCTACTCCAGATTTCCTGAATTAGAACCTCTGGAGTGGAGCCCAAAAGTCTACTTAGTAAAACAAGCTCCCCAGGGGATTCTTAGGCAGATTGAAAACTGAGGTTGCAGGATGGGCACAGTGGTTCATGCCTGTAATCCCAGAACTTTGGGAGGTGGAGGTGTGCAGGTCACTTGAGCCCAGGAGTTCGAGATCAGCCTGGGCAACATGGAGTAACCCAATTTCTATAAAATACAAAAATTAGCCAGACATAGTGGTGTGTCCCAGTTACTCAGGAGGTTAAGGGAGGAGGATCACCTGAGCCCAGGAGTTCAAGGCTGCTGTGAGCCATAATCACTCCACTGCACTCCAGCCTGGGTGACACAGTGAGATCCTGTCTAAAGGAAGGAAGGAAGGAAGGAAGGAAGGAAGGAAGGAAGAAAGAAAGGAAGGAAGGAAGGAAACTGAGATTGCATGCTTAGGTGATTAGGATGACTTTTCTGAGAGGTGATCTCCAGACTGAGAAAAAGGAATAGTAGGGTCAAAACAAGGTGGGTACAATATACCCACCTTGTATATTGTATACAATATACAATATACCCACCTTGTAGTAGGTCTTTTTAAAACGATAGCACTTCTTAGATATATTCTGGGATTCTGTAATTGAGAGTATGTGCTTCAGATATCCTGGAGCAGACCTTTGCAAGGGAGTGAAAGAGCTGGCCTGAGGCTGTTATTAATTATTCTGAGGCAGTGAGCTGGTAAAAGGGCACCCCACAGGGTCCCCCGGAGAAATTCTCTGCAACTGTCCCTTCCTCTGCCACTAGCCTCCTGGCTCTTATTCCTCAGCTGCCCCGGCTGCCCCAGTTCTCTGAAGCCTGCAATGTCACCAGCAAGGAAACAACAGTTTGAGTGAGGGCATGGTGGTGGGAAAATAAACTGTTCTGGGACAGAGATGAGTAAGGTGCGGCTGAACACAAGTTGGTCAGGCACTGTCACGAACTTTTGAGGCTTGGTGGAGGAAACATTTGCTGGTGCTACTCAGAGACAGAGGGGTGTGTAGTGGATTTTGGGTCTGGGCTCTGCTACCTGGGCAAATCCCTTCTCCAACTGGGCCTCTGCGTCCTGTGTGGAAAAGAGTTTGTGTAAGAATCATATTATTTTGCTGTTGACCCTTTGGTTTTAATACTTTGGACTCAAAGGTCTCATCTGACCTCAACCATAAGCCTGTGAAGAATGCATGGAGGAACTGTACCAACTTTACAGCCAGGCCAAGGCCCAGTGAGGGGCAGCGACTCGCCCACCACCACACAGCCACACTGGAGCAAAACCGACTCCTGGAGATCGGCCTCATGCTGGGCTTGCTGAGGCCCAGCGGAGCGAGAGGCTTTCGGTCTCTGGTCCAGGAAGCAGGCGCTGCAGGGGACGGAAGGGTCGGAGCCCACAGCCGGGGGAGGCCAAGGAGCTGGGCGGAGGCACTCCAGGCCAGCCCGGGGAGAAGTGGGTGTGCTGGGGCCCGGGCGGGGCAGGGGGAGGGGACGCCCGGGGGAGGGAAAAGGGAGCCGAGCGCGGGTGGGAGCCCAGAGCCAGAGAGCGCGCTGGGCGGTGCTGGGCACCCGCGGAGTGGAACGGGGCTGGTGGAATGCACAGGGTCGCAGCGCTTGGGCCACCCTCGGTCAGAGGGCGCCGTGTCCAGCGAGCAAACGGGCGCCCCGGAGCCTTGCTGAGAGGCAGGTAAGGCACCCACCCAGCTGGGAAGGCTGAGCTGCGGCCTGGGGTGGAAATGAGGGGTCTTCCCGCCTCCCTTCCAAGGGCCACGGCGCGCTCTCCGTGAGACTGTGGAACCGAGGGGGAGTGGGGGAGGGGTGGGCGCTGCAAATACCAAGCTAGTCCTCCCGGATCCTCCCCGATCCTCCCGAGCGCAGTGATCGTGGAGCAGCATGTGGGAGTAGGGAGCTGGGCTCTGCGCGCCCCGTCTGGAAACCGTGGGGACTTGCGCCGTTATTCCCAGCCCTCAAGACGGCCACAAGAAAAGTTCCTCCACACCCACAGACGTGCAAGCGAACACTTGCAGCTGGCAGCCAGTGCACACGCAGAAACGACATTTCAGGACCCAGCACAGTCTCATTTGGCTGGAGCCACCGGCTCTGCGGAGCTGACTTGCCCATTCCCTCTACACCTCACTGTGTCCTTCACCCTGTCTGACCTAGTCCCGGGAAACCTGGTGACTCCCAAAAGCATCTTCTGCTGCCAGTAACATAGGTCGAGGCTGGGAGTCGGGAGACTTGAGTTCTAGTTTACAGGCTGTGTAAACCCGGGCAGTCATCCCTCAGCTCTGCGCCTTGTGCTCGCTTTTCCTGGGCCACCATTTGTAAAACGGGCCTCCTGCTCCTGTTGCCTGCATACCCCATGGGACAGAAGGGGAAAGGGGGATTGGACCTCAGAGTCTCTTATCTCGAAAATAAATGAGTTTAGTTCTTGCGTGAAAGCCCACCAGAGTATCCCTCCTAAAATCCTCTCCACTAATTTGCATATAGGGAAACTGATGCCCCAGGGGAGATGATTTACCTAAGGTTACAACAGAGACCAAACAGAATTAGAACCCAAGTTTCCTCAGTCCTAGCCCAGGGCTCTCTCCACTTCACCTACAAAGGCATGTTGTAAACGTGTGAGCTCCTCCTTATTTCCTTGCATCCGTCCACTTTGTCTGTTCCTGATGGAGGAAGACCCATGCTGGGGGCCTAGAAGCTGCTTTCAGATTTTCTTGACTCCTTGAGATGATAACCATCACCTTCTCCATCCCTCACTCAGTCTATACGTCTCAAAGCACATCCATAAACTTAATGTGCGAGTGCTCAAAATACCTTCTAAGAGGGAAGCAAGACAAGAAACTCCATCTTACTGATGAGGAAAATGAGGCCTAGAGGGATATAGACTTAGAGTGATAAAGTTACTTAACCAAAACGCACGGCTAGACGTGTTGGCCTAGTAGGGGCAGGAACCCAGGTCTCCTGATTCCCCCTCTGATGTGTTCTCCACCAGCTACAGGACTACAGAATGGTACCCCTCAATGATAAGGGACTGCGGGAATGATCATAGAGGGTAGGAAACAGGAAGGCTTCTGGAGAAGGTGAGGTTCCTGGGAATCAAGAAGAATAATAAGAACCTCCTGGCTGCTTCTGAGGCTAGGAGACCTGGAGTGGGAAAGGAGACACAGAGATGGTTGTTCTTGGTAATATGGGGGGAAAGGAAAGATGTGGAGACAGAAAAGGAAAACAGTGTGACCAGCCTGCCTGATAATTATCTTGTATGTTTGCAATTTCTAAAACATTCCCATCTCTTGTCTCCTCTAGTTCTCATGTGTGGTAGGCAGGGCAGGGATCATTATCCCCATCTTATAGATGAGGTTCAGAGGAAGTAAATGCAGTGCTCAAGGACACAGAGCCAAGCATACAGCCAAGATTAGAATCATGAAAGGAACACTTGAACGGCAAGATCACAGGCTGAGGGACTGGGGAGTTGGACTGTGTGTGTGTGTGCAGTGGGTGGGTGTATGTGGCCACACCCTGGGTAGGTACACAGGGAAGAGGGTTGCAAAGCCATTGCTGGTGTTTTGAGGCCAAGAATGTTTGCCCTTTGGATTGAATGGGGTCCAGGTGCAGGGAGCATCTGGGCTTCCAAAGAAGGCTTAGAATTCTTCCTCCTCTGACTCACCCCACCTGACTGAGATGGCTTCTTTTCTTTGAGCCATCCCTTCCCCAGACCAAATGAAATCTGTTTTGCCCTGCCCTGGAGGTTGCTTTTTAAATATTGTAAACTGTTTTCATGAATGTATGTGCGTGTGCCAGAGCGGGGGAATGCTCTTAGAGAAGAGGCATTGATTCATTTATTCTTGAATGCCTGCTAGGTATCAGGGCTGGGAAATAAAGAAATGTATGAGGCACAGGACCCTGCCCTCTTACCTTAAAGCGCACAGTTACACACATACACATACACACACACACATACACACACACACACACACACACAGAGTTTCAGTACAGTATAGTGCTCTAATAAGCCTTCGTGCAAAGCACTTTTGGGAAAAAACAAGAGGGAGAGACTAACTGGCTAGGGAGTGAGGAAGGAGGAGTCCCAGGAGAAGGTCTGCAGAGATGAATTGGAGTTGGGTCTTGAAGGATGAGTAGGAGTTTGCCAGGCAGGTAAAAAGAGGAAGGGCATTCTTGTTTAAGAAAACAGCATGAGCAAAGGCAAGAGATGTGCAAGTGCAAGGAATATTTGGAGAGTGGCCTGTACTTCAGTGTCATGGGTGCAGGCCACTGAAAAGAGCTGTGGGGAGATGAGGCCAGTGTCAGAGTCACATTTCAAGGAGCTTCAGTGGTAATCAGAAGAGTTTAGAGTCTGCCCTACTGGCAGAAGGGAACTTATAGTGGAAAGGTCTGTGGAGGGGAAGTCAAGATACTTGGTTTCTGGCTCCAACTCTGCCACTACTGAGCTGTGAGACCTTAAGCAGGTGATTCCCTTGGGGAGGAGGGTCTATTTTCCCACTGGTTGAATGAGGGGGTTGCACCAACAACATGATCATGAAGATCTCTTCCAGCTCAGATTCTATTCCTTTGTCCTTCCAACTGGATGCTAAGGGCTACTCCTTCAACTCCTCTCCCACTCCACCAGCTCTCCAATCCACAGGAGTGGTAAGACCACCAAGGGGACAGTGGTAAAACTGTGCACCCCAGGAACTGTCTTTGGATCACCTACCTGCTTTATGTGACTTTTTCTACCTACCTCTCTGTACTTCATTTCCAGACACTGAAGACGCTCATTCTGAAAGAGTAGCTGAAACGGAGTGACGGGAAAGAAAGACCCAAGGGTAGAGTTTCACTTTTCCCCAGAGCAACCTGAATGAAAACCCCACTAAGATCCCCAGTTCATCCCTCAGATCACAGCTTTATTCCCCAACTTCCAAGTTAGGGGTTGGACAAGTGTAAGGCAAGTGCAGTTTGTGAGAACCTGTGAATGTATGGGAAATAGCAGGAACAGAGAGTGAACCTGGCTCATCTGGGGAATCAGGAGTAGGTCTGGAGCAGTGGGGTGCATGGAAGATGAGAGCATAAACGAAGTCTAACTCCTCCTCCCAAGCTTACCAACCTCCATCTCACTGGATCATTGACTAAGATTGGCGAGAATCTGTGGTGCATGAAAAGGCCATAGTGACGAAGTTAGAGGAGATGATGCCCCATGACACTAACAGGCTGTGTCTGGTGTGATGTGAAGCTTAGGTGTGAGGAAACACTGCCATTTGTAGTGGAAAGAGCACCTGAACAGTAGCCCAAACACCTGGGTTCTTGTCTGAGTGCTGCCATTTATGGGCCATGTCATTTTGGACTAGTCACTTCTCCCTTCTGAGCCTCAGTTTCCTCATCTACGAAATGGAGGGGTTGGCCTGGAATCTAGATTCTAGATGATCCTTAAAGTCCCTCTCAGCTTGGCCATCTGCTCACCTTCCTTCCTCACTGGCCTATCTTCTATTTCAAGGCAAGACCTCTCCAGGGCAGGAGCTCCATCTCCCCCATCCAAGGATCTCAGTAATCAGGGACTCTCCTGGACAGGGAAGCCAAGGAGCTCAGAAACAGTGGCAAAACTCCCCTGTTGCTGACTGCCAGTCCCCAGCTTGAGCCCCAGAGGCAGCCCCAGAGCCCCATAGAGAACCAACTTGTGCCTTCATCAGCTTTCTGCCTCTCCTAACGCAGACAGGAGGCCCTGGCACCCCAGCCTTCCCTCCCATACAAACCCAGCACCTAGAGATGTGGAACTATGGCCCCTTTCCTCCTCCTGTCAGAAGCACAAACATCCTAGTCTATTCAGAGAGACCCTGAGGCATGAAAGGTCTCATGAATCTTTATTCCCCTCATGGAACCCTGCCTCAAAGCCCACCCTACCCTCCACACTGTCCCCTTCCCCCACCTTCTGCAGAGTCTATCCCCTCCTCAGGCTAGATCATCCTGGCAGGTGAGCTGTGAAGAGGAAAAATGAGTAAATCTCTCAGTTTGGCTCGACTGGGATATTAGATGTCAGTCAGTCCCAGGGCTCAGAAGCATCTTAACCTGTGAGGAAGAGGTCCACAGCCTTCTCTATCTTGGGATTTGAGAAGCTCTAGAAAGCCCCCAAAATGCCTCTCCCATCAGCCTCTCCAACTTCCCATGGTCTCACAGCATGGTTTCATGATTCGTATCATCACAGGACGTTAGAACCAACTGAGACCCCTTCATTTTACAGATGCGGACAGAAGCTGAGGCCCAGAAAAGGGAAGTCTTATGTCCAAAGTCACACAAGGAGCAGCTGAGCTGGGACAACTCCCCTGGTTTCCATTTCCTTCACCGTAAAGTGAGGGCATATAGCCTAGATGGGCTCTGAAGGCCCTTCCAGCCTTGCTCTACAAAAACAACCACCGTATGTGCAGTGTCTAGTGCCAAGCACTACATGATGTTCTTTAATTTTCACAACAAAGCTATGCTACAGATAGTGTTCATTCTGTGACCGTGTTCATATCCTGTCTATCTGAATAGATTGGGTGGTAACACATCATTTGTTCCTATGTAAAATATCAACCCAGCTGCCAGTTGGCATTCTCCCACTCATGTCAATTCCCTTGGGATTCGAAAAGGACCTTGCTAAGGTAACCCTTAGGAAAGGGAATGTTTTAGGCTGCACCATCAGCTGGTCCCTGAGTGGGAGTCCACATTTTAAACAGGTTTCTCATGAAGTCACCCAGTGAAGACACTGTAAGTCTGGAGGTAGGGGACAGCAATCAGAGGCCCTTTGGTCACTGCACAGTTCCTTTAACTGCAACCCTAGGCTGGCCTGACCCAGCTGCTGCAGGAAGGGGAGGGGCCATGGGAGGGGGTCAGAGCCCACAGCAGGACTGTTGCATAATCCTTGGGGCCTGGCCTTGGGCAATCCACCCTGGTTCTGAAGTTTGTGCTTTGTGTCTGGTTCCTTCCTTTTCTGCCTTCTCTCCTGCTTTCTAGCTCTGGGCTTTCCCAGCTCCGAAGTCAATACTGAGATCCCAGATGTGTCCAGAGACATCCTGAAGAGGCTCGGGGGTGGAGGAGCCTTAGTGTGTCCACAAAGGGACTCCTGAAACTGACTGAGAGCCAGTGGATTTGCCAGCAGTCTGGTGAGTCTTCCAGATTGAGATTTCCCTCCCTCTCCCTGTCAGTTAAAACCCCTTTCCAATGATACCTAAGAAAACTGAATGGTAACTGCCCTGCCCTGGGATGGAGCTTGGGACGACTAGGAGCTTTCACCTTCACTGTATGTGCTGCGTCCATTCTTTTTTTTTTTTTTTAAACCTATGTGTACATATTTGCTTCTTGAAAATAAAAAAAAAGTTTTTAATCCTCTTCTACATAATACAAGTATATGCTCATAGCAAGCCTTGAAGGAGGAGGGAAAGGATGATCATCTTTCTTTGTGGGGTTTTTTGTTTGTTTGTTTGTTTGTTTTTTGAGACAGAGGTCTTGCTTTCCTGCCCAGGCTGGAGTGCAGTGGTGTGATCTCGGCTCACTGCAACTTCCACCTCCTGAGTTCAAGCGGTTCTCCTGCCTCAGCCTCCTGAGCAGCTGGGAATACAGGCGTGTACCCGGCTAATTTTTGTATTTTTAGTAGAGACGGGGTTTCTCCACGTTGGCCAGGCTGGTCTCGAACTCCTGACCTCAGGTGACCCACTGGCCTCAGCCTCCCAAAGTACCGGGATTAAAGGAGTGAGGCACCACAGCTGGCCTATTTTTTAAAATTGTGCTTAAAACACACACACACACACACACACACACACACACAAAACATAAAAATATACCATCTTAGTCATTCTTGAGTGTACACTCAGTAGTGTTAACTAGATTCACCTTGTTGTGCAGCAGATCCCCAGAATCTCCTCATCTTGTAAAATTGAAACTCTATACCTACCATACAACAACTCCATGATAATGTCTTTTGGTAGATGAGGAAACCAAAGCCCACCCAGGGAAAGGAACTTATTTCCTTCAGAGTAGGCTCATCAAGACACTTACACTGTTTGTTTGTTGTCTACCTATGAAATTGCCTGAGGCCCCTTCCTCCTTCAACCCTCACTTAGCCATTTCCTCCTCAGGTCTTACGACTGTCTCTACCCCCACTTCCCTACTTTGTTATCCTCTCTGCCCCAATTCATGACTCAGCATCTTACACTAAACTATTTCAAGACTCTGGTAGCTGGGCTCACTGCCTCAATTCCAGCTCCCTCCAGTCCACATGACAGCCAGAGTATCCTTTCCAGGCACAGATCTGACCATTTTATCTTCTTTTAAGATACCATTCCATGGCTTTTCCCTAGCTACAGAATAAAGTTCCAACTCTACAGCGTGGCACTCAAGGCCCCCCATGATCTGGATCCTCTCTCTCCTGCCCCACATCCTACACTATTCTTCCACACATCTTACACTCCAACCTCTTTATGCTACTTTCCATTCTTCTAAACATTTACACACTTTCTTGTTCTGCCTTTGCTCATGTTTCCTTCATCTTTTCTGCCTCTTAAAAACCCTTCAAGGTCCAACTCAAATGCCTCCATCACTGTGGACACTCTCTGAGCCCTGATCAGTATCCATCACTTATTCCTTTCAGCCTTAGTAGCTCTTTGCTTGTCCCCTGCATTGTATCAGAGCCCCTGGGCGAAGGCACTGGATCTGAGCCACCCCGAACTCCCATCACAGGGTGTGGCCCATATTGGTGATAACTATCTAGATTATTTTTTGAGTTATTTATTTCATCATGCTGCTCCTACTTGCTATTGGCCCACACGAGGGAAGCAGCAGCCACAGAGTTCTTGCCTGACACATGGGGTAGTAGATGAGAACGTGTATCTCCTGGATCTTAACTCAGTGAGCTCTTGTTCTTTTCCCCTCCTCCATCCAGACAAGGCAGCACAAGTACTAGATGTCAGAAGGCCCCAAAGGCCTTGCATGAAATGCTGCCCAGTCCTGGCTGATTGTGTTCATAGAGCCATTGATGAATATTTTTCATAGTCAGAATGATCATCTTTTCCAGGGAAGAGATCTTATGGTTAATAGTCACATATTAGTTTGTTAACAGTTCTACCCATATGATGGAGGACTGAATGCTTGGCCCATAGAGAATTCCTTAAAGTGAACATCTCTACTAGAAACTATTGAGAGAAGGAGAGCACCCAGCCAATCTAGAAAAAGGGAATACCCAGCCAGTCTCAAGGTAGTGCCCTGGGAAAGGAGAACACCCAGTCTCAGGGTAGTCCTCCAGACTGGGGTAAGAGACATAGCCCTGCTGACCAGACGCATGTGGTCTGATGATATCCTTATCAAAAACAAGAGGACAGCCACATATTGCCTTATATGTAAGTGCTGGGGGGAAGGGAAGGCTGTGATGATAAAGGCAGTGTAGTGTGGCTGAGAGGTGGGGAGCACTGAATGGAGGCTTCCTAAAGGAAGTGAGTGTGGGGCCTTGTTTATAGGGAATTACATATGGTTTTTCAGAGACAAGGATGCAAGTCTGTTTTAAGATGTTCTTTCTGGCTGGGCGCCTGTAATCCCAGCACTTTGGGAGGCCGAGGTGGGCGAATCACAAAGTCAGGAGATCGAGACCATCCTGGCTAACATGGTGAAACCCTGTCTCTACTAAAAATACAAAAAAATTAGCCTGGCGTGATGGCGGGCGCCTGTAGTCCCAGCTACTGGGGAGGCTGAGGCAGGAGAATGGCGTGAACCCAGGAGGCGGAACTTGCAGTGAGCCGAGATTGCGCCACTGCACTGCAGCCTGGGCGACAGAGTGAGACTCCGTCTCAAAAAAAAAAAAAAAAAAAATGTTTTCTATATTATAGACTAAGGATCTCTGAGAAGAAGGGAAAGGAACATTTATAATCACTTACTATATGCCAGGTACATAATGACTTTATTTCAGGAGACAAGATAGTTGGCGTGCTTGTGTCTTCTTTTTGTGGGCAGGTAAACCCCAAGCCAGACTGAGAACTCCTTTCACTCTCCCGCCCTCAGGCCCAAGCTGCTGTTCTCTTCTCCAGTGCCTGCAGTGGTTACCAACCTGTTCCCGTTTCCCTGACCACCTCTTTCCAACAGAATTTCTACAAATAGCTAGGAATATCTAGTCTTTGGGACACAGGATGCTTGAGAGGGCAAATGATCCAGCTTCTGGCCTCCAGGCAGGATGAAATTTAAACCATCCCCAGGTGTCTTCCAAAAGGTGTCCGTGGAGTCTTTTTTTTTTTTTCTTTTGAGACAAAGTCACGCTCTGTGGCCCAGGCTGGAGTGCAGTGGCTCTATCTTGGCTCACTGCAACCTCCACCTTCTGAGTCCAAGTGATTCTCCTGCCTCAGCCTCCCAAGTAGCTGGGATTACCAAGCGCTCACCACCACGCCCAGCTAATTTTTGTATTTTTAGTAGAGACGGGTTTCACCACATTTGCCAGGCTGGTCTCCAACTCCTGATCTCAAGTGATCCCACCCGCCTCAGCCTCCCAAAGTGCTGGGATTACAGGCGTGAGCCACTGTGCCCAACCTGTCTGTGCAGTCTAAAGAGAACTGTGCTCAAGGAGAGTTGTGATGAATGTCTTCTAATGGTGCTGCACAGTCCTGCTGAGAGCTAGCATGGAAGTGGAAGCAGCTCTAAGCTAGCCACAAAGAGCAGGGCTTTCTGTCTTGGCTCTACTTCCAATATTCTGTGATCATGGACAAGCCACTTATTCTCTCAAGGCCTCAGTTTCCCTGTGTATAAAATGGCAAGAGTTATATTAAATAATCCTTAAGTTCCTTCTAATCTAAAGTTCAGTGATTTATAGAAACCAAAGAAAGGAGAGATTAATATGGGTTCTGATGGTCAGGGAAGGCTTTGTTGTACAATTATTTATTGAGTACTTACTTATTGAATGCTGTCATAAGTGATTGCATATAGCAGTGAGTAAAACAAATATAGGCCCTGCCCTTATTGTTTAGTGTATGGTCTAATGGAGAAGACAAACATGTAATCAAGCAGCTAGAATAAGCTATTGTATTAGTCCATTTTCATACTGCCATGAAGAAATACCTGAGCCTGGGTAGTTTATAAAGAAAAAGAAGTTTAATGGACTCACAGTTCCACACGGCTGGGTAGGCCTCACAATCACGGCAGAAGGCAAAGGAGGAGCAAAGGCACATCTTAAACAGTGGCAGGCAAGAGAGCAGGTGCAGGGGAACTGCCCTTTCTAAACCATCAGATCTCGTGAGACTTATTCACTATCATGAGAACAGCATGGGAAAAACCCACCCCCATGATTCAGTTACCTCCTACTGGGTCCCTCCCATGACACATGGGGATTATGGGAGCTATGATTCCAGATGAGATTTGGGTGGGGACACAGCCAAACCATATCAGCCATGATGCTAAGATTTTACCTGGGATCTGAAGGGAGGAGGTCATTTGAGCTGCAGGTGACAGAGCCATCCCCTCTCTCTTTTCTTTTGCCACCAGAGCTTCTACCGAGTCTTCCCCCACCTCAATCCCTGTTGCTATGGAGACTACCAATGGAACGGAGACCTGGTATGAGAGCCTGCATGCCGTGCTGAAGGCTCTAAATGCCACTCTTCACAGCAATTTGCTCTGCCGGCCAGGGCCAGGGCTGGGGCCAGACAACCAGACTGAAGAGAGGCGGGCCAGCCTACCTGGCCGTGATGACAACTCCTACATGTACATTCTCTTTGTCATGTTTCTATTTGCTGTAACTGTGGGCAGCCTCATCCTGGGATACACCCGCTCCCGCAAAGTGGACAAGCGTAGTGACCCCTATCATGTGTATATCAAGAACCGTGTGTCTATGATCTAACACGAGAGGGCTGGGACGGTGGAAGACCAAGACACCTGGGGATTGCGTCTGGGGCCTCCAGAACTCTGCTGTGGACTGCATCAGGTCTCAGTGTCCCTATCTGTAAGATCAACAAGAAACACGGTTAAGGGAGGTCGTCACTGGGGTGGGAGAAGAGGGGCTGGTAGACCGAAGCCTTGTGCATAAGGATTTTTTCCCAGGAAAAGATAGACTTTATAAACAGTGGGAGCCCATGAACAAACATATAAAAGTAGCAACAGATAATGACCAATAACTGGTTCAGTGGCTGGAGTATTAGGGGCCTGGGGATTGGAGAACGGAGAAGAAGTTGTAGCAGAGGGAAATGAGACAGGAAGATGCTCTGGGGACACATTTTTTATGTGTTATCTTCAGCCATGAGAAGCAGTGATGACTATCCCATATCACAGATATGATTTACCACCACCACCCTGCCCCCGCTCCCGTGAAGAAAGCAGGGCAAGTGCTGTGCTGCCCATTTGGGCCTGCATAGTGCCATGATTGGAACCCAGGAACTCTGGTCTCCTTGCCTAGTGCTTTTCAAAACTCTGTGCTACACAGGAGTGGATCCAGGCCTGAAGGTCATACAATTCTGGGGACTCTCTTTAAGAAAAAGAATTCTAAAATATCTTACTTTTGCAAACATTATGAAAATATACTGCCACATTAATATGTTGCTAGGGCCCCTGCTAGGACCTTAAGAAGGAGCTCATGTGAGTCAGGACCCTGAATGTTAGGCCTCGTTAGCTCTATGGTTCATATGCTTCTTGAACCAAGTCACAGGGCACTTCCCAGCCACATTGCCAGGCAACAGGACTAAACTACCTCCAAAGCAAGCAGTCTTTTCAGTTTTGACTGAGTGATGTGAGAAACTTCTTTTCTTTTCTTTTCTTTTTTTTTTTTTGAGACAGTCTCCCTATGTCACCCAGGCTGTGGTGCAGCAACCCAATCTTGGCTCACTGCAACCCCCACCTCCCGGGTTCAAGCAATTATCCTGCCTCAGCCACCTGAGTAGCTGGGATTACAGGTTCCTGTCACCACACCCAGTTAATTTATATATATATATATATATATATATTTAAGTAGAGACAGGGTTTCACATGTTGCCCAGGCTGGTCTCGAACTCCTGTCCTCAAGTTATCTGCCCATTTTGGTCTCCCAAAGTGCTGGGATTACAAGTGTAAGCCACCACGACTATCTGAGAGAAGTTTTCTGATGTCATGTTGAATCTGCTTCTAAAAGACTGATACTGCCAAGGTGGGCGGATCACCTGAGGTCAGGAGTTCGAGACCAGCCTGGCCAACATGGTGAAACCCCATCTACTAAAAAAATACAAAAATTAGCCAGACCTGGTGGCGGGTGCCCGTATTCCCAGCTACTTGGGAGGCTGAGGCAGGAGAATTGTTTGAACCCGGGAGGTGGAGGTTGCAGTAAGCCAAGATCACGCCACTGCACTCCAGCCTGGGTGACAGAGCAAGGCTCTGTCTCAAAAAAAAACAAAAACAAAAACAAAAAAGACTGATATCGCACCTAAATTATTATTATATTAAAAGAAGCAGAGTATGAGAGACAGGTACATGGTCCAGTAGGAAGAGAAGCAGCCCTGATTCTACCACTTAAGGTGATGTATGATCTTAGGCTGGACACTTCTCTCCCTCATCCGTTTTCCTCTTCAACATAATGAAATAGACTTGAAAGTCTCTAAGGCTCTATCAGTTCTGACATTCTAGGCTTCATATACATTAAGTTGAGCCATATGTAATCACTGTGTTTGTAGGTTAGAAACAGCTGAGTATCGTAGTTTCATATATGGTTCCAGCTAATACATGCAATGTGGCTGGTGAACACTTCTGAATTCAGAAACTATCCCAGATCTCAGCTAGAACCATCCACTGTTCTGTTTGTCCAGTTTCAACTTAAGGGATCTCCATGCGGTCCCTGGAAGTACCCATTGAAACATGCGTATTTGTGTATAGCAGAACTCTGAAATAATATTCTGACAGCAGTTATCTCTGAGGAATTGGGTTATAGGTGATTTTCCCTTTCCGCATGATAAATTTATGTAATATTTGACTGACTTGACCGTAAGTATGTTACTTGTATAATAAAAGGAAAAAAGGTACTTCTATTTTGAAAAAATAAAAATAAAAGCCTTTGGGTTCTTGAATGGAGGATCATGGAACACATTTGCTGCCATATGCAGTTATGTTGATGCTCTGCAAACCTGTGCTGAGCCCTGTTGCTCAAGCCCTTCCTCATCTCTTCTTGAGGGAGAAGGTGGAGACTTCCTTAAGGAGATGTGACATATGGGAAGACAACAGATTCAGAAATTTACGTGGATAGGACTTTAGACACCACCCAGCCCAAACTTCCAAATAAAATATGGAACGCAATTGGGTGTAAGAATGAATGGTTAGGTGATGAATGCCATAAGGATTTTGAGAAATGAAATTGACTAGGAGGAGTCAGACACTTGAATTCATTTAGCTTTTAAAACCCTCATAACAACCCTATGTAGTAAGTAGGTATTCCTTACAAGTATTTCCACAGAGGTGTTTCTGCTGTAGCACCTTCATGTACCTTCAGCCCAGTTTAGGTCCCATGGTAGAACTTGAGAGAGGTAGAACTTGAACTGGGCTTTGAAAGCTAGGACAGAGCTAAATGGGCAGAGTGAATGAAGGGATCAAGATCAGGGAAGCTTGGAGGCAGATGTTGGGGAGCTCCCTCCTGGAGAGGGCAGGTAGGCTGGGGAGACAGCAGGAAGCAGGCCTCCTGGGGCTACTCCATGACTTCAGTGTCCCCAGTGGAGAAGGCTCCCCTTCACACAGTCCTCACACTCCATGGGCATAATCATAAAATAATACAAATTATTTTGGTTGTGAGTTACAGGCACCTGATGTATATTAGCATAAGTACAAAAGGGAATTTCTGAGGTGTATGGGGTAGCTCAAAGTTTAAAGAAGGAGCTGCAGACACCAGGGCAACTCCAGGGATCTCGGGGCCTGGAACAACGGATCTGTCTGAATTCACAAACTAAGAACTTGGTATGTTTCCTTACACACACCCAGGTTGGACTAAATAAAAATCTAGGATTTGAAGGGAGTAAAATTTAAACATTCTAATATCCTATGGTGGCCAGGCGCAGTGGCTCACGCCTGTAATCCCAACACTTTGGGAGGCTGAGGAGTGTGGATTACTTGAGGTCAGGAGTTCGAGCCAGCCTGACCAACATGGTGAAACCCCATCTCTTCTAAAAAAACCCACAAAATTAGCCAGGTTTGGTGGTGCACGCCTGTAATCCCAGCTACTTGGGAGGCTGAGGCAAGAGAATCTCTTGAACACGGGAGGCAGAGGTTCCAGTGAGCCAAGATCGCACCATTGCTCTCCAGCCTGGGCAACAAGAGTGAAACTCCGTCTCAAAAGATATCTATATCTATATATCTATATCTATATATCTATATATCTATATATCTGTATCTCTGTATCTCTGTATCTCTGTATCTCTATATCTCTATCTCTATCTCTATCCATATCCTATGGTATAGGCACTTCACGCAGCCCTCCCTCCAACCCAGTCGTCTGGGAGCCTGTCCTGCCACCTCTTGTAGGTCAAAGCCTGTAGGAGCTTTGTCTTCCCAGGTTCTGCCCTCTGCTGGCCAAATCTCGGCACATCGCCTTAAGCCCTCAAAGCAAAACCAATCATGGATTCAACAGGTATTGTTGAGTGCCTACTATGTGCCACGCATTCACCTAGGCACACTTGGAATACATAAGTAAACAAAAACATCCCAGAAATCCCTGCACTAATACTTAAGAGCATTTACTCCATGCCAGGCATTGGTCTCAGCGTTTTACACACTTGAATTCATTTAGCTTTTAAAACCCTCATAACAACCCTATGTAGTAAGTAGGTATTCCTTACAAGTACTTCCACAGAGCCCAGTTGTTTTTGACCTAGCACCTTCATGTACTTTCAGCCCAATTTAGGTCCCATGGTACGCACAGCCCAGAGCATGGATCTGAACAGTCTCCAGAGATGAATGAGAAAGTGATTTGGGAAAAGGATGGCAGAGTACTGACACCAGTGGCCTGAAGTTGGGTTTCCTAGAAACAGACCTTGAGGCAGAATTTTTTTTTTTTGAGACAGGGTCTCGCTCTGTGGCTCAGGCTGGAGTGCAGTGGCCTAATCAGGGTTCACTGCAGCCTCGATTTCCCAGGCTCAAGCGATCCTCCCGCATCAGCTCCCCAAGTAGCTAGGACTACAGGCGTGTTCCATCATATCCAGCTAATATTTTATTTTAGTAGAGATGAGGTCTCGCTATGTTGCCCAGGCTGGTCTCAAACTCCTGAGCTCAAGCAGTCCTCCCGCCTCAGCCTTCCAAAGTGCTGAGATTACGGACGTGAGCCACCACACCTGGCCATCTGACAGACATTTATTGATGGGAAGTATTTTTCAGGAAAAACCTGCAAGGGAGAGAGTGGAGTAGACAGGAAAGGGAAAGCATCATACAAAGTGTGTCTCGGTCACATCTAGCCTTGGCCTGATCCACGGGGAACTGTCATATATGGTGGCATAAGTCCCACAGCAGAATTACACTCCCTTGAGGCAAGGCAGCTGGCCTTTTGTATCCCCAAAGCAGCCAGTCATTGGTTGTGGGCCACCCTGGCAGGGAAGAGGGACAAGAGGGTTTTGAGGAGGTTCCCATCAGCTGTGGGGAAGGGAACAGCTGTGAGCTACTGCAGAATAGAGCAGTGGAAGAAAGGTAAGCAAAGGAGTGCTCTTGGTTGGAGACTAGCAATAGCCTCGTTCCTTGGGAAGGTTCTGAAGCTCTTTTTTCAATCACAGAATTGGCCCCACCTTTTGTGACCTTTTTTACTATCCTATATCAGTCATCGGCTGCTAGTTGCTACAGAGGTACTTACTCTCCCAGGGTGTGCTCATATTTGACTCAGGCAAAATCTCTGGGGATGGGGACAGCTCTAGGCTGATTATGGCAGCCTGGTGAAGGGGGCCTCTGGGGCTCCAACAGCATCCATGATAGCTGTGCTGTTGGGGAAACGAAAGTAGAAGCAGAGTGTCACATCTTGGGAGCTCCTTCTAGTTTAAGAGACAAGAAGCACACACCAAATAATGAACAAAAATAAGACAATACCAAATAGAACTAAGTAGGAAACAGTATCATTAAGCATCAGAAAGTGTGGGGGACAGATACTAATGTGGTGGTCAAGAAGAGGAGAGGACATCGGGCACAGTGGCTCACGCCTGTAATCCCAGCACTTTGGGAGGCCAAGACAGGTGGATCACTTGAGGTCAGGATTTCAAGACCAGCCAGCACAACATGGTGAAATCTCCTCTCTACTAAAAAAAAAAAAAAAAAAAAATTAGCTGGGTGTGGTGGCGTGCACCTGTAATCCCAGCAACTCAGGAGGCTGAGGCAGGAGAATCGCTTGAACCCAGAAGGTGGAGGTTGCAGTGAGCTGAGATGGTGCCACTGTACTCCAGCCTGGGTGACAGAGCAAGACTCTGTCTCAAAAAAAAAAAAAAGGGGGGGGGTGGGGAGGGGGAGAGGGAAGTTCATGCATATTTCTGGGAAGAAGTAGAATTTGTGGTGGAATATGAACAACTGGTAGGATTTGGTTAGAAAGCCCAATGAAGGGCCAGGTGCAGTGGCTCACTCCTGTAATCCTAGCACTTTGGGGGGCTGAGGCGGGTGGGTCACCTGAGGTCAGGAGTTCGAGATCAGCCTGGCCAACATGGCGAAACCTCATCTCTACTAAAAATACAAAAATTAGCCAGGCATGGTGGTGGGCACCTGTAATCCCAGCTACTCAGGAGGCTGAGGCAGGAGAATTGCTTGAACCAGGGAGGCGGAGGTTGCATTGAGCCGAGATTGCACCATTGTACTCCAGTCTGGGCAACAGTAGCGAAACTCTGTCTCAAAAAAAAAAAAAAAAAAAAAAAAAAAAAAAAAAAAGTCCAATGTAGGCTGGGTGTGGTGGCTCACACTTGTAATCCCAGCACTTTGGGAGGCCAAGGCAGGAGGATCACAGGAGGATCCCAGCCCAGGAATTCAAGACCAGCATGGGCAACATGGTAAAATCCCATCTCTACTAAAAATAATTTTTAAAAAAGCCAGGCATGGTGGTGTGTGACTGTACTCCCAGCTACTCAGGAGGCTGAGGTGGGTGGATCAACCTGAGCCTGGAAAGTCAAGTGGCTGCAGTGAGCTGTGATAACACCACTGCACTCCAGCTCTCAAAAAATAAATTAATTAATTAATTAAAATAAAAAATGAAGGTCCAATATAGTATGATCCAAGCTCAGTGTTCAAAGTAGGTGGATGGCTTCGCTCTACTCAAACATTCAGAGACTGAGGATGGCAACTGCCATCTTCAACATGTAGCTTCCAAGGTCGCTCATTGTCAAAGCATTTTCTGGTTGGTGAGGAAAGAAACAGAATAGAATTCCAGGGCCAGGGACTTACTCTCAAGAAAGCAAGGCAAAAGCTGCGTACATCTCTTCTGCTCAGCTCCATTGACGACGGCTTAAAAAACGTGGCCACAAACTGGCTGCAAGGGGAGCTGGCACATGAGGTGCCTGTCTGAGTAGTCAAGTCCCAGCCAAACATCTATCACTATGGAATAAGGAGAGAATGATTTCTGGTAGACAGCCCCAGAAATCTTTACCCCACCCTCCTCACGCTCCCCCACAGTCTGTCTTCACCCCACCCTCCTAATTCTCCCCCGCAGGATTAGTCAAGATAAAAACATTTATAAACCTGCTGGGAAGGAAGAAGTGCTGTTATTCTGATTAGATCATGTTTTGGAGGGAGGGGGTGAAGACGGGAGCCTTTTGAGAGTATAACTTAGCCTATCCTGGGAGTGTGACTTGTGCTCTTTTTTTTTTTTTTTTTTTTTCTAGCACAGGTGAGTCTGGTCTCTCCTCTCATTAGAATAATATCCAAGATTTCGGTTTAGGCATAGAAGAAATAGACAAAGCAAGGCTTTCAGCCAAACTTGTATGGAAAAAGAATCTTCTTTCAGGTGCTGCTAAGAAACCAAGAACATTATTTCCCTGGATGAAATGAGAGAACCATCTGTGGAAGTGGTTGAACTGTGATGGAGAATGAGCTCCTGGGAACAAGAAAGTCAGAAATTCATGAACAGGAAAGAAAAATTAATATTTGATGAACAACTGAATTCCTCACTGCCTGTTGCCCTGGGACACAGGGAGCTGTCTCACCAAGGTTACAGCTCCTTCTTGGAGCGGCTCACAACCAATGAGGAGCTGATACAGGGATCCAAAGGTCTGATTCCATCACTGATTTGGGGCAACTCTGAGAGGCCATCTTGGCTCCAGAATTCCCCATAGGATCAGCTGAGGCTTCAGTGGCAACCACATTGTGAATTAGCTTCTTCCTCCGCCCACCCCTGCTTTCTCACTTCCTATTTCCCAAGAGTACTTCCCCCAACAACCTTCTGCATGCGATTCTCCATTTCAGTCTGTTTCCAAGAGAATCCATCCCTTCCTCAAGAACTGTGCCCTAACATGGAGTCCATTCCAAAGTCAGTACCAGTGATAATTGAGCAATGGGATGATAGAATGTAGATGAGGCAGTTAGTGGTTCCAGCAAACCAAAAAGATGGCAAGGCAGTGAGAGACCAGCAGTGTAGGAAACAGCCAGCTATATTCATTGAAAAAGAAGAACTAGCCACTAGAGGGCCCAACACTACAGGTTTACAGCTCTGCTGCTACTTTTTAGAGCACAGAATTTTGCCCTTCATCTGGCAGACATCCAGTGTAATTGTCTACACAGTGGGGGAACATTGTTGGCCATGCTTCCTTCTCTTTTACCTATTCTGGAGACACCAGTGTCCTGGCCTGTTCCAATACCCCAGCACCAAGCCCCCGTGCCATTACATATGAGCCTATTCCCATAAATCAAGGCTTCCAGAGCCTGTTTTTAATACCCACTGTTCTCATTGTTTCAAGGGACTCTGAAGATGTGAAATGTGAAATCCAAATAATTGGTTGTGACCATCCTCACCTAGGAATGGAGAGAATCAGCAACATATTGTCTAGTTCTGCCACTTTCTCTACCCCCCATCCCCCCACCCACCAATTTGTAATAAAGATAAGACACACAGACTTAGATGCAAAATATAGTAGCCAAGGGAGAAAGGGGATATGAGAGCCTTCTCAGAAGATGAAAAAGTTTGAGAACATTGTATAATTGAGTGAATTAATGAATTATTTCTACCATGGATTTATTTAAAGACTTAAAGGAAATTTTCTTCTGTACCCTATTTGGAAGGACAGTCCTTTGTAGGTTGGGGGACTTCCCTTACCTCAGGAGGAAAATATTGGGAGGTCTCTATAAATTTCTCAAGGGTCAGAGTTAGATTGTCTGTGAGAGGGAAAACTCTGAGGATTAAAGGGACAAGAGCTGGATTCTACAAGACCAGGAGGATGGAGGGGTGGTGGAAGTCAGCCCGTGAACTCTCCCCCATTGCCCTCATAGTATCTCTGGCAGTGATGACTACAAAGACACCTGGGGGATAGTTACCAAACCATAGCTTTGGGACCATACAGGAGTTCTGGGTGGCCAGGTTTACAATGGAAGCAGTAAATATCTTACGCAAGTGGGCCAGATACCTCTGGCTGCTCCACACCTGCTTGGACAATGAGCACCTTCACCACAACTGCAATGGACTGAGATGGTCCCCCAGGTTTTCCGGATTGGGTAAGCCCTGGGGTTTTTGCATCCCCACAAAGTCTCTGAAATTAGATGTTCCACAAACCTGGCAGGTGGGGGTGAAGCTAAATTTAATTGGATTTGAATTAGACAGATAAAAGTTTGATTTGATTCAGAAATAAATAAATAAATATAATGTTCTTCTACTTGCTATAGAGCAAATTAAATGGGTTACAATATTGGGAGCTCTGACATCGCAATAGCAAACCTAGCCTGGCCCGGTTAATAAAAGAATAGTAATACTCTATTGAGGGGTTGCCACGTGTTAGGCAGTGCATTCTTTCATTTAATCCTCACAATATACCTATGAGGTAGACTGAGACTTAGAGAAGTCAAGTGGGTTGCCCAAGGTCACATGGTTAGTAAATGGCAAACCAAGTTTGTTGGACTCCATGTCTAACTTCTATAGCCATTCATTCCCTGTTGTCTAGCCATTCATTGACTGACATCTAATCCATCATTTACTAATCTGTTTAGCCAGATATGCACTCAGACAGTAAATAGAATTAACAGTTATTCTGTTCCTTAAACATTGAGACAGATCTAGTTGTAGTTTAGAGAACAAAAGAATCTTAGAATCATAGAATGTTTGCACTGGCAGCTGGTCTAGAGGGAAGAGCAAAGCTTTAGAACCAGGTGGACTAGCTTGGAATGTTGGCTCTGCTATTCATTCTGTATATGACCTTGAGCAATTTATTTAACCTAATTCTCAGCTTCCATATCTGTATATCACAAATATATGCACATTCTCTCTAGACTAATATGAAGAGTAGAGATAATGTCACATGGAACAAGTGCAAAAATGCAAGTCCCAGCACAAAATGAAAATGCTGGCACCTTGTTCAAAAATTACCGATAATTTAAAGATGGTGACAGCAGAGTATTAAACCAAGTGTGGGGGCCCTTGTAAGCATAGGCCATGGTGGCACATCCACAGCCTGGCACAGAGTGGGTCTGCAATAAATTGTAGTCCTTTTTCTCTCTAGATCACTGATTATAACCCTCTCCTTTTGCAGATGAGGAAACTGGAGTCCAAAGAAGAGTTTAAAAATGCAAATCAGGGCCGGGCACGGGGGCTCATACCTGTAATCCCAGCACTTTGGGAGGCCAAGGTGGGTAGATCATGAGGTCAGGAGTTCGAGACCAGCCTGGCCAACCTGGTGAAACACCGTCTCTATTAAAAATTAAAAAATTAGCCAGGTTCAGTGGCATGTGCCTGTGATCCCAGCTACTCAGGAGGCTAAGACAGGAGAATCGCTTGAATCCGGGAGGCAGAGGTTGCAGTGAGCTGAGTTCACCCTACTGCACTCCAGCCTGGGCAATAGAGCAAGACTCCTTCTTGGTGGAGGGGGGGAACACAACTTAGTACCAGAGCCAAGACCACAACCAGACCTCCTTTGTTCCTAGCCAGTGGTCTTTACCCAGCATTTCCAAAGCCTGTGTTCTATATGATGATAATAGATATTCCATGTATAAAAGTTTCCATCAACAAGCAAGTTTATAAAACACTGGATTAAGATTAAAGAGACATCTTTTGCAGAGCTCTTCAGAGACTTTTATGTGCAACAGGAGTCTCCAAGACAGGGATATAATATGAAACATTGCACAAAAGTATTTGATGTGGGACCCTTTTGCAGGAGCATATTAAGCGTCTCTCAGAACTCTTTCAGAAATGCCACTCTAAACACTGCCCCAGGGTGATGGAAGTTTCCATGGGTTTTGATCTGTGGGGTGTGGTTGTTTTTATTCTAAATTAGAAGCAAATATATTATTTCCACTAGTCCTTTCTGTCAGCATCCCTGTCCCAGCTGACTTGTGAGCCTGAGGATATAAAGATAATGAAAACCAGACTCCAGGAAAAGCACACTTGTTTAGAGTCACCCAGCTGCATCCATAAGGCAGATGCAATATGCCTCTCTCCCAAGAGTAGAACACAGACAAAACATACACTAGGATCCCAAAATTCTTTCCATTCTGGGTAATTTGCTCACAGACATCACATTGCAAAAGTAATAGCCAAAGTCCCCTATAAAGTCACATAAGAAGCTGGGAAATCAGGATTCTTATCTCAGCACCTTCATTTATTAGCTGTTTGACCTAAATTGATCAATTCATCAGCTCGTCACTTTGCTTTTATCAAATACCTTCTTGCATCAAATTAAATTAATTTCTCCCTTTGTTGAACTACCATTATTTCATCTGTAGCACTCTCCCCCCAGGACTTTGAGAATCTCTATGGAATGTAGTTTGAAAATCAGCAGATTGGATGATTACTATAGATCATCCAGTCTATATGGATGGATGAAATCTATACAGAATCTATAGGGAAAGGAACTATAGTTCCTTTCAGCTATAATAGTCTGTGATTCAAATTTATATACAGTTTTGCGACCTATTGCCTCTGCCTATTAACCAAGGACCCTAGTTCCCTGAGAAATGCACCTCTTAATTTCTGAGAGGCCTGGAGAGTGATTCTCACATGCTGAATTGATGAGATGCCAGGTGACTTGGACACTTCTGGAGTTCCCAGTACATAGCATCTGTTACATGGAATGCATGGAGGTGAGGAAACTCTCTCTCCCCATCGTGCTATACTTTGTCACATGGGTTTCTAATGGGTAATATTTATGTCCTTTGCTTTCAGTAAAGCAGCTCTTCTATATTTTGCTGATTCCTTCCTAACCCCAGTTTCCCTCTACAAATTCCTAAGCCTGAGCTGCAGCAAGGTCAAGAAACAAATCTGTATGACAAACCTAATGTTAAATGTTGGCTCATTCCTCCTTGATTTTGAAGATTCTATTACTGGATCCATGTTGCCTATCTCCTTACTTTCCTTAAGATGAGTTCTCTCCCAGGAGAGACCCAAAGCCCTCACAAAAAATGGACTTTGGGTGAGTTGGGCCTACTAGGTCGAATATGCCCAATTGGTTCCTCCAGGAAGCAGATGCCAAAATGGAGTGAGAAGTGCCAGAAATGTACTGGGGCGGGGAATGCCTGTGAGGGAGCAGGAGTAGATGCGGGAGCCTCAGATGGTGATGCAGATCTGACACCAGCGAAAAAAAGAGGGAAGGAAGAAGGACCAGGCAGGAGGAGCGTCAGGTTTCAATGCAGCTCTGAGAAAGTCTCAGCCAGGCTGATGAGGAGCCCCAGAGCAGAGACTGCCCATTACAGGAGTCCCATGTTGGGCAGGAATGGCTTGACTTTCATACGTCTGCAGAGCTTGGTCAGTGGCAGGGAGAAGGCCAGGGTGAGCATAACCGGGGTGTAAACACTGCAGGAGAGCCCAAAGGTGCTGCTGCCTGAGGCCGGCCACTAACTGCTCTTCTCCCAGCAGGCTCCCTGTGGGAGACCTGAACAGCTCACTCCTGGTGGCTGCCATATCACGAATACCCACACCTGTGTGAATTCCAAAAGTGGACATAATTTAAGCTCAAACGGAGCCCCAAATGTACATTTATTACAATTTTTTGTTGAGTGTACAAAAAGTATTGCACTTGGCACAGCAGCAGCCCCACCCTCACCAGTGGAACAATCGAAGCGAAAAAGGACTAGTCTGGGAAGGTTTCAGGTAAACAAGTGAGTTTTTCTTACCATGATTGTCAACAACAGCCTCCATTATAGATTAACACTGTGTCAAGCTTAGTACGAGAGAACAATTCTCAGGGAGCTTAAGTTTGCAATAAAATATTCCTCACACGAGGCGCTCAGAGCAGACTTTTGAAGAGTTTACATGCCAATCACTGGATGCTCCAAGGAGGGAGGAGCTTCTTAGTAGAACTGGCCCTGGAGGCTACCAGAGAGACCTTGAAATTGATCTGGCAGCCAACTGGGTGGTGCAAGGACATGCTCCACCCCTAGGACCCTGCCAGCCAAGCTGTAGGATTTTTTGAGAGGCAGGCCCAACACCTGTTGTGGCTGCTGGATGAGATTCAAAATATAAGGAGAAAAGACAGAAGAGGAAGGAACTGGAAAAGAGGAATTTGTAGCTAGAAGAAGAAAGACAGCACGCTTTTCAGAACCGTGCCAGAATTCATCCCAGGCTAATCACCTGCCAAAAAAGAGATAGTGTCAGTGGTAGAAAGAACATTGGAGAGGACACTTAAGCTCTGCTGCTAACTCCTCAGCTGACCTTTGTCACTCAATGCCCCTCTGGGCCTGTGCTCCTTGGCTGTAATCTGCAGAGCTAAGCCAGACACCTAAAATTCTTCCATTTGAACAGTCTAGGAATCGAACAACCTTCCTTAAAATAATCTTGGAAGAGCCTAGTATGAAATGGGCGGCGGGGCGGGGGGGGGTTGGCGGGGGAAGGATAAAAAAGAATTTCCTGTGAACTCAGGAGCAATAATATAATACAACCTAATAACCTAACCTAATCATAGCAAGCATTACAACAGGCGGGGGAATCTGGGAATGGGAGCCAGTAACATCTCTAAAGTAGAGGTAATTTCATGATCAAGACATCCAGTGCATTGAAACGTGACGCTGTTCTATCTTTACAGAGTGTGCAGATGGTTGGGAAGGAAAATAGTTCCACCTGTCAGCTGATTCTAAAAGATCTGAGCTTCATATACATTCCGTCAACACATGAACCCCTAATGTCACTAAAGCAAAGAGATGGAACTGTCTCTGTCCTTTCCTGAACGCTCCTCCAGTTTTCTCTTATAAAAGCCGTTTCTACTCCCCTTTAAATCTGCATTCGCAGTTTGTTTTCACCTAGATAAGAATGCTGGGAAGGGAGAGCATACTGTTTTTTTTTCCCCCAGTCCTACTATTTTAGGATTCTAACAACAACAGGGTTGCATGCTCCCTTCTTATTTATTTCTCTCGTTGAGCTCAGAAAATGCCACAGATAAACCAAAACGAAATGAAAAACTGCAGTCAAGAGAAGAACATAATTAGCAGCCAATCAGGAAAAGGCTGTACAATCCCTAGGCCTTTAGATACTTTATCCTCTAGGCTGGGCCCTCCCAGAGAGGATCGGGTTTTCTCTTGGGGTTTCTTTTTGAATTAAGCACCACTGAGGGCTACGGTCCAGAAACACAAACTCTTAATCTAGTCCCTGGTAGACAAACAGGTCTAGGGAGATTGAATAACCTGCAGGGAGAGAGTCCTCTGGGATCCATGGGAGACCAGACTGAAGCAAAGAAAAAAGGGATTGTGGTGTCAGTGAGGACATAGGAGCAGCCACAGGAGGGCTGTGCTGCCTAAATAAATAATGGCATGTTTGGCAGCAGACCCAATTCTCAGACAGGCCTGGAGCCGACAGGTAGGCTGTCTGCTAACACACACTCACCCTTTGGATCTCAGCTTCAATGTTATTTCCTCTGGGAAGCAGGGTGCCACACACAGTTGAACTGGTTGCCTGCTGCACATACCAAGGGTGTGCTGATCACAGAAAATATATTACAGGTTTATATGCTTTTATAAAAATGTCCCGGCAGTTGGTGTTTTAAGGAAAGAGCACTCTTTTTTTCTCTGATTCACAAAAAGGTACTGGACTGGCAGTGACCTTGCTGAGAATCCTTTCCTAATTCTTATCAGAACAGGTTTAGTGCCCCTCCTATCTGTTCCAGAAGGACTCCATCTACCATGGTATTTACCACACTTTATTCTAATTGCCTTTTTACTAGTGTATACACAGTCTAGATTATCAGCTTTTGTGAGTCAGAGGCTGTGTCTCATTTGACACTGTACTCTGGGCCCCAGAACGCTTGGCCCGAGCACAGGCTCAATGGTATTTGTTGAATGAATAAGCAACATATTCTCAGCCATTCCAACGCTCTTGCCTAAGTGGACAGAGAGCTTGTCATAATAGAGTACTAGTCATGTCCAGGGTTTGAGTCCTTGCTCTACCTCTAACTTACTACACGATGTTGGCAAGTCACTTCACCCCAGTATTTTTGATGTAAAATAGGGATAACCCTACCCTGTCCACCTCAGAGGGTCATTATGCGGAGTAGTTTAGAAGTATTACTTGGTAAACTTATTAAAATATTGAACACATGGGAAGTATAGGCCATTCCAGGAAACTTGGACTACAAGGGGTCCAGGACCAGGAGTGACCTTACATCTGAACATAGTTAAGTAGTCACCTCCGGCAGAAAACTAATGATTTTTGGGTCAAGCAATACTTTTTTGGTTGCTAAGGGTAGAAATCTCAAAATGTCAAAAGACACATTTATTGTTTCATATAAGTAAGGGTAAAGTTATAGCTGGACCTCCAGGACAACTGGAAATAGGCACAATAATGCCACAAGGTAGATTGCATGCTTGTCCTCCCCCCGATCCCCACCCCACCTCCCACCCCACCACACCCCATCTGTCAGCCTACCAACTACAGACTGGCTTCCTCCACACTGCAAGGGATGTGGCTACCGATACCTCCTGGCTCCATCTCACACTTTTGCTATCTGAGGGGGACTGAGCCCTTCCCCTTACCTCTAATTTGCAAAATTTCTCTTTGGCCCTGGCTGGAAGAGACATGTTCATCCCTGTGCCAAGGGTGAGAGATTCTGTGATTTCCAGCTCCTACTGGAACTATATAGTTGAAGTGGGGGATCAGTGTTCAAAAAGAAGGGAGGTACTGTTCTAAGAAAGGCTAGGTACTAGGATTTCCACTACAATTTTCTAAAGATCATTCCCCCACTGAGACCTCCCATTAGCAATCAATTAGCTTTGGTTTGGGCTGTGCTCCTCTAGGACCATTCTTTCATATACCCTGAGTTCCTTATAATAGAAGGAAGGGAACAGAAGGGTGCCAAGTGCAGGAGAGGGACAAGCAACTAAGTAAACTCACAGTGTGCTTTCCTCTGCAGACCTGCAATAAATAACCAGAGAAGTGAGCCCTGTGTCTAGAAAAATTTATTCCCTTCCTAGGATTGATAGCAAATGACTTCACCTGCTCAAAGTCAGGTCCTAAATTCCTCTGTGCTTTGGCCAGGTTGCGGCTTGAGAGCAATGTTTGTGAACTACATGTCTGACCACTTTCACTTCTTGTACTGTAGCATCCCCTTCTTGTCTCCTTTTAAGCAGTCCAACTCACATATCTTATAAATGGACAAGCCAGAGTCCCAGAGAGGGAAAATTTATTATCTAACATCATACACTAAAAGGGAGTTCATGGTTAAGACAAGATCAGATTGTAGGTCATCTGACTTGTGTTTTTTCTATTATACCATCCTTTGTTTTTCTGCATGTTTATAACCTAAGAGATGTAGTTCACCTCTTAATCTCACCTTCTTCTGGTTCTTTTGTCTTTCTGGGTCACTTTTTAAGAGGATTTATCAAGGTCAGCTTCACTATACTCCTATTTAGTCACCTCTGGATCCCAGTCAGCTAGCAGTTTTCTTATCCTCTGCTATCAGGAATGAAATTCCAATACCAGAGATCCCATCCTACTGATGCAGTAGGATGCTCTTTAGCAGGAGTTCACTATTTAAGCTAGTCTTAACTTGTAGCAAAATTGCAGGCATCATCCTAGCTAACTCCTACTTACCTTCCAGATATCCATTTAGATCACTTTATTTCAGAAGGTAATATATAAAATGTATACCAAGAATACTTTCTATAAGCAACTCATAGTACCCCATACGTATTAGTTCATTCTCACACTGCTAAAGATAACTACCTGAGACTGGGTAATTTATAAAGAAAAGAGGTTTAATCAGCTCATGCTTCTGCAGGCTGTATGGGCTTTTGTTTCTGGGGAGGCCTCAGGAAACTTACAATGACGGCAAAGGGGAAACAGGCCCATCTTCACATGGCCAGCAGGAGAGGTGGTGGGGAGGTGCTAAAACAACCAGATCTTGTGAGAACTCTATCATGAGACAGCACTAGGGGGATGGTGCTAAACCATTAGAAACCACTCCCATGATTTAGTTACCTCCCACCAGGCCCCACCTCCAACATTGGGGATTACAATTTGACATGAGATATGGGTGGGACACAGAGCCAAACCATATCATTTCAGATGGTAAAATATAAAATATGTATGAGGAATACTTTCTATATGCAACTCATAGTACTCCACACCTCCCCCAGTAAAATATTTAGCACTCTAGACAATCATTGCCTGCTTACTGTGTCTCTTTTCTTCATTCTACTATAATTTCTATAAGAACAGAGGTCATTCCTATTCCCTTTACCGTTATTTCCTCCAGGAAATGTTGCATAAATATTTGTTGAATGAATGACTAGAACACTGACTCTGTGGTTCCTAATTATTTGCACAGTAGCCATCAAATGACAAAAGGATGTGAAATACTTTATAGGTGAAGACATTATGTAGCTGTTGAGGATTTGTTATCCTAAAAGCACTCATTATACCATCTATCACTATAATAAAAGCCTTCTCTGCTTGGAGATGCCAAAAAAAATATTCAGTAGTCCATCCACGAAAGTTTCCCAGACTCTTACATGATTGGAAGGGCTGTGCTACTGCCATAGGCAAACTTCATCACCAGCATCAAACACTGCCTTTGTGACATTTCCCTCACCTCAATGGCAGGTTACACTCTGCCTCTGGTCTCAGTCCACTTGGCGTCCCTGTCCTAAGTTTTTCCATATGTTACCTCATTTACAACAAGGTTGTGAGAAAGGTTCTATTTCTACTACCCTTTAACAGATGGGAATATCAAAGCACAGGGAGGTTACATGACTTGTTCAAAGTCACAAAGCAACTGAGTGGTGGAGCCAGGATTCAAACCCAGCTCTTGCTCTGAATCACTACGCTATATAAGACTCTTCTTTTGGCTGGGTGCTGTGGCTCACGCCTGTATTCCCAGCACTAGGGAAGGCTGAGGTGGGTGGATCACTTGAGCTCAGGAGTTCAAGGCCAGCCTGGGCAACATGGTGAAACCCCATCTCTATTAAAAAATACAAAAATTAGGCCGGGCGTGGTGGTTCACACCTGTAATCCCAGCACTTTGGGAGGCCAAGGCAGGAGGATCACCTGAGTTCGGAAGTTTGAGACCAGCCTGACCAACATGGAGAAACCGCATCTCTACTAAAAATACAAAATTAGCTGGGTGTGGTGGCACATGCCTGTAATCCCAGCTACTCAGGAGGCAGAGGCAAGAGGATCCCTTGAGTCCAGGAGATAGTAGTTGCAGAGAGCCACAGTCATGCCACTGCACTCCAGCCTGGGCAATATATCAAGATCCTGTCTCAAAAAAAAGAAAAAAGAAAATAAAAAGACTCTTCTATTACTTCTACAGCAACCTTCTGTCTTGTTTAGACTGCCTTCTTCCTGTTATCCGAATAGACCTTGGACTTTTCCAATTCTGTGTGTCTGGAATATGATTTTATGAAGAATTCAGAGGAGACTTATAGATTATTTTATCAAAGACTTCTATGTTATAGATGACAAAATGGTGGTATGTGTTATGGAAAGAACATCAGCTTTGGAACAAGGAGGCCCTAAAGTCAAAGTCTGGCTCTTTCAATTATCGATTACTATATAACAAACCACTCTATAACACAGACTCTTAGAACAGCAGCAATTTCTTGTTTCTCATGATTACATGGACTGGCTGGGCAGCTTCTCTGTTGGTATCACCTGAGCTTGCTCACACTGCTGCATTCAGCAGGAGGGCTGGCTGGGCTGGAAGGTTGCCCATGACCTCACATATCTTGCTTGACTGGGGTGACTTCTATGTGGACTGTCATCCTCCCAAAAGCTAGACCAGCTTTTTAAAATATTGGTCTTGATGAGAAGAGCTGAAAAGAATTTGTGGCTTTATTTAATCTATCTCATTTCCTAGATGGCTTACCTTGGACAATTTACTTTTTCTCTCCTGAGATCAGTTTCTTTGTGTTTACAATTGAGAGAGCAATCCCAATTGTCCCAGATTCTTGTAAGTATTAAATGAGATAATATATGTAATTATTAAATGAGATAATGTAAAAACTTCCTGCCATACAACCACCATTTTTCCAATGTTAGTTTCCGTTGCATTTCTTGGGCCTGGAGTGAAGCCTTCCTCTTACTCCCCATAATCTCCTACAGTCCACATAAATCCCTCACTCCAATCAAGATGCAGCTGTACTCTTCTGTCTCATGTTATACAATTTTTAAAATTATTAGCTTGCAATAATTGTCTGTCCTAGGAAATTCCAAAGTTCTATGTATAAATTAACTATTTTCAGGCTTTTCCCCATCCCGACAGGAAAAAAAAAATCTAATAGATTAATTTTATATGTAAAATTATTTATTGTTATGCACAATTTGTAATTTCTGTCTAGTTGGTGTCATAATTCTACCTCTTTATCCCCAATTTAAGAAGGCATACTGACATGCAAGTGAATGAGAATGTCTTTATTATCCTTATTTGTTCTAAAGGGAAATTATTTGCAAAACTTGCATCTTCAATATTAGCAACACATTACTTGCCATGCTTCTGTGGTCTAAATCACTTATTTGGGGCTAAGCACACAGAACTTTATTTTTTAAATTCTTTTATGAATATGTCCTATCTTCCTAAGTAGATTAAAACTACTAATAAAACCAAGGACCTTAATATAGACATACATATGTGTAAACATGTGCACATATATTTATCTTGAAGCTCTATTATAGGGCCCTACACATAATAGAATTCAGTAGTATTCAGAATTTCAGAATAGAAAGCAATGCATGTTTCCCAGCTACTCCTTTTTAGGGCCCTGGGGACAATGTTCCATAAAGCAGCTATGGAACAGTGGGGAAAAAAACAAACTGGATTTACAATCACAGGATCCAAGCTTATATACTTGCTCTAACTCTGTAGACCAAAAAGTGACTCATTCCTTGAACTTCTCTGGTACAGTGGGAGAAAACAATGCATGAAAAGTCTGGGTACTCCATACTCATTATCTTAGGCCAGTGGGCCTTAAAGTTGTGAAGTGTCACTTTTTATCAAAACACACAGGCCTGTTCCCTCCCTTCCCTTACTCATTGCGCTGTACCTCAGGATGGGACAGGGTAGGAGAGAGATGTATTTAGAAAACATTACTTAACTTTTACAGACATTGTTGGTGTGAGAACCAACATAGCCTTAGACTCTGAGATTACTCAGTGTAGTTAACTCTTAATAGCTTTGTGAAGTTGCAGGAGGAAGCTTCTTTCTCCATCTCTCCATGCTATTTTGATTACCAAAAGCTGTTGCTATTTAACTGAACCCAGCTACTGTTTTCTCAAAGTAGGGTATTCATCTCCAGGGGGCTGGAAAGAGAAACACTGAGATTCACAGATGTCCTAAGCTCTCTACAGTCGACTTACAAAACCTACCTTGCCAAATTTCCTACCCATAAAATCATTTCCTTCAATGCTTTCCTCCTTATCACAGTCAACTCATAAAAGTCTATACATTGGTAGGAGCTCTCATAAGGCCTTGAAGGTAGCACAACAAATGCCTGGGGCTTGACTAATCAGTTGCATAGAAGCCTGCTTTCTCTGTGATAATCCACACTGACTATTATGGTTATGTTTGTGTCTAGTACAGTAGGAGACACCAGAAAGTGCTTAATAAGTACTTTTGTATTGACTGATTATAATGACCTGTATATTTTGGGTTTTGTCAGGGCAGTGGAGAAAAGCCTGTATTTTTTTTCTTCTCTTTTTTTTTTTTTTTTTTTTTTATTTATGGGTGTGAGGGGAATAGAGTCTCGCTGTGTCACCCAGGCTGGAGTGCAGTGGCACAATCTTGGCTCACTGCAACCTCCACCTCCCAGGCTCAACTGAAGCGATCCTCCCACCTCAGCCCCTCAAGTAGCTGGGACTACAAGTGCACACTACTGTGCCCAGCTAATTTTTGTATTTTAGTAGAGATGCGGTTTCACCATGTTACCCAGGCTGGTCTCGAAGTCTTGGGCTCAAGCAGTCCTCCCACCTCAGCCTCCCAAAGTGCTGGGATTACAGGTGTGAGCCATCACACTTGGCTAAAAGCTTCTATTTTAATCTAGTTCTTAGTAGCTCAGAGAGAAGTTTCTTAAGAAAAGGGAAGAGGATAAGGCCTTAGGGAGGTTGTTAGCAATTTAGCATTTCTGAGTCAGGTGGGAGTATTTAATTTGCTCAATAAAGAGAACAATATGCTCTCCAGGTATGGTAAAGCACTGCTACTGTGCCTACAGATGACAATACTATATTGTACACTTAAAAATCCCCTGTGTATACCAAGGGAGGACTGTGAAAAGCTAAGGCTATCATAAAGCATCTCAGGCCCATGCAACAGTGTTATGATGGGCAACCACAGTATTACTTTTGTTATTAGATTATAACATTACTTCATTATTGTTAAAGCATTATTATTATTATTAAATTATAACTTAATGGTTAGCAGCAGGACCTTTGTAATTAGAGCAATCTGAGTTTAAATTCCAACTCTTCCACTCATCAGCTCTATGAAGTTGAGCAAGTCACTTATCTAAGCTTCATATATAAAATTTGGATAATAGGATCTTATAGAGTTGTGAGGGCTAAATAAGATAATGTATATAAAGCAATTAGCACCATTGCTGGCAATAAATAGAAGGGGCTCTGTAAATGGTTTCTAGTATCGGAAGAAACTAACGGACTCTGCATGTGCAATAGAACACATGCTGGCCTTTGAGTCAAGAGAATGAGGTTCAAGCCTCAGATCAGCCTTTAAAAATTGTTGAGATTTGATGGGTGTCCCATCCTCTTTTGCTCTTTTAAATGCTGAAATAATTTGGAAATGGACATATATGTCAGGGAAGAGTTAAAACGGTATCTATTTCTGGGAAATTGAATTAGAGAACATGAATTGGATCACCCTCAAAGACTAGGCTTTAAACCTGCACATGGGGAGCATTATTTCTGCAGAGCATAATTACCCAAGCAGACATATGGAAGACCAAAGTTGGCTTCATGCTGTGTTGACCAGAGCAAAGGACTCAGACAACTGGCACCCAAGAGGGAGCTGTGCAAGAGTAAAGGATGCAAGAAGCAGCTTGGGCTTATGGCCCCCTCCCCTTATCAGAGACAGCATCAGGAATGCACCATCTATAGTGGGAACATCTGAAAGAGTTGGGGAAACTCTTTGAGGATAACCTGTACTCAAAGCTCCAAAGAGAGGGAAAAACTGGCTAAAAAGCTCAACTTGACCAAGCACAAAGTACAGGTGTGGTTCAAGAACTGCTGAGCCAAATACTGTCAACAGCATTTGTGGCAGCAATAGCGACTACTGAGGAACCAGAACAGAACAGAGACATGCAGACAGGAGTGAACCAGGAATATTATTCAGCGTCTTTGCCAATCACATCCCATGGGAGTCTCAGGTTTCTGAGTAGCTTCTCCATCCAACCCTTGGTAAATTCCCACAGCAGCAGAACTTACTGCCTCCAACAGGGCACAACATTTGTGCCATGAACTTTACATCAGGGTCTAAAATTTTCCCTGGCCCCATTGAGCACCCCTCACACCTAGACCCCTGCAGTGGCTTCTACATCTACTTTCTCATGAGGCTTTCATCCCATGCTGGTACTGACTCTCTAGAATTAAATAATTATACACTAGGTCCAATTTGAATTTAGAGAACAGTCTGGCCACTAAAATGACCTATAGATCTCTTGGGAGGGAAAACTTGACAAACCCTATAACAACTATATATGTTTATGAGATTGTATTAGTCCGTTCTTACACTGCTATAAAGATATTACACAAGACTGGGTAATATATAAACAAAGGAGATTTCATTGACTCACAGTTTCACATGGCTGGGGAGGCCGCAGGAAACTTACAGCCACGGCAGAAGGGGAAGCAAGCACCTTCTTCACAAGGCAGCAGGAGAGAGAGCAAGTCAGAGAGGGAAAGCAGAAGAGCCCCTTATAAAACCATCAGCTCTCGTGAGAATTCACTCACTATCACGAGAAAGGCATGGGGGAAAACCGCCCCCAAGATCCAATTACCTCCCACCGGATCTCTCCCTCAACACCTGGGGATTATAATTCAAGATGAGATTTGGGTGGACACAAAGCCTAACCATATCAGAGATTTAACCATATTTTCATGTACAGCTGTGGTTCATTAGTTTTCATTGCTAAGTATTTTGTTTTAGAAATACTCTACAAACTTATTTATCTGTTCTTCTGTTGATGGACATCTGGGGTGTTTCCACTTTTTTTTTTTTTTTTTTTTTTTTTTTTTTTTTTTTTTTTTTTTTTTTTGAGACGGAGTCTCGCTCTGTCGCCCAGGCCGGACTGCGGACTGCAGTGGCGCAATCTCGGCTCACTGCAAGCTCCGCTTCCCGGGTTCACGCCATTCTCCTGCCTCAGCCTCCCAAGTAGCTGGGACTACAGGCGCCCGCCACCGCGCCCGGCTAATTTTTTGTATTTTTAGTAGAGACGGGGTTTCACCTTGTTAGCCAGGATGGTCTCGATCTCCTGACCTCATGATCCACCCGCCTCGGCCTCCCAAAGTGCTGGGATTACAGGCGTGAGCCACCGCGCCCGGCCGTGTTTCCACTTTTGAGCTATTTCCAATAATGATGTTTTTATATGCATTTCTGTTGGGTATACACCTAGAAGTGAAATTGCTTGGTCATAGGGTCTGCCTATGTTTGCCTTTGGAAGTTATTACCAAACAGTTTAATAAATTGATTCTCTTATACTTCTACCCAGTAGTGTATGAGAGTTCCTGTTGCTCAGCATTTTAGCCAGTATTTAAGATTAGGAGACAATCTTTTAAAATACTTGTTAATCTGATCCCAGCTACTCAGGAGGCTGAAGCAGGAGAATATCTTGAACCCAGGAGGCAGAGGTTCCAGATAGCCCAGATTGTGCTACTACATTCCAGCCTGGGCAACAGAGCCAGACTCTGTCTCAAAAATAAAATAAATAAATAAATAAAATATTTGTTAATCTGGTAACTATGTGGATATATTTCGTGGTGGTTTTAATTTGCATTTCCCTCATGACTATTGAGGTTAAGTGCTTATAATCTATTTATTGGACATTAACATTGGCCAATAAATATGAAGCACCTGTTTAAGTCTTTTGAAAATTTTTTTCTAATTAATTTGAACAAGTTCTTTTGGCTTTCTGTTTTTTGTTTTTTAGACAGGGTCTCACTCTGTGACCCAGGCTGGAGTGCAGTGGCATGATCATGGCCCACTGAAGCCTAAAACTCTTGGGCTCAAGTAATCCTTTCATCTCAGTCTCCCAAGTAGCTAAGGCTACAGGCGTGTGCCACCACCACACCCGGCTAACGTTTGTATTTTTTTGTAGAGACGGGGGTTTACCCATGTTGCCCGGGCTGATTTCAAACTCCTGTTCTCAAGTGATCTGCCTGCCTTAGCCTCCCAAAGTGCTGGGATTACAGGTGTGACCCACTGCACCTGCCCTGAATGAGTTCTTTATAGATCCTGGATACTATTCCTTTATCAGATAGTTGAGTTGTAAATATCTTCTCTTATTTTGTAGCTTGTTTTTTCACTCTTTATGGTGACTTTAATGAAGACAGAATCTTGATATAAAAGAGTTGTTATTCCTCATCCTTTAGATTTATGCCTTTTTCCTGTTTGTTAAAAAAAAAAAAATCTTCCATAGAGTCTACACAAGACCATGAAGACATTGTGTTTATTATTTTCTTTTTTTCCTTTTTTGAGGCAAAGTCTTGCTCTGTTGCCCAGGCTGGAGTGCAATGGCATGATGCAGCCTCGACCTCCTAGGCTCAAGCAATCCTCCTACCTCAGCCTCCTTAGTAGCTGGGACTCCAGCCGTGTTCTGCCATACTCAGCTAATTTTTGTACTTTTTGTAGAGACAGGGTTTCGCCATGTTGCCCAGGCTGATCTTAAACTCTTGGGCTCAAGCAATCTGCCTGACTCGGCCTCCCAAAGTGCTGGGATTACAGTCGTGAGCCAATGTGCCCAGCCACGTTTATTATTTTCTAAAAGCTTTCTGGTTTAATTTTTGCATTTAGGTCTTTAATACACTTGAAATTAATTGGTATGTGTGATGTGCATATTGTGAGGCAGGAATTCAATTTCAGTTTATCTGATGGATACTAACTAGTCTGCCACTATTTACTGAAAAGATCTGTTGTTTTCCCACTGATCTGCAACATCATCTCTGTCATGTATTATTGGTTTATTAAGACAATAGTCTGCTGCTGAGCTGCATATTAGGTTTGAGGGGTCTATATGCCTATTTTTTTACTATTACAATATTGTCATTATTCCTCTAGCTTTATAATGAACCTTGATATCTGTGAAACCAAGTCCTTCTACCTTGTTCTTTCTCAAGAGCATCTTGGATTTTCTTGACTCTCTGAATTTTTTGTTTTGTTTTGTTTTTATTTTTTGAGATGGAGTCTTTCTCTGTCTCCCAGGCTGGAGTGCAGTGTGGCACAATCTCGGCTCACTGCAACCTCTGCCTCCCAGGTTCAAGCGATTCTCCGGCCTCAGCCTCCTGAGTAGCTGGGGTTACAGGTGTCCGCCACCACGCTTGGCTAATTTTAGTATTTTTTGTAGAGACAGGATTTCACCATGTTGGCCAGGCTGGTCTCAAACTCCTGACCTCAGGTGATCCGCCTGCCTCGGCCTCCCGAAGTGCTGGGATTACAGGAGTGAGCACTGCATCCGACTGAGTCTTTGAATTTTTATATAGATTATTTTAGAATAAAATTACCAAGTTTCATCAAACATCTGGTAGGATTTTAATTGGAATTGTATTGAATCTATAAATCTGTTTAGAGAAAATTGATTACATGGCTAAATCTTCCATTTCATGAATATAATTTACTTTTTCATTTAGGTTTTTCTTACGTCTCCATAGTGCCTTCAACATCTTTATTTAGATTTATTCCTAGAAACATTATATTGGATGCCATTTTAAAAGGCATATTTCTTGGCTGGGTGCAGTGGCTCACTCCTGTAATCCCAGCACTTTGGGAGGCTGAGGTGGGTGGATCACTTAAGGTCAGGAGCTTGAGACCAGCCTGGCCAACATAGTGAAACCCCGTCTCTACTAAAAATACAAAAATTAGCTGTGCGTGGTGGCGGTCCCCTGTAATCCCAGCTACTCGGGAGGCTGAGGCAGGAGAATTGCTGGACCCCGGGAGATGGAGGTTGCAGTGAGCCAAGATCGCGCCATTGCACTCCAGACTGGGCGACAGAGCGGGACTCCATCTCAAAAAAAAAAAAAAGAAAAGAAAAAAGAAAAAAAGGCATACTCCATCTCAAAAAAAAAAAAAAAAAAAAAGAGAAAAAAAGGCGTATTTCTTAATGTTCGTCCTCCATCTAGAAATTGATTAATATTTTGTGTTAGTTTTGGATCTAGAGATCTTTTCCAATTCTTATTAATTCAGTAGATTCTTTTAGACTTTGAACTTGAAAAATCAATAAACATCACTTTGACTATGTTTTTTTTTAAGTGGTCAGAGAGAAAAGATAATGGATCTAGTCATCTGGCATATTATAACATGTTAAATTCTAACATGTTACATCACTTAATAGTGATGCAACCAATGGAAGTCATGCTCTCATAATTTCTCCAATCAATTAAGTCCCTCCTTCTCCTGTGAGGGGAAGAAAGTTAGAGAGCTGGGGGAGCTTCTATTTTGTAAGTTGAGGCATGTGACTGGGAGAAGAGAAAAAGTCTCCCACACAACTATGAGACTATAATATAATATAATTTATAATATTAAAAGTACCATTTTGTTATTTCTTTGGGTATCACTTTCCTATTTTGTTAAATAGGAATAACAATACTTGTATAATCACAGGAAAATGCTGGGAGGGTCAAACGAAGATAAAATATGATTAAGGTGATATTATAATTTATATAAATTATATAAATTATTTATATAATAATAAATCAGGAGGCTTATTTATATAAATTATTTTGTGATAATCCCTTTATAAAGCATATTCACATACATGTACACTGCATATATCAATTATCTTTTTAGATAATAACTTTAAAAAAGATTGCTTAAAGACAGGACTTTCTATTTGAAATTATACTGCAGGACTTAGCCAATGCAACAAGGTAAGAAAACACAAGATAAGATTTAAGGAATTGAAAAGACACAAAACACATTGTTTCCAAATAGTTTAATATTTCATATAGAAAATCCAACAGACTTTATGGACAATCTATCAGAGACAATAGGAGCATGATTGGTGAATACAAGAGCAATATACAAAAATCAATAGCTCTCCTATGTACAGAAAACAACCACTTATATAATTTTTAGAGAGTTCACTCACAAGATCACAAATTGACTTACATATTGACCATTTACTGAGTGACCAAATTGTACAATTGGCTAATTTTAACAAAAATGTGTTTAACTGCTTATAAAGTTTAAAGCAATTCATATTAGATACCATGTCAGAGACTATCAGCCCCCCATTACCCTCTTTCTTCTTATGTGTTCTATGGAAGAGATTGGTAGACTATGGCTCATGGGCCAAATCAGGTCTGCCACCTGTTTTTGTAAATAAAGTTTTATTGGAACACAGCAAACCCCATTGATTTACATATTTTCATTGGCTAGAATGAGATTATAAGTCTTCCCTAGCAGAAAAAAAAGAGTGGACTGGGTGCGGTGGCTCACGCCTGTAATCCCAGCACTTTGAGAGGCCGAGGCGGGTGGATCACAAGGTCAGGAGGTTGAGACCATCCTGGCTAACACAGTGAAACCCCGTCTCTAATAAAAATACAAAAAATTAGCCAGGCATGGTGGCATGCGCCTGTAGTCCCAGCTACTCAGGAGGCTGAGGCAGGAGAATCGCTTGAACCCAGGAGGCGGAGGTTGCAGTGAGCTGAAATCGCACCACTGAACTCCAGCCTGGACGACAGAGCAAGACCCTTTAAAAAAAAAAAAAAGAAAGAAGGAAGGAAGGAAGGAAGGAAGGAAGGAAGGAAGGAAGGAAGGAAGGAAGGAAGGAAGGGAAGGAAGGAAGGAAGGAGGGAACGAAGGAAGTAGTGGATAAGAGAGAGGCAGATTTCATGATTGACTCAGACAATTCATTATCCAGACAGGCAGTACTGCCCAGAACACAGAGTTCTGTTAGAAGGAATCAGTATTGTGTAGCAACTAACACTATCTGCCAGTTGACTTCTTTGGCAATCAATCATCCAAACACACTCTTTTTCTCCTATGTACGCTTTACATAAAAATAAACCAGCCTGAAGTGAAAGATCTCTGAGTGATGTGCAATCCTTTTTGCTAGGTCTGAATATGGATCCTGTGGTCCAGCAACCTAAGGCTAGAAGACAATTATCTGCTCCCAACACACCCGATGTACTGTAGCAGAGAAGGAACAGGATAATCGCAGTGAAAGTTCCCATTTGAGAAAGGGAAGAATGGAAAATATGTAAATCATCGGTTCAAACAAGATATTAAATCCTGCTGGGCTAAGTTCTCTGGTTAGCCAATCTGGCAGCCCTTGAATGTGTCCTCTGGAAGAATCTTCTATGTGCATTGTCATCCAACTGCATATAAGGTTGGCATAGACCAGGGACTGGCAAATTTTTTCTGTAAATAGCCAGGTAGTAAATATTTTAGGCTTTGAGAGTCATACAGTCTCTATCATAACTACTCAATTCTCATTTTAGTGTGAAAACAGCTATAGACAGTATGTAAATGAATGTAGCTGTGTTACAATAAAACTTTATTGTGGATACTAAACTATTAACTTCACATAATTTTCACATCATATTTTTCTAAAAATGTAGAAACAATTCTTAGCTCATGGGTTGCACAAAAACAGGAGTAAAATGGGTTTGGCCAATGGACCATAGTTTGCTGACCCCTAGGTTAGTCTGATCATGATCCATTGCCTGGAGCTGAAGACACGGCTACACCAAATAAAATTGATATTCCGTTAATCAAGATGGGAGAAAAGACGACATATTGGATAGGCATATTAGTAAGTTTCCTATTAGATATGAAAACTGTATAAAGCCGTAATATGTGAAGCAATGTGGTATTGGTGCAGAGATAGCTAAATAAGTAATAAAACAAAGAACCTAGAAAAAGACCAAGATGTGTTAGAACTAGCTGTATAATAAAGGTAGTATTTCAGGCCGGGTGCAGTGGCTTACGCCTATAATCCCAACACCACGGGAGGCCAAGGCGAGCGTATCACTTGAGGTCGGGAGTTTGAGACGAGCCTGGCCAACGTGGTGAAACCCCATCTCTGCTAAAACAAAAAACAAAAATTAGTCAGGCGTGGTGGCACACGATGTAATCTCAGCTAACAGGAGGCTGAGGCAGGAGAATCACTTGAACTGGGGAAGCAGTGGTTGCAGTGAGCCAAGATAGTGCTGCTATACTCCCAGCCTGGGTGACAGGGTAAGACCCTGTCTCAAAAAAAAAAAAATAGCATTTCAAATGGAAAAATTGATTATTTAATAAATGGTGCTAGAAAAATAGGCTAATCTTATGAAAAAATATGAAATTTTTATATATGTATAATATATATAATAAGACCCCTGTCTCTTACCATACTCAAAAATAAATTGCAGATGAATTATAAATCCAAGTCTGAGAAGCAAAACTTAAGAAGAAGGGTTTCTTTTCTAAAAAAAAGAAAATTGTATTATTTAGCTATTGCTCCGTAACAAACAACCCCATAACTTAGTGGCTAAAACAACCATTTTATTTGCTCTCAATTCTGTGGTCAGAAATTTGAGCTGGGTGCTGCTTATAGTGTTTTCACCATGCTGCAGTCATTGGGAGGATCAGCTTGACCAGAGAGGTCTACGATAGCCTCATTCACATGTCTGGCAGCTGGTGCTGGCCATTCACTAGGCCACTGTCTCCAGCAGGCAAGCCTGAAGGTGGCTGAGATGCAAGATGCAAGTTTCAATGCACAAGCACTTTTCAAATCTCTGCTTACATCAATTTACATCAAAGTTGGCTTGGCCAGAGCAGGTCACAGAGTTCATTTAGCCAAGTCCAGAGTCAATGTGGGCGGGAACTACATAAGAATGTGCATACAGGATGCTGTGATTCACTGGAGTCATTATTATAATATTCTATCACAAAAATATTAAAAATGTCTTCATGATATTAGAATTAAGAGAGTATTTTTTAAAAGAAAACACGGTGCACAAACCGAAAGGAAAAGACTGCTAAATCTGATTATATTAAACTGAAATCTTCTGTATGTTACAAATACCAAGCGAAAAGACAAGTCATAAATTGGGAAAAGATATTTGCCAACAACAAAGCAATAAGGATTATATCCGGAATATATAAATAATTCCTTCAGATCAATGAGAAAAAGATAAATGACAATTATGAAATGGACAAGAGATGTTTTTAAAAAAGCAATTCACAGAAGAGGGAACCCCAAAGACCAATAAATACATGACAAAAATGCTCAACATCATTAAAAACCAGGAAAATACAAATTAAAACAAAAATGACATACAATTTGGCACTCATCCAAATTGGCAAATAATAAAAACACAGAGTGTTGGTGAGAATGTGGGGAAATGGGAACTCTGATATGTTGTCATTGGGAGTGTATATTGATACAACTATTTTGAAGGACAATTTATCAGTATTACCAAAGTGAAGACGTGCCTATCCTGTGACCTGATCATCCCACATCTACGTATATACCCAATTGAGTGGTTCTCAGTTGCCTGAAAGAAATTTTTAAAAAACATACTGATAGCCATGTGCAGTGACTCTTGCCTCTAATCCCAGCTACATGGGACGCTGAGGCAAGAGGATTTTGCTTGAGCCCAGGAGTTGGAGGCTACAGTGAGCTATGATCTCACCACTGCACTCTAGTCTGGGCAACAGAGCAAGATCCTGCTTCAAAAAAAAAAAAATTCAGATTCCACTTCAGACCAATTAAACAAGAATCTCTTGGAAATGTGAATCAGGTGTTTAAATTTTAATCTCTAATATGCTGCTAAGGTTAAGAACCATTGTCCTAAGGCAACTCTTGCATATATGCCCAAGGTGCACAAGGATGTTCAATGTAACATAGCTTATTATTAGGGAAAAGTTGGAAACAGTGTGAGTGTCTATCAATAAAGGACTGGATACCTTGAGGTTAATTTTTTCTGCGCCTCAAATAGGATAATTTTAACTGTCCTCTTAAATTCACTGAGTATTCTACCTGCTCAAATCTGCTGTTGAACCCCTCTAATAAGTTTTATCCTCAGTTATTATACTTTTCAGCTCTAAAATTTCCATTTGGTTCCTTTATATGACTCTTTTTTTTTAATTACTATTCTTATTTTGTTCACACACTGTTTTCCTGGCCTCCTTTCATTCTTTTTTTTTTCTTCTTTTTTGAGACGGAGTCTAGCTCTATAGCCAACCTGGAGTGCAGTGGTGCGATTCTCCTGCCTCAGCCTCCTGAGTAGCTGGGACTACAGGTGCGTACCACCATGCCTAGCTAATTTTTGTTTTTTTAGTAGAGATGGGGTTTCACCATGTTGGCCAGGATGGTCTCGATCTCCTGACTTCGTGATCCGCCCACCTCGGCCTCCCAAAGTGCTGGGATTACAGGCGTGAGCCACTGCGCCCGGCCTCCTTTCATTCTTTGTCCATGGTTTCCTTTAGCTCTTTGAGCATATTTAAGACAGTTGATTTCAAGTCTTTGTCTACTAAGTCCAATGTCTGGGCTTCTTCAGGGACAGTTTCTGTCTAACTATTTCGTTCCTTTAAATGGGCCACTCTTTGATTTATCTTTGCATGTCTTGTAATTTTTTGTTGAAAACTGAGCGTTTGCAGCTGGGTGTGGTGGCTCATGCCTATAATCCCAGCACTTTGGCAGGCCGAGGGAGGTTGGTTACTTGAGACCAGGAATTCAAGACCAGCCTGGTCAACATGGCAAAACCTCATTTCTACAAAAAATACAAAAATTAGCTGGGTATGGTGGCACATGCCTGTACTCCCAGCTGCTCAGGAGGCTGAGGCATGAGAATTGCTTGAATCTGGGAGGCAGAGGTTGCAGTGAGCTGAGATGGCACCACTGCACTCTAGCCGGGATGACAAAGCAAGACTCTGACTCAAAAAAACAAAACAAAACAAAACAAAAAACCCACACACAAAACTGAGCATTTAAATAATATAATGTGATTAATGTGGTAACTCTGGAAGTCAGATATTCCCCCTTCCCCAAGTTTGCTGTTGTTAATTGTTGAGGACTGTAGCCATCCATTTATTTAATGATGCTTTCAAACTGTTTTTGGAAAGAGTGTATTCCTTGTCATGTGCAGTTACCAAAGCCTCTGTTCCATTATCTCAGTGCTTAGTGAAGTGACCTAACAAAGATTTCCTTAAGTACTCAGAGCCAAAAAGAGAAAAAAATACTACTCTTCTGGTCTTTGCATCTTGGTTGTGAGTGGGGACATTTTTTTCACCCCTACACCAGGCCACCTACAGGTCTGCCTTTGCCTTTACTTCCTGTATGCATGGAGCCCACAGATCTTCCAGAGGTGCCAAGCCTATGATCCTCTAAGGCCTTTTCTTTTCTTTTCTTCTTTTTTTTTTTTTTTTTTAGACAAAGTCTTGCTCTTGTCGCCCAGGCTGGAGTGCAATGATGTGATCTCAGCTCACTGCAACCTCCACCTCCCGGGTTCAAGCCATTCTACTGCCTCAGCCTCCCAAGTAGCTGGGATTAGAGGTGCCCGCCACCATGCCTGGCTGTGCAAGCACATGGTCCTGGGAATGCATGGTCATCCCAGCATTTTGGGAGGCCGAGACAGGCAGATCACCTGTGGTCAGGAGTTCGAGACCCGCCTAGCCAAAATGGCAAAACCCTGTCTCTACTAAAAATACAAAAAATTAGCTGGGCGTGGTCACGCATGCCTATAGTCCCAGCTACTGAGGAGGTTGAGGCACAAGAATCACTTGAACCCGGGAAGCGCAGGTTGCAGACAGCCGAGATTGCGCCACCGCACTCCAGCCTGGGCGACAGAGCAAGACACTGTCTCAAAAAAAAAAAAAAAAAAAAGCCATAGTGCTCTCTTACCAAAAGTCAACTGCCCTTTTCCTTATTAAGCATTCCCCTGGTTCCTGTAAGTTTTGGATATTTCAGGGTCCCAAAAAGTTGATTCTGTCAGTCTTTGATAGCTTATGTTTGTTTCAGTGGAAGCACCAATTCTTTGAGCACCCTACTGTGCCATTTTCTATAATGTCACCTAATGATGCTGTCTTGATACTATTTTCCTTCTCTCCCCAGGCCTGAATCGTTGGTCTGTAGTTTTGATCCATCTCTCCTCACTGCTTGGGAACCCATCCAGAGCCCTGTCTGCTCAGCCTGCACCTACCCAGTACCTTCAGGTTCCCAGCAGCTGCACATGGTGAATTCTTATCATGAAATATTATACATAATTTTAAATAAATGAATGAGAGCTACATTATCAACATAAAGATATCCCATAAATGTAATTTTGACTGAGACAAGCAAGTTACAAAAAGAGCATAAAGTATAAAATTATTTGTGTAATTTAAAAATACACAAAACCAGCCAGGCGTGGTGGCTCACACCTGTAATCCCAGCACTTTGGGGGGCCAAGGCAGGTGGATCACAAGGTCAGGAGTTCCGGTCCAGCCTGGTCAACATGGTGAAACCCCGTCTCTACTAGAAAAATATATAAATTACCCAGGCATGGTGGCACGCGCCTGTAGTCCCAGCTATTCAGGAGGCTGAGGCTGAAGAATTGCTTGAACTCGGGAGGCCAAGGTTGCAGTGAGCCGAGATCATGCCACTGCACTCCAGCCTGGGTGACAGAGCGAGACTCTGTCTCAAAAAAAAAAAAGCACAAAACCATAGATACATACCAAAATACTGATAATACTTCTCTGGGTGAAAGGACCACATAAAGTTTTTATTTTCTTTATTTTGCTTATATTGTTTATTTTCTATATGTTTTAGTTGTGCATTGCTGCTGTAACAAATTACCATGAACTCAATAACTTAACCCAATACAAATTTATTATCTTATGCCTGGAGGTCAGAAGTTCAAAATGGGTCTCATAGAGTCAAAATCAAGGTGTCAGGAGGGATGAAGTCCTTCTGAAGGATCCAGGGGAGAATCCATTTCCTTGCTTTTTCCGAGTTCTAGAGGCTTCCTGATTTCCTTGGCTCATGGGCCCTTCTTCTCTCTCTAAAGCCAGCAATGATAGGTTCTCATAGCACATGACTCTGGCCCTGCTCCCATCATTATATTTCATTCTCTGATCTCTTCTTCCTCCTTCTTCTGCTGTTAATGACCCTTGTGATTACACTGGTGCCACTTGGATGATCTAGGATAATGCTCCTTATCTGAAGATCCTAAACTTGATCACATCTGCAAAGTCCCTTTTGGCATGTAAGGGAACATATTCACAGGCTCCAGGAATTAGGATATGGACATCTTTGGAAGGCCATTATTCTACCTGATACATTATAATAAATATGATATGCTTGAAAGAAGGAAAAAAACATGAGTTCAAAGGCTTCTTAAAACTACCTGCATAATGTGCTTGGATTTGCGCCAAAGCCAATGATCTTATGAAAATCCTCTAATCATCATCGTCCAACTTTACATTTTATAGGCCCAAAATAAAGAACAAGTAATAAACAAAAATCTACACAAAGGTTGTATATTCACCCTGCAGATAAAAGACTGATGCACCTGTTCCAACATTATTCATTTTTCCTGCATATAAGTTTGTATCATAACAGTATAAAAATATTATGTCAAAGGGCTTTTAACTCATCTTCACTGACTATAAAAGAAATGCAAATCGAGATGACCATTTTTTACAATGTTGGAGAGAATGTAGGGTAAGAGGCACTCTCACAGTTGGTAGGAATATAAGCACAGCTCCTAGGGAGAGCAATTTGACAGTATCTGTCAAAACTTAAAATGCACATACCCCTTGTCAGCATTAACTCTATTTCTAGGGGTTTTTCCTGTAGATACTCTCACATGTTCCCAAAAATATAGATACAAGAATATCTAAGGTCCCATTGTTATAATGGTAAAATATTGGAAGCAGTAAAAACGTCCATCTGTAGGAGAGTGGTTAAATAAATTGTGTATGTTCTGAGGTTAAGAACCAAGATTGCACGTTAAAGAAAGTGAAAAGACAAGCAACAAGCTGAAAGATCCTACAAATATCGAGGATATATAAAAACTCTTACCAATTAATAAGGAAATAGTACAATAGTGAAAGGTACAACAGACATAATCAAACATATCACAGAAGAAACACATGAGGCTAATAAACATATGAAAATACAATAAACCTCACTGGAAATTGGAAAAATGCAAATTGAGGTCTCAATGATATGCCATTTTTTATCTTTTCAAATGGTAAAAGGTAAGATGTCTGACAAAAGCAAAGCATTAAAGAAAATATGAATCAAAGGACGCTCTGACACATTGCTGAGGGAGTATAAATTGGAACAGCTACTTTGTTAAATTGTGTGATATTATCTCATGAAATTGAATATTTGCATCCTCTCTGATCTAGCAATTCCACTCCTAGATATATAACCCAAAGAAAGCTTAGCATATATGTACCTGGAAACACTTAAAGAATGTTCAGAACAGCACCAATCATATTGCAAAAACTAAAAACAATCTAAATTTTCTTACTATGTGCACACAATGGAATATTACACAGGAAGAAAATTAAGTCACAAGCAACAAAACTTTAGCAGCAAAGCAAATCCCAGAAGGTAATACAGATTATTAAAGTATTTTTGTAAAGCTAACAATGAATGTGATAAAAACACCCCATCCCCAAAGAGAATGATAAGAACACAATTCAAGAGGGTAGGTGTCTGAAGGAAAGGCAAAGTGATGGGATAGGGACGGAGAACAAAGAAAGATGTGAGTTATTTGTTCTTGGCTTAGGTGGCGGGTTCATAGGTGTTCATTTATTAGTACAGATAAATGAAAATAAATGAGTAAGATGGCTCTGCATGGATCCAATGATGACTGTGTACCATAAATGAAGGATTATATTTAATCCAATACTTTGTACTTAGGAAAAACAACATTCCTCAAGGAATGTTCATAGAAGCTTTGTTTGTAATAGCAAAAACCTGAAAATAACCCAAATGTCCATCAGCTGGTGAATGGATAAACTCCAGCACATCCATTCTGTGAACCACCACTCAGAAATAAAAAGGTAAAAACTTGCAATACACACAACAGCCTAAATGGACATCAAGGGCATTATGCTTATCAAAGAAAGCCAATTTCAAAAGACTATTCATTGTATGACTTCACTTAATAACATTCTCAGTGACAAAACTATAGATATGGAGAACAAATTAGTACTTGTCAGGAACAGGACGGGGTGAAGGTGTGAATTCAGAGGGGTAGCACTAGGAAGTTTCTCTGTGGTGAGGAAACAGTCCTGTATCTTGACTGTAGTGGTGGTTACACAAATCTATACATGAGATTACATTGCATAGAACTATACATACACTACCCCACAAAAACAGTACATAAGAAAGCTACAGTATTCTAAGCATGTTGTTTCAGACACATGAATGGAAAAGAAAGACCAGTATGGATCCAAAGTTGAGTAGCTGACAAAATGACATTTTAAATTAGTGACAAAAGATGGATCATTTAATAAATATTCTCTGTCCTAAATAATAGATCTAAGACATATATAAGTAAGAAAGCAAACTAATTAAAGCTAGGAGACAGCATGGGAAAATTTTTCTTTTACTTTTCTTTCTTTTTCTTTTCTTTTTTTTTTTTTTGAGACAGAGTCTCGCTCTGTTGCCCAGGCTGGAGTGCAGTGACTGCGGTCTTGGCTCACTGTAACTTTCGCCTCCCAGGTTCAAACAATTCTCTGCCTCAGCCTCCCGAGTAGCTGGGATTACAGGTGCCCACCACCAAGCCCAGCTAGTTTTTGTATTTTTAGTAGAGACAGGGTTTCACCATCTTGGCCAAGCTGGTCTTGAACTCCTGACCTCATGATCCACCCACCTTGGCCTCCCAAAGTGCTAGGATTATAGGCGTGAGCCACCACACCCAGCATAATCATTCTTAAATAATCAAGGAGAAACTCAAAAAGTAAAATAAAATATTTATATAGACGACTTCATAAAAATTAAAAATAACACACAGTAAGTAATAAAATAAACGAAGTCAAAGTATAAATAACAAACTGGAAATAATATTTGCTATATATAAGACAGACAAAAGTTGATTTCCTTAATATTTAAAGAGGACTTACAAATCAGTGAGACAAATTACTAACATAAAAATGGGGAAAGACATGAACAGAAAGTTAGTAACAATAAAAAACTAAAAGCATGGCTGAAAGACATATAGTATGGTGTGCAACATCATCTACAATTTTTAAAATATGAATTAAAATTAAAACAATTTTAAATTTGATAATAAATTGTATTGGCTAAGGTTTGAGGGGAAATAATGAGCTAACTGACATTTTAGAAGGCTAGAGACCCCAAACCTTACAGGTAATTATCATTTCATTCACATGTTTATTAATTCAACAACTCAAAATACTTAAGCATCAACCATGTGCCAGGCATTACTGGTCCTGAGTATGCATCAGTGAACAACATAGATTAAAGACCCCTACCCTTATGAAACTTATATTCATTCAGGTAGAGAATAAGGAGATGTGGTAGGAATAAGCTTTGAATGAAGAGAGGATAAGGTGGGAGAAACAAGGATAAACTACCTACATCACATCTCTGTATACAGAATCCCTTCCGTCTCAATTTTCTGGCAATATCCTGCCCATCTAGGTTCATCTCAAATGAATCCTACCTCCTCCCTGACTACTTCCCACCTACCATACATTGTAAAAAATAGTTTCTTTAAGGCTGGGCACAGTGGCTTACACCTGTAATCCAGCACTTTGGGAGGCTAAAGTGGGAGGATCACTTGAGCTCAGGAGTCCAAGACTGCAGTGAGCTAGGATAGAACCACTGCACTCCAGCCTGGGCAACAGAGCAAGACCCTATCTATTAAACATTTTTTAAATTAGAAAACATAATATCATGTAATGTTATTTTTTACATTTCTTTCAATAAATTCAATTGTGCCTTGGACATATCAGATGTTTAGGAAGTAAATGAATGAATTTTTATCAAAGACAGCATGTGAAATATGTAACCAGTAGAGCTGTTATGAGAGAAAGGAGATAGTTTGCAGGGGAGGGGGCAGGAGAACAGATGACCAGGTTGCTACTCCAAGATGCAAAATATTTGTGTATGAACTGTGCCATAAATGTGAATGATCAATACTGTGTCAGCAAATATGAAATTACTTTAAATAGCCTATAATGTAGCTAAAGGAAACAATGAAACACGATAAAGGCAGCCCAACATGCACATCCATTTTTGTTTGACTATTTAAAAACTAAGTATTAATAGGTAAGGCCATGAGCACAAGAAAATATATCTAATTAATAGTTAAATAAAAGTACTATAGGATCCAAGGACTACCCTTTAGGCTTTTCACCATCCTACATTTAATTAACTGAAACTCTTTTGAAGTAGAACTAATTTAGTCTTTTTGAAATAAAATATTTTCCCCCAGTGCTATAATTATAAATCCGGAACACAACATCCTTGTCTTAGCAAGTCATAAAAGCCAGCTTTTTTTGCGTATACTTGTAATTCAAGCATTTAGTAAAGAGAGATTGCAGAACATTCAGGAATAAAAAAAAACTGAAATTAAGCACAAAAGAGACATAATAAAAAGCCAGAATCACAATGCTCAAATTACATGGTGCTGGGAAATGTGTAATAAATGCACTTTTTAAAGGTTACACATCACCAAACTCCCTTTTCACCAACATGAGGCCAGGGAACTAACACAAAAGGAGAGACAGAATAAATAAATGACATAATTCAAGTCAGTGATTCATTAGGAAACAGTTCCTGAGGGTCAAATGAGTCATCATCCATTTTAAGCAGTAAAATTTTCCAATTCTTATGTGGGGGGACAAGTACGTTGCCCTATCCCTACTTCAAGTCAGTATTACAACAGATAAAAAGTAACACATAAAAACATATTTTTAAAATACGAAAATATTTTTTAAAATTCAAAAAGTAAAAAAAAATATGAGGGAGTAGTTCTGCATCTGTGTTGGGTAGAAACCAGAATCAGTTCTAAAATTCCGCTTATGGCTGGCAGCTGGATCCTAAGGCAGAATGTGGCTGTTCCCAGAGCAGAATTGGACACAACAGACTGCTTAGAAGGGCATCCTGTGTAAGGCCCAGTCACTACTAGCATGTTTCAAATTTGGCCAGTTCCAACTTGGGCAACAACAGCCCTTTTCTAAGTTAGTTTTGGCTTGCCAATTGTCAGTATCTATCCCCAGGGTCACCATAGGAGACTGTGTATCCCAATACCCCTTGGCTGCTCCATGAGCTGGGGAGTCGGCTAGCTTCTGCCCTTCAGACAGGACCTATTAAGGCCACCTGTTGAAGTGGTTGTGTTCTTCTACTCAAGACACCCTGACAATAGGGAGTGGGGCTGGTGAACATATGGGTTGGTCACCAGTCCATGCCTGGCTGATGGACTGGTTGGATCCAGCACTCATACTCTGTGGACAGCGGCACAGAATCTGTAGTGGGTGAGAGTGGGGGACACTGTGTTTACACAAAACTTTTCTGCCCCACTGGCCTTTGGGTTCTCCAGCCTTACTCGTGTACTCTGCATTGTGATCTATTTCTTAGCATCAGGCCTGTCTTCTCTACAGCTAGCATGAAATGCTCAGCATAAAGACATCCACATAGCCCCTGGCTCTCATTGTTCCCTGACCTGAATCTAGTCAGCCACTTCATGTTTCTAAACCCTCCCAAATCTTCCTCCTGCCCTCAATCCAGCAGTCAAAACATCTTTTCTCCCCTATGACCTCTCAGTTGTCATGGTAACCAAAAGACAGGTACAAAGAAAAAAAATACATAGCAAGGCTAGATGCAAACTTGGATTATCCCCAGATAACTGGCTGAGACCACATTTCTTTTCATCTTGAAAACATGTAATAAATTAGCAACAATCTTTGTGGTTAGCTTTAACGGTTTAACATGCTTAGTTTAAAAAGCTAGAGAAAAACCAGCTCAACCTGTTTTAAAGAGGCTTCTTGGCAGCCTTTAAGGTTGCCTGCTTTAATTGCCTCAAGTTTTTAAAGACCTTATGGAAAAAAAAACTTCAAAAGTGACCTACAAAATAATTTAATTAAATTCCAATCACTTCAGACAAATAATATTCCATTTCTTTTTTATTTATTTATTTATTTGAAATAAAGTCTCACTCTGTTTCCCAGTCTGGAATGCAGTGGCATGATCACAGCTCACTGCAGCCTCAACCTCCTGGGCTCAAGCATTCCTCCCCCTCAGCCTCCTGAGTAGCTGAGACCACAAGTGCATGCCACCATGCCCATCTAATTTTTAAATGTTTTCTAGAGACGAGGTCTCCCTATGTTGCCCAGGCTGGTCTCAAACTTCTGGACTCAAGTGATCCTCCTGCCTTGGCCTCCCAATGTGCTGGGATTGCAGGTATGAGCCACCACACCCAGCCCCCATTTCTTCATAAGAAGGCTGCTTTGCATAAAAGCAGGTTGTCCATAGAGATCCATCCTTGCTTACTTTGCTATGATTGAGATCAAACATAGAAACAATTTCTCCAATTGTTCAATGAGCAAATATTGTAAAGAGAATGGACTATACTCTTGGGACAGATTTTATACCAATTATTTGGAAAGGTACTTCATCAGGCCAGATTATTACTGACTCTAACATAAAAGTTCATGCACTCGAATATAAGAATTGAGGGCTGGGTGCAGTGGCTCACGCCTGTAATCCCAGTACTTTGGAAGGCTGAGGTGGGCTGATTGCCTGAGGTCAGGAGTTCGAGACTAGTCTGGCCAACATGGTGAAACTCCGTCTCTACCAAAAAAAAATACAAAAAAATTGGCCAGGCCTGGTGGCATGCGCCTGTAATCCCAGCTACTCGGGAGGCTGAGGCAGGGGAATTACTTGAACCAGGGAGGTGGAGGTTGCAGTGAGCCAAGATCGTGCCACTGCACTCCAGCCTGGGCGACAGAGTGAGACTCAGACCCCCAACCCCCCACCCTCCCCCCTAAAAAAAAGAAAGAAAGAAAGAAAAAGAATTGAGCCCCTGTTAATCTCTTTAATCTCTTTATTAACTCCAGTCTCTTGAAGTTCCTGTGGGTGCTGTATGATGTGTTTATGTCTTCCCCAGGACACCTGGATGTCACAGTGCATTCAGGAGCTTAGGATAGTGTGGGCTCTCTCTCTTTCTTTGGCGTGTTCCTCTCCACCTCTCTCTCTTTGTTGTTTTTCCTGTTGCAGGCACTTTTCCTTTTTCCCATGCTGGCAGAGCTCTACTTTTGGGTAAGTTCCATCTTCCTGCTAAGTCTCTCTAGCTTCAGGCCTACAGAAGGGAATTGGGACTGATCTAAGGCACTCATTCACCTTGCCAGGGATATATCTAATTTGGGCAAATAGGTAGAAAGCGTCCAAGGACCTCTGGCAAGGTTTCTCAAGCTAATAAGTAGAGACACACAATCCTTTTCAGTCCTTGGACATCACTGGGTCCTGAGGATGGCAGATTTATGAGCCATTGAATGAATCAATCCTGGAGTGGTGTGGTCCCAATGTAGAACTTCTTGTTATGGGAAGTAGTGCATTCCTCTATGGTTGAAACCAATTGAGTTAAGGTTTGTTGTTACTTGCAGCTGAAACATCCTAACAAAATTTCTCACAAGTTTTTCCTGGATAGCTAAGAAATGAATACAAATGATCAGTTTTCTATCCAATTTGTAAGAAACATTACTGATAGAAATAACACCAAATAAGGCTGGGTGTGGTGGCTCATACCTGTAATCCCAGCACTTTGGGAGACCGAGCCAGGTGGATCACTTGAGGTTAGGAATTTGAGACCAGCCTGACTAACATGGCGAAATCCTGTCTCTGCCAAAAATACAAAAATTAGCCATGCGTGGTGGTACATGCCTGTAATCCCAGCTACTTGGGAGGCTGAGACAGGAGAATCGCTTGAACCCTGGAGGTGGAGGTTGCAGTGAGCCAAGATTGCACCACTGTGCTCCAGTCTGGGCGACAGAGTGAGACTCTGTCTCAAAATAAATAAACTAATTAATAAAATAAATATTTTTTAAAAAGAAATAACACCAAATAAAACTGATGGCTAAAATTGCACATGGTAAAATTTGTAATTTTTAGAGAAACAAATCTGCTTCACAGGACTTATTTATGTATCTCACATTTTATTATGGAAAAATTCAAAATATTCAAAAGTACAGAAACTAATGTTATGAAGTCCCATGTACTTTTCTCTTAGTTTCAACAATTACTAACTCAAGGCCATTTTGTTTCACCTATACGCACACCCACTTTTCCTACCTCCAGAATATTTTGAAGCAAATCCAAGACCTCATATTTCTTTTACAAATATAATGAAATACCATTATCATACCAAAAATTAGTAACTCATTAATATCCTTAAATATTCTGTCAGTGTTCAAATTTCCCAGATTGTCTCCTAATTTTCTTTGATGGTAGATTTGTTCAAATCAAGATCAGACAAGATCCACAGATTGCATTTGGTTAACATGTTTCTTAAGTCTCTTTTGATCTATAGTTTTCTCTCTCCCTATTTTTTCCTTGCAACTTATTTGTTTCTCAAAAATAAAAAAAAATTTAAAAACTACTCCAGAAAAAAATTAGATTTTGTGAAAATAGTGACCACAAAAGAAAGTGCACAATGGTGATGCAGAATGGATTTCTTGTCCATTTGATATGAACAAAATATGATCAATGAATCAAACCTGCGTTGTAAAGTGTAAAGACAGAGGAACTTATTTCAAATATAATTTTTAAAAAATAAAAGGGGAAATTTGAAGGAAATAGTTTAAAACACAAAATTTATCATGGCATTAAATAATTAGATGTTACTCCATAAAGCCTTTTCTTCATCAATATTGACCTAATTTTGATGAAACTGTTTATACTTAGCATGTCCTTAGCATTGAAACAGAGGTGTAAAAATGGTAGTATTAGAATAACGGAGTCAGAACACCTAATATTGGCTGGGTGCGGTGGCTCATGCCTGTAATCACAGCACTTTGGGAGGCCAAGGCAGGCAGACTGCTTGAGCCCAGGAGTTCGAGACCAGCCTGGGCAACATACTGAAATCCCACCCCTACCAAAAATACAAACGAGCCAGTCTCATAACCCGGTCTTTAAATAAATAAATAAATACTTAAAAATAAAATAATTTTTAAAAAGAATACCTAATACTGGTCTATGAGATATCCAAGTGAAAACAGCTAATAGGGTTGGGAGGTCAGAAGACAAAGTGGTGTTATGGTTTGAGAAACATCATCAATTAATTCGTAATTGAAGCCACTGGACTATAATAAATTACCAAGGATTAAAGTGAAGATTAAGAAAGGGGCTTCAGGCTGGGGGCGGTGGCTCACGCCTGTAATCCCAGCACTTCAGGAGGCCAAGGCGGGCGAATTGCCTGAGGTCAGGAGTTCGAGACCAGTCTGGCCAACATGGTGAAACCCAGTGTCTACTAAAATACAAAAAAATTAGCCGGGCATGGTGGCGGGCACCTGTAGTCCCAGCTACTTGGGAGGCTGAGGCAGGGGAATTGCTTGAACCAGGGAGGTGGAGGTTGCAGTGAGCCGAGTTGCGCCACTGTACTCCAGCCTGGGCGACAGAGCGAGACTCCGTTTCAAAAAAAAAAAAAAAAAAAAAAAGCCGTTGGGGGTGGTGGCGCTTCAGAAAGAACCAAAAAATACCAACATTTAAATAAGGGGCTGATAGAAGAAAAGTTAGCAATGAAAATAGGAACAGCCATAAATGTAGGAAGAAAGAAAGGAGAATATGGAGTTCTGGATGCTGTGTCAGCCTTGAGAATACACCTCAAAGACTTTCGACTCTAGGGAGGGTAATTGATCAGGGCTTCCACTGCTAGACTGAAATCTACTGCTGTGCTTGCAACAGGACCAGGCTAGGCACTGATCTAAGTGTTGGATAAATTATGCAGATATGCTCAGTAACTTTATGGGATACATGCTATAGTTCCTAAATAAGTTACTATGGTAAATTCTTAATTATACACTATATGGTTTGTATTTTCTAGCTCTTGAGCTGCATTTTTCCCCCCTATTGCCACCTGTGGCAGCTCTGCTAATTACCTACCTAATATCCATTATTCCTGTTTTTCTTACCATCAGAACTTCTGTTTTGCTCAAGGCAATAGCATGTGCAGCCAAAAACTTGATTTCCCAGGAGTGGTTATAGGACACAGTTCTGGCCAGTGAGATGTAAGAAAAAGTCTACGGGGGGTGCAGAGCGGGGCGGAGCGTGGGAAAGCGGCAGCTGCTTTCCTCATTTTAAGAAGGGGCGCAGGCGAACTTGGCTGAAGTGAACTTTTTGCCCTTTGCCCTTCCCCCTTCCTCTTGCCTAGAATTCAGGTACAATGTGGAATGTGGCACAGTCATCTTTTGACTATGAGGGTGAGAACCACGTTAAGGAAGAAAGAGCAGAAAGATAAAAGGAGGCTGGGTGCTTGATGACGTCTTTGACTACCTACGCTTGGTCTGCCTTCCCTGGGACTTCTTGTTATTTGGAAAAGAAAATGAACATCTCTTTGTTAAGCCGCTTAGTTTTGTTTTAGTCACATGCAGCTGAATGCTATCAAGATTGATACATACTTTTGGTCATTTCACTCCTCACTAATATTCCTAACTAAAGGGTGGGCAGAAAAAGTAAAGATAAAACTCATATGTGTATAAATACTATCTATATCTATACCCATATCTATGTATATATGAGTATATTATAACTTGTTCCAAGTTATGATTTGCATAGTATTTTTAAACAATAAAATCCACAGAAAATCATATCTTTTAGTCCTCACCTTACCAAATAATGTAGTTTTTTCCCTGTTGCAAGTCCAGAATGAGTCATTTTCTTCTAATCCTAGAAAATTTCCAGCGTTTAGCTGAGGATATAACATCATCATCAAATCATAGTTTCTCACCAAGAGCTGGTTCCAGCAGATTCAATTTCCCTTTGTCTACAATATGCCATGTCTTCTACACATTATAATAAAAAAGCGATCTTGGATTTCATCAGAAAATGAAAAACTATTAGGGATAGAAAATTGACTACAGGCTACCAGTTCTTTTATTGAATAAATAGAACACACACACAAACACACAAGAATTATAGGAAAGCAAGATAACCTACAACAGCATAGTATAGTCATCTAGCATCCACAAACACAGACATTTAATAAAATAGAAAGCAACAATTTCAAAATGAGCTATCAGGTATGCAGAAAAGAAAATGGGCTGGGGGCAGTGGCTCACGAATGTAATTCCAGCACTTTGGGAGGCCAAGGCGGGTGGATCACGAGGTCAGGAGTTCCAGAGCTCCTGGCCAAGATGGTGAAACCCCGTCTCTACTAAAAATACAAAAATTAGCCAGGTGTGGTGGCGGGGGCCTGTAATCCCAGCTACTAGAGAGGCTGAGGCAGGAGAATCCCTTGAATCCAGGAGGCGGACGTTGCAGTGAGCCGTGATCCCGCCACTGCACTCCAGCCTGGGCTGGACAGAGCAAGACTCCGTTTCAAAAAAAAAAAACAAAAAAAAAAAAACAGAGAGAAAAGAAAATGAACAAAAACTGGAGAAATCAAAGTTTAGAATGACACACATATATTAAGTGGCTCTAGGTACAGAATACTTTTTCCCTAAAAGTGAAAGGTTATTTTTGACCTTCCAAATGTAGTAGACTTAACTTTTTCTTTCAACAGAGAAAAAAAGTTTCTTTACTGGTGATGTTTGGAAATGCCAAGATGTGGAGCTGGCAAATACTGCTTTTATAAGTGGGAAAATCATTCATGCTACAAGAGTACCAGAACTTTGTCTATTTACCATTCTTCTCTCTCATCCCTAGAACAGTGCATAGCACAACAGTAGGTGCACAATATAAAGTTGCTGAATAAATAAATGATCTTTTTTTTCAGAAAGAATTGAGAAAAATGACTGGCAGATGGTAAATAATTTGTTTAAAGTCAAGGAATAGATAACAAGTCATTATTAAAGGGATCTGTTTGTTTGGTTGTTTAGCATCCCTTTTCTTCATCTCCCAGTGACAGAACCCTGCTCTTCCTTTGGGGAAAGGTTCCTTAACTATTCATTTTATGTGATTTTTATGGGGTGGTTCAACATATTACCCTCCTGGCATGGCCTTAGGGGTAGTGGGCTCATAACCCGATCTGGGCCAATTATTCCTTGAAATTTATATCTACTGAAGCAGCGAGATAAATCTTGTCTTTCTTTTTGGGGTTGCTAGCTGGGGTGATGTTTGCCTAGAGCTCTATGTAGTCACAACTGTCTTATTTTGAAAAATAAGTAAGGGAGGTTGGGAGGAAACAGAAGTGGAGCTGAAAGGTGAAGACAGAGTCCTTATGTCAGGATCCAGGGGTCCCTGAAGCTGGCTCCACTCCTGACTTTCTCAGTACATATGCCAAGACATTTAATTTTTTAAATTTTGAATTATATATAAAAATAGATATTTGAAAATAAGTGTATAGTTCAGTGGCATTAAGTACATTCACATTGTTGTACCAAAACTCAATTTTCTACTTAAGCTAGATTAAGTTTGTGTTGTCATTTGCAGTTTAAAAAACGGTAGATTTTTTGGGTTCGTTTTTGTCTTTTTATTATTGTGTTATAGGAATTCTATATATATTCTGGATACTACTTCTTTATCAGATATATATTTTGAAAACAATTTCTCCTAACCTATAGCTTACCAAATTAGATTCTTAAGACTGTCTTTTGATAAGCAGAAGTTGTTAATTTTGATGACAACTAATTTATCAATTTTATATTTTTGTGATTAATGCTTTCTCTATCCTAAGAAATCTTTACCTATTCCCAAGTTGCAAATATATTCTACTTGGTTTTCTTCTAGAAGCTGTATAGCTTTATTTTTTTATTTTATTTTATTTATTTTTTTTAGAAATGAGATCTTACTCTGTCACCCAGGCTGGAGTACAGTGGCACAATCAATCATAGCTCACTGCAGCCTGAAACTCCTGGGCTCAAGCAATCCTCCTGCCTCAGCCTCCTGAGTAGCTAGGACTACAGGTGCACCACCAGGCCCAGCTAATATATATATATATTTTTAGATTTTTTTGTAGAGAGTGTCTTGCTATGTTGCCCAGGATGGTCTTGAACTCCTGGTCTCAAGTGATCCTCCTGCCTTGGCCTCCCAAAGTTCTGGGATTACCTGAGCCACTCAGCCCAGGCTAAAATTAATTTTTATATTTGGTGTGAGATACAGGTTGAGGTTGATATTTTTCCAGATGTATATTCTGTTTTTTCAATATCACCTGTTGAAGGAATTTTCCATTTCTCATTGGCTTGCTTTGATGCTTTTGTTGAAAATCAAATGAATGTGGGTCTACTTCTGGGCCCGCAGAAATAGTCCGTTCCATTGATCTATTTGTCTATCCTAATACTAATACTGCACACTGAATTGCTGCATATTTATAAGTCTTGAAGTCAGATGGTGTAAATTCTCCAACTTTATTCTGCCCTGAAAGGGCTTAAACTAACTTAGCAACTTATTAGTTATTATTGCTCTATTATTAGATAATCATATCAATCTAATAGATACTACTAGATAGTATTATTAGGTGTATAGTTGTAGACCCTGGAATTCAAAAAGAAGAATATGCCTTCTTTGTTGTTTTTGTTACTCACCTCAGCAATATTTCTTCCATGTCAGCATGATAAAAGAGGTTTGTAGCAGACATTTGTAATATTGAGCTCTCAGCACACAAATATCCTTCTTGTTTTGTTTCCTTTGCCTAGCATGCCATATTCCTTTTTCCTAACTCCTATTTGTTCTTCAGTTCCAAGTTAAACTATAAAAATAAAACTATTTACATGTGCATAAAAAAACAAAATGTTTAGGAATACGTCAAAGACTTATAAGACCTCTGCACTGAAACCTACATTAACATTGCTGAGAGAAATTAAAAGTCTTCTTAAATTAGAGACATAGATCATTTTCATGGATTGGAAAACTCAGTATTCTAAAGATGTCAATTAATTCTAAATTGATCTAGGGAGTTAACATAATCTCAATCATAATCCTAGCAGGCTTTTTTTTGGTAGAAATTAACAAGTTTATTCTAAAATTTATATGGAAACGCAAAGGACCTAGAAAACCCAAAGAATCTTGAAAAATAAGGACAAAGTTGGAGAACGCAGGCCACCCAAGTTCAAGACTTACCAAGTTTAGCTATGATTTCTTCAAGGATACCTTTTATGCCCCTCCCAGTCTGGATTAAGTGCCCCTCCTCTGTAATTCCATAGTATTATCTATGAAAAGCACTTATCAGGGCATTTCAATAATGTGTTATTTGTCTGTATTCCTCGTCCTGGGCTTCTTAAGGGCAGGAACAAGGCTTGTCTATCTTGTTTATCCTGAATCTGAAACACCTAGAAAGATGTAACATGACAGACATACAAGTATTTGCCACATTAAATTGAACTTAAATACTTTACATAAAAGAGTTAATATTTTAAAAGAAAACTCATAAAGGTTCATTTTCTGCTTGAGAACTGCTTAATCAGGTGACCAAGACTGGTTTATTGGACTTGGTCTTTAAAAATATTAATATTACTATGACGGAACTAAAAAGATGAAGATCACACAATTTGATTCATAAGACATTAGTTCAACCCTTAGGAATCAAACCCTCTAAACATTTATAGTACATTGCTCAGCAATTGTACTCTAAAGGATTTAGGTATGGAATACTGCAGAAGGCAAAAATGGCTTTATTCACAAAGGCGTTCAATGTTATTGCTATTTACATAGGAAAAATGGAGGCAAGCTAAGAAACCTATACATGAGAATAATTTTTTAAAAAACACCATGGTAGATCAACTTGACATAATATTTTACAGCCATAAGATGATTATCAAAATAGTATAGTGTTCCCAAAATGGCAGATGAGGTTATTTGTATTAACCTTCTTGTTAAAACTAAATAATAAAGCTCAGTTATTATTTTAACCTTCTTTTAAATCACAAAGAAGAAATGACAAGTCAGTAAAAAATTACCAGGCCAAAAATGAAAGGAAAATGTTATCCCGAAGATGTAACTGTGCAAGACGTGGCTTTTGCCCTGAGAGTATTTGCCAATCTTGAAAATTTTGAACCTTAATTTTAAAACTGTCACGGGCAAGACAGAAAATAAAGCCAAGGTCTGCGTAAGCTTGAGGGTCTAACAGGAGAAACTTCTCACAATATTGGAACCCCAAAGAGCTATGCAATCCAAGTAAACTATAAACTAGAAGAGAAATATTTTACATAGAATTACAGCCAACATAGGGTCACCCGAGCACCAGATAATTTCAAGCCTTAAAATAGTTGAACTACCAGGTACTTGGCAATTCCTCTCTAGAGAAAAGAACTTTCTCTATAAAGAGAAGCAAACGCAAATCCTCTCTACAGAACTTTCATTGCAAGTCTAAATTTATTCCCACAAATATTTTTTCAAATACAATGTCCATCACACACACACACACACACACACACACACACACACACACACACACGGCTCGCAAAGAAACCAGACTGCAGAGCAGGAGCTAGCAAAAACATTAGACAAGGGAAACAGACTCATAAAGATTTTAGATTTTAAACAACGAGGCTGGCTATAGGTTTAAAAAGTGAAAGACAAGTTTGAAGATCTCTGTAGAGAATAGGAAACTATGAAAAGTGCTGTAGTAAATTTACAAATGAATCTAAAATAATTCTAGAAATAGAAAATACAATAACCTTAATTAAAAACCCAGAAGTAAAGCTTCTGGATTGGTGGAACACATTGAGCTGCTAGGAGGGTGGTGTGACCTGAGAAGCCACGGAAGCTCCGTGCCACCCGTGCTCCCACACCTTGCCCTATGCACCTCTTCCACTTGGCCATTTCTGAGTTGGAGGAGAAGAAGGTCATGTGAAGATAGAGGCAGAGATTGGAGTTATGCAGCTACAAGCTAAGGAACACCTGGAGCTACCAGAAACTGGAAGAGGCAAAGAAAGATTTTCCCCATAGGCTTCAAAGGAGTTTGGTCCTGCTGACACCTTAACGTTGAACTTCTGGCCTCCAGAACCCCAAGATAATAACATTCTGTTGATTTAAAGACAAACAACCCAAATATCAGATCCCTGCTCTAAATAAATGGCTCTCAGCTTTGGCTGCACATTGGAAACCCATGGGAAAGCTTAAAACAAAAACCAAGCACAAACAAAAAAACCCCACGGATGACCACGCTCCAACCCAGATCAGTTAAATCACAATCTTAGGGAGTGAAGCCCAGCAGTTGATTCCTTTAAAAGATGTGCATCCTGAGTTGGGAACCATTACTCTGGATTAGGAATGGGCAAGCTGTGGCCCATGGGACAAATCTGGCTTGCCACCTGCTTTTGCAAATAAAGTTTCATTGGAATATGCACATGCACACAAACAAAACCAAGGGGTCAGTTTAGTCACTTATATGCTGCTGGAAAGAGAATTAGTAAACTGGAATAAAAGAAATAATAATGATTAGAGTATAAATTAATGAGATTAAAAAATAGAAAAGCAGTAGAGAAAATCAATGAATCCTAAAGTTGGTTCTTTGAAAGATTGACAAAAATGATAAAACTTTAGCTAGATTGACCAAGAAAAAGAGAGAAGACTCAAATTACTAAAATAAAAAGTGAAAGAGGACATTACTACTCACCTTACAGAAATAAAAAGGATTATAAAGGAACACTGTAAACAACTGTATGACAACAAATTAGATAATTTAGATTAAATGGACAAATTCCTACAAGGACACAAACTACTGAAATTGGCTATAGACAAATGAAGAGATCTATAACACATGAAGGGATTGAATTAATAATGAGAAAACTACCCACAAAGAAAAGTCCAGGTCCAGATAGCTTTACTGCTGAATTCTACTAAACATTTAAGGAAGAATTAATGTCAGTTCTTCACAAACTCTTCCAAAAATTGAGGAAGAAGGAAACACTTCCAGACTCATTTTGTGAGACCAGTGTTACTCTGATATCGAAACCAGACTAATATATCACAAAAAAGATAACTATAAACCAATATCTCCATTGAGTATGAACAAATAAATCCTCAGCAAAATACTAGCAACTAAATCCAGAAACATATGAAAACAATGATACACCATGACCAAGTGGGATGCAAGTTTGGTTTAATTTCCCAAAATTAGTAATTAATTATATCATACCAATATAATTAAAAAACTCATATGATCATCTCAATAGATATGGGAAAGCATTTGACAAAATCCAACACTCACGATAAATACACTCAACAAGCTAGAAACAGAAGGGAACTTCATCAATCTGATGAGGGCATCTACAAAAAACCCCACAGTTAACATATACTTAATGGTGGAAGATTGAATACTTTCCCCCTAAAATCAGGAACAAGACAAGAATGTCGACTCTTGTCACTTCTATTCAACACTGTACTGAAGGTAGCCAGAGCCAGTAGGCAAGAAAAAGAAGTCAAAGGCGACCAGATTGGAAAGGAAGAAATAAAACAATCTCTATTCACAGAGGACAAGTATTTGCAAGTCATATATCTGACCTATATCAGGGACATATATCCAGAAATATAAAGAACATTTAAACTCAATAAGAGACAAATAACCAATCACAAGTGGACAAAATATGTTAATTTCCTTCTCAAAGGAAGATATAGAAGTAGCCAATAAGCACATGAAAAGATACTCAACATCTTTAGTCATCAGGGAAATTCAAATCAAAACCACAATGAGATACCACTTCACACTCACTAAAATGGCTAGAATAAAAAAGTCGGATAATAACAAGCATTGGCAAATCTGTGGAAAAATTGGAAGCCTCGTACACTGCTGGAGGGAATGTAAAATGGTACAGTCACTTTGAAAAACAATCTGGCAGTTTTTTAATGGTTAAACATAGAGTTACCATATGATCCAACAAATCCATTCTTAGGCGTATACTGACAAGAAATGAAAACTTTTTGTTTTGTTTTTTGAGATGGAGTCTCCCTCACTCTGTTGCCCAGACTGGAGTGCAGTGGTGCCATCTCGGCTCACTGCAACCTCTGCCTCCCGGGTTTAAGCCATTCTCCTGCTTTAGCCTCCCGAGTAGCTGGGATTACAGGTATGCTCCACCACACCCAGGTAAGTTTTGTATTTTTAGTAGAGATGGGGTTTCACCATTTTGGCCTCCTGACCTCAAGTTATCCACCTGTCTTGTCCTCCCAAAGTGCTGGGATTACAGGCATGAGCTACCACACCCGGGTAAGTTTTGTATTTTTAGTAGAGACGGGGTTTCACCATTTTGGCCAGGCTGGTCTCTTACTCCTGACCTCAAGTTATGCACCTGTCTTGTCCTCCCAAAGTGCTGGGATTACAGGCATGAGCTACCACACCCGGCCAAAAACATTTTATACAAAAAATTATACAAGAATGTTTATAGAAGCATTATTCACAATAGTCAAAAGACAGAGATGACTCAAATGTCCACCAACGGATGGATCAACAAATACGGCATATGCATACACTGGAATATTATTCAGCTGTAAAAAAAAATGAAGTATATGCTACAACACAGATGAGCCCTGAAAACATGTTAAGTGGAAGAAACCAGTCACAAAAGACCACATATGATATAATTCCCTTTAGATGAAATGTTCACAACAGGGTAATCCACAGAGACACAAAGTAGATTAGAGGTTGCTTAGGCCTGGGAGTGGGGAGATAGGGTGATAAAGCTGATGGCTAAAGGGTACGGGCTTTTTTTTCAAGGTGATGAACGTTTTAATTGACTATAGTGATGTTTATACATATCTGTAAATGTAACAAAAACTATTGAATTGTATACTTTAAATGGGTGAACTGGGCAGGCTCTGGGCACACTGCCTATGAGTTAGCCCTGCTCTGCAAGGAGCAGTAAAAAATAAAAAATAATAATAATAAAAAATAAATAAGTGGTTGAATTGTATAGTATGTGATTTATATCTCAGTGAAGTGTTAAAAAATGTAATGAGGCACCGACTCTCAGGTGCCAACCCTGCACTTCACAAACCTAAGCGCAAAGGCTTCCTCACATTTTGCACCTTGGGTTCTTTGCCTTGCTTCACTATATTCCTGCATATGTTCTGCATCCATCCCCCCTTTCACAAAGATAATCATCTTTTTATTTGCTCTTCTTGTTGTATCCCCTTGCCTCGAGGCTTTTATGTAAGAAGGCTAAAAGTAGAAAATTGCTTGTGAGATACTTCCTTTTTGGGCTCTCTCTTTTTAACAGAGTTTACTAGAGTTTATGACAAATATGTTTGTGAGCAATAAGAAAATACTTCTCTTTTCAGAGCAATCACAGAGCAGAATGATACATTTTGTCAAGATTTAAAGTCTTAAAGTAGGCAGGTAATGAGAGAGAGAGGCCCTGAGCTCTGCCTGGTGGTAGCATTTCAAGGAATGGGCAAGATTTTAGAGGGGATGGCTATGTGGCAAACCTAGACAGAGGCTTGGGGTTCCTAGCCTCAACCAAGTTTCCTGGTAATTGCTTACAAATGGCATGCAGGGAGAAAGCTGTCAGACTTCCAGTGTCAGTGACCACTACGGCTCTGGACAATGCAGATGCTTGCAGAAACCTTAATGAACTCGAGCTACAGACCCTTCCTGTTTTCCAAGTACCAGATAAGGCCTGGGTGGGGAAGAAAATTCCAGATATTAATGAAAATTCAAATTCTTGCTGCCCTAACAGAATGAGAAATTCCAGTCTTTTAATTAAATTTTTTTTTCTCTTTTTAGAGACAGGGTCCTGTTCTGTTGCCCAGGCTGGAGTGCAGTGGCACAGTCAAGGCTCACTAGAGCCTGGAACTTCTGGGCTCAAGGGATTCTCCTGCCTCACCCTCCCAAGTAGCGAGGACTACAGACATGAGCCACCATGCCCGGCTAACTAAAAAAAAATTTTTTTGTTGTCGTTTTGCAGAGACAGGGTCTTGCCATGTTGCCCAGGCTGGTGTCAAACTCCTGGGATAAAGCGATCCCCCTACCTCGGCCTCCCAAAATGTTGGGATTAGAGGTATGAGCCACCACACTTGGCTAGATTTTTTGTTAATAATAAAGAAATGTGTATTTCTTATACAGTAGAGGTTTTTCTTTTAAACTTTTTGATTTTGAAATAATTTCACAGCTGGATGTGGTGGCTCATACCTGTAATCCCAGCACTTTGGGAGGCCGAAGCAGGAGGATTGCTCGAGCCCAGGAACACAAGACCAGCCTGGGCAACATGGCAAGACCTTGTCTCTAGAAATAATTAAAAAATTAGCCAGGTATGGTGGCGGGCACCTGTGGTCCCAGCTACTCAGGAGGCTGAGGTGGGAGGATCATTTGAACCCAGGAGGTCAAGGCTGCAGCAAGCCATGGTTGCGCCACCTCACTCCAGCCTGGGCAACAGAGCAGGACCCAGTCTCAAAAAAAAAGAAAGAAAGAAAAGAAAAAAATGATGTCAAAGTTACAAAAATAAAAATAGTACAAACAATACCCATATATATATATTATATATATACATAATATATATTATATATACATAATATATATAATATATACACATAATATATATAATACATATACATAATATATATTATGTATATATACATTATATATTATATTATACATATATATGTATATATACACACATTATATATACATAATATATATTATATATACATAATATATATTTTATATATACACATATATATTTTTATGTATACATAATATATATAATAGATACATAATATATATAATATATTATATATATATTTTATATATACACTAATATATATAATGTATACATAATATATATAATATATATTATATATACATATATTATATGTATGTGATATATGTATAAATCTGTGAATTATATATTATAATATATATAACATATATTATATATTATATATAATATATGTTATATATATTATAATATATAATATATATATTATATATATTATGTATACATAATATATATTAGTGTATATATAAAATATATATATAATATATAATATATACATGTATATATAAAATATATATTACATATGTATACATATTACATAATATATATTATATACACATAATATATATAATACATACACAATATATAATATATACACATAATATACATTATATATACACATTATATATATTATATATACAAAATATATATAATATATATACATAATATATATCTCTCTCTATATATATATGTTTTTTTGAGACAGATTTCACTCTTGTCACCGAGGCTGGAGTGTAATGTGCGATCTTGGCTCACTGCAACCTCCACCTCCCAGGTTCAAGTGTTTCCTCCTGCCTCAGCCTCCCAAGTAGCTAAGATTACAGGTGCCTGCCACCATGCCTGGCTAATTTTTGTATTTTTAGTAGTGATGGGGTTTCACTATGTTGGCCAGGCTGGTCTTGAACTCCTGACCTCAGGTGATCCACCTGCCTTGGCCTCCCAAAGTGCCGGGATTACAGATGTAAGCCATTCATATATTCTTTACCCAGCCATTCACATATTCTTTACCCAGATCCACCCACTATTAACATTTTCCTCCATTTGCTTTGTCCTTTGCTATTCATTTAACTATGTAATATATATGTTTGCATATATACATATATAATAAATATTTGTATAGACATACACGTGGTCTTTTTCTAAATCATTGGAGGGTAAGTTATATATATTATGATTCTAAAATATTAGGTCCATTATATGTAATATTTGAAACATTATATTATATATATGTAGTAAATATAATACAGTCATGTGCTGCATAAGGATGTTTCGGTCAAAGAACGGCATATACAATGGTGGTCCCATAACATTATAATGGGGCTGAAAAATTCCTATGACTGAGTTGATGTCTTGATGATCCTCACCCAGTGTAGGCCTAGGCTAATGTGTACGGTGCTTATAAAGTCTACAGTAGTGTACAGTAGTGTCCTAGACCTTCCCATTCCCTCACCACTCACTCACTTACTCACTCAAGAGCTACTTTCAGTCCTGCAAGCTCCATTCATGGTAAGTGCACTATATAGGTGTGCCATTTTATATTTTTTATATCATAATTTTTATACCAAAAATTGTACCTTTTCTATATTGAGATATGTTTAGATATCCAAATGCTTACAATTGTGTTACAGTCCCCTACAGTATTCAGTACAGCAACATACTGTACAGGTTTGTAGCCTAGGAGCAATAAGCTGTACCATATAGCCTAGGTGGGTAGTGGGCTATACCACCTAGGTTTGTATACTCTATGATGTTAAGATGACAGAATCACCTAATGATGCATTTCTCAGAACACATCCCTGTTATTAAGCAATGTATGACTGTATACGGGGACCAAGAAGGATATTCTTTTTCATAACCACAGTTAATGTTGCCAGGCTTAGCAAATAAAAATGCAGGATGCCATGGGCAAATTCCAACAGAAATGAAAGCTCTGAGCTTTCCCAGACTAGGGGAACTACTACACTTCCTCTGCTGAACACACTTAGACACTGCTGTTGGATTTGATGGGTTCTGGGTCTCCTTGGTTACCCTCCAACATCCAAACAATAAATCTAATCCGCTGGGCAAGATTTCTGGTAAGCAGTAAATGTCTGCTATGATCTTGCTGATAAAAGTGAAGGTTAGTTGACTCTTTTTTTCCATGTCTTGAAAGCTCTGTTGATTTGGTAGTGTTTCTCAGAAATGAACTGAATAAGAATTGTCTTATAAAAAACACTGTTTAACAAATTTAAATATAACTCATCATTAGATCTTGTTAAAATGTAGGTTCTGATGCAGCAGAACTGGACTGGGGTATGAAATTTTGTATTTCTTAATAAGCTTCCAGAGGACATCAGCACAGTTGTCCTCCTAATCACACTTTGAATTGTGACAGTCAATAGATATTTCAAATATGCAGGTACCTAGGCCCTATGCCAATGTATTGATTCAGAATCTCTGGAGGCAGTGTCCAGGAATATTAATTTAAACAAACTCCTAGGGAGATATGAGAACCACTGATCTATGGGTTTGAAATATCCTCTATCTTATTCTCAACTTGTTTATTTTGTTTCTGAAAGCCCAGTGCAGGTCCCTCCTGCTTGATGCTTTTTTCATTGACCACCTCAGATGTAAATTCATTAACAGTTGTTGGCAGCACTTGCTATTTATCATGGGCTTTCTTTTCTTACATATATCCTGTCTCCTCAGATGTTACTTCTCGAAGTGAACAATTATATAGATTCTTGTAGCCTCAGCTCCTACCATAATGCTTAGCAGAGAGTAAATGTTTAATATGTATCATGGATAATAATGGTGATGGTAGTGGAAGATGAATTTCTCTCCAGGACACGTGACTGTTGCCCAGGCCTTGTGTGATTAAAAGAACAAGAGTCCTGCTGACTCCACAAAAGAAACAATCGTTAGCAAAAACTGCAACTCCCAACTATGGCACGTTTTTCAGAAACTGGTACCACAATCCTTTTGTACCTTGGTAGTTTGAATTTTATTATGGTAAATGGCACTTTAAAGGAAATAAAGTAATACTTTGAACTTAATATGTCTTTTATCTGTGAACCTCAAAGCAGCCTAATGCCATTTATTAAGTTACTGTACAGCCATGATGTAAATATTATCATACCTTCCTTACAAAAAAGCTGACTAGGGAAAGAGTTGTAATGTACTTGCCCAAAATCATAGCCATTCTAAGAAGGCCAAACCAAGAAACGGAGGAGTAGCTAGGTGGCTGACAGGTCAGCACTTCTCAGCATTTCCCAGACCTCAACTTAGGTGAGCTTTCCATAGGAGAGACGGCTAAGAAGTAACGGAAGACTATTTCAATTTGGGTGAACCAATTTCCTTTTCCTCCGTATTCCCATTACCATTGCTCTTGGTATCTTGTGATGCTTATACATTCTTATATTTAGGTTAAATGCCGACCATCTTCCCTCAACAACTTCCTTATCTATTTTCCAGTAATCTTGTTCTCCCTACCTCCTAGTTTACTATAGCAGCAGAGATATTAGATTGGTACAAAAGTCATTGCCGTTTTTGCCATTACTTTTAATGCCATTATTTTTAATGGCAAAAACAGCAATTACTTTTGCACCGACCTAATAAAATAACTGCCAGCTGAGGGGATCTGAAATGAGATTGGAACCCTAGTTTGACCGCTCACGAACTCGGCCTCTTAGGAGAGGTGTCTCAGGGAGTCAGTTTCTTCTTTGTGTGTGAAACGGAAAAGGACTACGCCCCTGTACCTTACTGAGGGATTGAGGCGATAGAACGCGATTCGTAAACTGCACAGCACTAAACGGATACCACTTTGTCCCCTTACTATGTCATTCCTTGTTTAATTTAATGCCAGGGCCACACAGCGCAGCATAACTAATAGGGATAGGGCGTGTCTGTAGGGAACTACCTCGAGGTAGATCTTTTTCTTTTGAGGAAAGGGGGAACGCGGAGCTGCTGGGAGTCGTAGTCTCGGCGGCGGTCTCCGCTGAGCTCAGACAAAGGAAAGAACTACAACTCCCGTGAGGCAGTGCGCGGACAGCTCGCACTGCCCCTCCTCCCCCAACCGGCGCGTGCCCCCAAGAGAAACTGGGGGCCTGCGCGCGCGCTGGGGACCTGCAGGGCAAGCGCAAAGGCAGCTTGCTAGTGGTAGCCGTGAGAGCAGATCGAGGAAAGGAGACCCTTGGCAAATTAAAAAATAAAAAGAACCGTGCACTATTGCCTCACCACCCGGACGGGCTGTAAACCCCCACTACTTCGGAGGCGTGGGGAGCGCGCTCCCGGGCTCCAGTCTAGAACTTCGGGGACTTAAATCAGCAAGGGCGGGAAGGGGCGGGGCCTAAGGCGCGGGGCGGGGCCGTAGGCGGGGCGGGCGGCGGCGGCGGCGGCGGAGCCAGGACCCAGACATCTGGGACTGTTGTTCTCTCGCGGCGCGACCGCCTCAGTCACTTCGCCCAGAGACCCGGACCTGGTCCGCTGGGGAGCAGGCGGCCATAAACCCCCTCTCTCCCGGTTCCCTGACGCCGCGGCAGGAGCTGTTACGAACACCCTGCGGTTGGTCTCCGATGCCCTTCAGTGAGGTGGGGACGCCTGGACCCTGGTGAGCGAACCCCAAGCCACCCCCCACCCCAACTCAGTGTCTTCGCCGGCCCCCGGCCCGTACGCCTGTCTGGTCGCCATGGCTGAAAACACAGAGGGGGATCTGAACTCCAACCTGCTCCACGCCCCCTACCACACCGGGGACCCTCAGCTGGACACGGCCATCGGGCAGTGGCTCCGCTGGGATAAGGTGGGTACCTGGTCAGCCCGGCAAACGCCGTCGCCTCCCCCACACAGTCTGCTCTTTCCTGTGCCCACCCAGCGCCCCGCGGGCTGCAGAGGAGATGGCTCGGGACACCGAGCGGGGGGCAGCGGAGCAGGGCGTTGCCACCCACCTATGCGTGGGGTTGCTCCTTCGGACTGCCAGAGCCGGGCGGCAACATCTGCATCGCTTCCTTCTGCAGTGCTCTCAATTGTAACCTCCCTTCCTCTTCTTTACCCTCTTTCCTTTCAAGTGCTGTCTTCCCTCTTTCTTCAAAAAAAAAAAAAAAAAAATCATCATCATTGTAAGTTATACCCTAAACAACGATTTCCTTTCCCTTTTTCTCCCTTGACTTCCTTCTCCACATACCTGAAAGTGGTTTCTGGCACCCTTACTGGGCGTTTCTAACCGCTATCCGCTTTAGTTCTGGTCTGGTGTGTTTCCTCCTTCTGTCGCTAGGTAGTTGCTGGCCTTTTATCACTCCCTGGTATTGTCTAGTATCACCTTTTGCTGTTGGGAAAGGCAAGGCGCTTACCTCTTCTTTCTCCTGCTGGCAGCTATTTTCTGGAATTAATCTGTTCAAGGAATCGTGTTTTCCAGGTTTCATGTGGTACTCTTAATACAGGATTGTTTTTGCCTTAACCATTACTTCTCTACCAACACCTCCCCACCCACCCTCCGCCCCCACCTCCAAGTTGTGGTGGTAATTAAACCTCGTGCGGGCATTTGGGATGAATTTGTGACAATCAGAATTAAAATGCAGCTATCTTACTTGTAAAAGAGGTCCCTGGTAGCTCCAACAGAGGAAGATAATCCAAGCTTTTGCTTTGTCAAGTGCGTAAAATACCTTTGTTGAAGTAGAGAAGGCAGCACATTTAAAATGGAATTAATGACACTGAATTAAGGAATTTGTATGGTAGTATGTGACATTATGTTGTACAAATGAATTTCCTTAAGGCTTCACTTTCTGAAAGTTTTGTTTTTACTTTATTCATTCATTCATTCAGCAAAAAAATATTGAATGCTGAGTGCGTGTTTTAGGTCTTGTTAGACCCAGGAAATACTTGTGAGGAAAATAGAAAGGGTTCCTGCCCTCAACAAGCCTCAGTTAGCAGATGAGGAAGACCAACAAATAAGCAACTACAATGAGGTATTTGGTGTTAATTGGTCATATGTATATTGGACGAATAATTCTTCCTCTACAGTCTAAACTAATGCTTCTCAAACCTTAATGTGCTTATAGATCACCTGGGGATCTTGAAATACAAATTCTGATTCAGGAGGCCTGGGGTGGGGCCTTGGATTCTGCCTAAGAATGAATTTCCGGCCGGGCGCCGTGGCTCAGGCCTGTAATTCCAGCACTTTGGGAGGCCGAGGCGGGTGGATCACGAGGTCAGGAGATCGAGACCATCCTGGCTAACATGGTGAAACCCCGTCTCTACTAAAAATACAAAAAATTAGCCGGGCGCGGTGGCGGGCGCCTGTAGCCCCAGCTATTCGGGAGGCTGAGGCAGGAGAATGGCTTGAACCCGGGAGGCGGAGCTTGCAGTGAGCGGAGATCGCGCCACTGCACTCCAGCCTGGGCGACAGAGCGAGACTCCGTCTCAAAAAAAGAAAAGAAAAGAAAAAAAAAGAATGAATTTTCAGGTGATACTAATGCTGCTGGTCTGTGGACCACACTTGGAGTAGCAAGACTTTTTGTTCTCTTTAGGTGCCAGTTTTAACTGTACTTTTCCTAATGAGTCTCCTGATTGATTTTTTTTTTTTTTTTTAAACAGGGTCTCACCGTGTTGTCCAGGCTGGAGTGCAGTGGCGCGATCTCCGCTCACTGCACTCACTGCAGCCTTGAACTCCTGGGCTCAAGTGATCTTTCTGCCTTAGCCTGCCGAGTAGCTGGGACTACAGGCACATGCCACCACGCCCGGCTAATTAAAAAAAATTTTTTTTTTTTTAGAAATGGGGTCTCACTATGTTGCCCAGGCTTGTCTTGAACTCTGGGCCTCAAGGGATTCTCCCACCTCAGCCTCCCAAAGTGTTGGGATTATAGGCATGAACCACCACACCCGGCCCCTGAATTATTTTTAAAAGATTGTTTGAATGAATTTATATTTATTGATTGTCCATTCTATGCCTATACATTGTTGGGATATACTGAAATATTAAAGAAACCTGTAAAATGCACATAAAATAATAATGCTAGGGTAGTTTTGGTGGCAATTAAATGGTTTGTAGGCAGTCAGTTCTTGCAGTTCAAAAGTAGGAGTAAACGGTGGACTGAGATGCTCAAGGAAGACTTCATTAGAAGATAGGATACATAAAAAGAATGAAGAGAGGTCAGGCACGGTGGCTCACGCTTGTAATGCTAGCACCCTGGGAGGCCAAGGTGGGCAGATCACCTGAGGTCAGGAGTTCGAGACCAGCCTGGCCAACATAGTGAAACCCCGTCCCTACTAAAAATACAAAAAAAAAAAAAAAAAAAAAAAAAAAAAGCCAGGCGAGGTGTCACGTGCCTGTAGTCCCAGCTACTCAAAGGCTGAGGCCAGAGAATCACTTGAACTTGGGAGGCGGAGGTTGCAGTGAGCTGAGATCGTTCCACTGCACTCCAGCCTGGATGACAGAGTGAGACTCCATCTCAAAAATAAATAAAACAAAATAAAAATAATGAAGATAAAACTTCATTGAAAGTGGAAGATAAATTCTTAATTTGTATTTAAAGTGCCTCTGAATATAAGGCATTAGCTGAAACCTGTGAGAGATAGAAAGATGAAATAGATATGGATCATATCTTTAAAGAAAATAGAAGGGAAGGAAAAGCATAAATAATAGGGGCAAGTAATAAGTATCCTTAACAGAGGAATAGATTAAGTAATTTGTTAATTATTTAATAAATATAATAAATTTCTTCATTGATCCTCTCTTAATAGGAGAGAATACATTTAATGGAGAAATTGTATCTACTGTAGATTGATACTATAGGTAAGCTAGACTGTCTCAGGGCACTGAAATTTAGAGTGCAGAAATGTAAAATAAGATCAGACTCATGGCATTTCTTACATTATATATTGATGGCATATGTAGTCTTTTAACAGAGAAACTGATTTTAACACCTGATGAATACCTATTTAATTAAAAAAGGAACCAAATGCCACCAATTCTTCATGACTCAGATGAGGCATATAATAAGTTTTAAATTGATTAGAGGTCAATTTGCTACTTGCGTTGGTCACTAAAATTACTAATCTTAGTCTCGGTTGGTGTATTTGAAAAGTCTTTATGAAAAAATGTTATTTGTGCTTGAACTTTCAGAATTAGTTAAAATTAGACTTGCTAACATAAGGAGAACTATGACAAGCATAGAGAGAAATTTTAATGTGTGTATTAAGAACTTTTATTTCTGCTGTTGCTCAGGGTACATAGAAAATTTTGGAAGGATGTGTAAAGACCAGGTCATAGAAGGGCTTTAGTATGTCTTGAAGGGCTTAAATACACACAGGTGTGTGTGTAAATGTTAAAAAGAAAACAATGCAACAAGACAGGTGTTTATTGGGGCAGTTTGGGGTACTCCATGTAATTTCTAAGGGGTGGCTTTCTGTTGGTAAATTTACAAGTCCAGAATGTGACCTTCCATTCCTGAGCCTTCAGCCTAATTTGTTAGCCTACCTTGTCTCAGGATGTACTCACTGTGCCCAATGCCACAGAAACTGATGTCTGAATTCAGAATGTTTTATTAATGTATGGTACAGATGTAATAGCTAAGTAGATTTGTTTCTATTCAGGGCATTTTCTAGATGCACCATAGGAGAAGTCAAAAGAAGATTTTTGGTGGTCATGAAATCAAATCACAGGGAGTCAGATATATGACACAAACATTTAACAGCATCAACCTGTAATAAGTAAATGCACACATCTCCACAATGGGACTGTCCTACCATTAGAACCCAACAAGTCCTAGATCAAGGCATTTCTCCTCCAGGCAGCGAACAGATGACTCTACTACCAGTGCTCTCTCCTTCTATGCTCTAGGGCTAAGTCACTCACCTCCTTCCTAGTTTTTTTTTTTTCAGTGCTTTCTTACATTCTGTCAAATTATAGACCAGTTTTGCTGGCCCAGAAGCAGGTTCTCTCATTATAATATGTCCTGTTCTTTATCCATTGTGAATTTTCTTTTTAAAAGCAGTCCTATATGTAAGATGTTAGGCACTGGCAAAGTGGATGGGGTCAGTGGCTGGATGGGGAATAGAGCTGGGACACAGGCTAGAGCTGCTCAGCCTGCTATAGCAGCTGTCACAAAGGTGTTGAACTTCCTATATATCAACAACGATGTGGAGGCAGGAATTGGCCACGGCATTTTAAGAAATAGCAAGTAGAGCACTGTGGTCTCAGAATGTAGGTCTGCGTTGAGAAAGAGTATCATGTAAAGTTCAAGGTAGCGTAGGCTTATAAAAAGCCTGAAAATGGAAATAAAATACTTCAATCTAAGCCAGTGATTCACACATTAGTCTAATGGTAGAAGTTTTTTTTCCAATGTCACTCACATGATTTTCTGTGCCTCCTAATGTAGCCCAGATAGAAAAGATGGTGAGTGAATTTCCTTTTAAGTCATCATTATGTGATGGGAAATACACCTATGACATACCTGTACAAAGGTGGTCTACTCCAGGGTCATTGCGTAGAGACCCAAAGAAATTGTGGACATTATCCAGTTGGGGAGCTTAGATGGGAGCTTGGATCTGCCACCTAGTTCAATCCAATTTTTATAATACTAGTTTATATAACATTTTTTGTTCACATTTTTCTAATACTGAATTTGGCATTTAATCAATGAAGAGTACACAGTATACACATATGGCTTTATTACTTTTGGGAAATGCTAGTCCTTATTCCTTGAATTTATTTTTGTAGTGTTTCAACTTTGGTAAAATGCTGTTAAGTCTCATTTGCTATTCATAGCAACAGTGTGTTAGGCAGGTAGTAGTTATCCCCAATTTTGCAAGTAAAGAAACTTAAGCTCATAAAAGAAAAGTGACTTGCTAAAGGAGATACGGCTTTTAAGTGGTAAAATTGGGACTCAAACCTAGGTCATCTGACTTTTACTGTATTCTTATCACTAGGGTAGACTCCATAAACCAAATGTTTAATAAATGTTAGTGACAACATAAACTAAGTTTCAAGGCCCTCATTAAAACTGTTTTATTGGCTGGCCGGGCGCAGTGGCTCACGCCTCTAATCCCAACACTTTGGGAGGCCGAGGCGGGCGGATCACAAGGTCAGGAGATCGAGACCATCCTGGCTAACATGGTGAAGCCCCGTCTCTACTAAAATACAAAAAATTAGCCGGGCGAGGTGGCGGGCACCTGTAGTCCCAGCTACTCGGGAGGCTGAGGCAGGAGAATGGCGTGAATCCGGGAGGCGGAGCTTGCAGGGGAGCCGACATCGCGCCACTGCACTCCAGCCTGGGCGACAGAGCCAGACTCCGTCTCAAAAAAAAAAAAACTATTTTATTGGCTTTTATAAAGCTGGAGTAGGATGTAATATTATGCAGAATAAATTGCCATGGATTTTTTTTTTTTAAGAGCTGAACAGTTGCTTTGGTCTCCTTGGCAACACAGTATTCTCCTTCTGTCCAAGAAATTTAGTACATATAAATGAATATTTGAATTTTTCTTTTTAGAATTCAAATTCATTTTTTTCTTTATACTTCCAAATTTCCTACATTTTCTCCTGTTTTCATCATTTTATTTGCAATTTATTTTTTTTGAAGAAATACATGCTTATGATTTTAAAAAATAGTACAGAAGGGATTATAATGGAAAACAATGATCCTAACTGCCTCTTCTTTTCCTCAGTTTGCTCCTTATAAGTCATTTTAAGTTTCTTTTTAGTTATTTTTGTGGTTACCATGAAAAGACTAAGTAATATACTAGAAGCACTATTTCTTGATGTATTTTAAAGCTTTAGATATTATCTGTCAAATATATCCCTGTGCTATAAAAAATGGGAATTCACTCACTATTCTCTATGTCTCCTAAATTTTGATAGTTATGCTATTAGCATTAGTTATTTCAAAAGTTTAAACAATATAATTAATGCTAGCAAAGTTTGCAGGACAATAAGTGCAACTAACAAACAGGGCTTCCAACTGGCCATTCTATTTAAGAGGAGACTGGCAGAAAACATATTGTATACATGAAAACAGAGAAAACCCATACCAGCTTATATAAGGTACCTAGCGTAGTCAAATACACAGAAACAGAAAACAGAATGTTGGGTACCAGCGGCTAAAAATCTATTGATGTTAATAACTAACTAACGATCAAACTATAAAAAGGAAATAAGCTGCATGAAAAATAAGTAAAGCAATGGATACAGGAAAAAAACTGAGTTAAGTCAGGGAACACAAGAACTTAATGTTTTTTGATTAAATAAGACAATTATTCCATCAAATAAGGAAATATGCTATGAAAAAGGAACAGGAAACAATAATGAGCTCTTGGAAATTAAGAAAAAAACGTTACACCCCACCCCTGCCAAATGCAATAGAAAATATAGACGTTAAAGTTGAGGAAACATAGCAAAAGGAAATAGGAAATATGAGGAAGTTGATGTGGAGTAACTTCCCCAGAAATCCAATGTAAAGAAATCCTAGATGAAAATAGTGTACTGATCCACACTGGGGTTCCAGAAATATATCTTGAAAAAGAATTCAGCATCTATGCCATAAATAGTAAAAAGCTGGAAGATGTTAGTAATATGGTGAAGATGGCGTGTTGTTTCTGGTCAACAACATTAAAAAAAAAAAGAACAGAAAAGAAAAAGCAGTTACCCAAGGAAGGGAGGGAGGGAGGAGGAAAACAGGAAGAAAGTAGGAAGGGAGGGAGGGAAGGAAAGAATGAAGGACCCAAATAAGCAAGGAAAGACAAAGCTGAGTAAGTTAAGTTATGGTCTAAAAATGAAGCCAACTAAAATGGGGCATCATTTTGAACAATTAATTGATGGATCTTAAGGAAAGAAAAACAGATCTCCAGAACTTTTTCATCTTGCTAAACTGAATTTCTGTACCCATTAAATAACTCCCCATTTCTTCGTCCCCTAAGCCTCTAGCACCCACCATTCTGCTTTCTGTTTCTATGAATTTGACTAATCTAGGTACCTCATATAAGTGGCATCATACAATATTTGTCTTTCTATGACTAGCTTATTTCACTTAGCATAATGTCTTCATAGTTCATCCATGTTGAAGACAAGATTTCATTTTGATTATAGAACAAAATGTACATGTTATCAAGTTATTTTGGGTTTGGGCTTATTGCACTTTGTTTCATGCTACTTTTTGTACGTGGAAATTGCATCTACTCTTCAGTACCCACTGATCCCTTCCTCCAGTTCTTTTTACATTGTAGGTTTAGTCCTTTCGTTCCTTTACTATCACTGTAATAAGTTCTCAGGGAGGGGAGACAAGTGTTTAAGTCTTTCATCTTGACCCAAAAATCTTTATACTTTTATTTCTTCAAATTAAAAATGTACTTGAAACTGAAAACAGCTAAGATGTCCTTCAATAGGTGAATGAATAAGCAAACTGTTGCATATCAAATATTATTCAGTGATTAAAACAAATTAGCTGTCAAGCCACAAAAAGAGATGAGCTATCAAGCTGTGAAAAGATGAAGAAACCTTAAATGTAGATTGCTTACTGAAAGAAGATGGTGTGGAAAAACTACACAGTGTAGTAATTTTTCCATAGATATATTTGAAAAGGAGTGATTCATATTTGAAAGCTCTTCCTGTCTCACCTGACAGTTTTCAAAATAGGTAGACTAGCACTTCTGTTTGTTATTTGGGGGACTTCTTTGCCCTGTTTTTTTTTTTTTCTTTCATAAAAGCTGTTTGTTTACTTCCTTCAAGTTTTCTTTTTTTTTTTTTGAGACGGAGTCTCGCTCTGTCGCCCAGGCTGGAGTGCAGTGGCGCAATCTCGGCTCACTGCAAGCTCTGCCTCCCGGGTTCACGCCATTCTCCTGCCTCAGCCTCCCGAGTAGCTGGGACTACAGGCGCCCGTCACCACGCCTGGCTAATTTTTTTTTTTTTTTTTTTTTTGTATTTTTAGTAGGGACGGGGTTTCACCATGTTAGCCAGGATGGTCTCGATATCCTGACCTCGTGATCCGCCCGCCTCGGCCTCACAAAGTGCTGGGATTACAGGCGTGAGCCACCGCACCCGGCCAGTTCCTTCAAGTTTTCTACAAGGCCGTTAGAAACCTATTCGGATATGTCTTTGATCTAAAATTATTTTCCCGGTCGGGCGCAGTGGCTCACGTCTGTAATCCTAGCACTTTGGGAGGCCAAGGCAGGCGGATCACCTGAGGTCAGGAGTTCGAGACCAGCCTGGCCAACATGGTGAAACCCCCATCTCTGTTAAAAATACAAAAAATTAGCTGGGCGTGATGGCACTTGCCTGTAATCCCAGCTACCCAGGAGACAGGCAGGAGAATCACTGGAACCCGGGAGGCGGAGGCTGCAGTGAGCCAAGATCGCGCCACTGCACTCCAGCCTGGGTGACAGAGCGAGACTCCATCTCAAAAAAAATAAATTTTTAAAAAAGTATTTTTCCTGTCTCTTCCTCTCCTCTTATTTAAAAAAATCAAAGAATATGGATAATCTAATAAAAAGGAATTTATCATCATTTGATTCTTCCAGGTTTTACTTGTGAGATACATTGAATTAACAAAAGAATATACATCTTATTATATTTCATTAGCTCAGGGTTTTTGTTTTGTTTTGTTTTGTAGAGAAACAGGGTCTCACCCTGTCACCTAGGCTAGAGTGCAGTGTGATCATAGCTCACTGCAGCCTCCTGGGCTCAAGTGATCCTCCCACCTCAGTTTCCGGAGTGGCTGGGACTACAGGCACAAGCCATCACACCTGGTTACATTAGCTTAGATTTCAATGATAATCCCTGGATAATCTAAATCAGAATTCTTTCATCCTTCCTTTTGGAGAGACAGCACAATTGGCT